>NC_000015.10:34792025-35095055 GCF_000001405.40 Homo sapiens
TACTCTGGGAGACCCTAAGATTTCCAGGGAAAATCGTGCCTCTGCACCAGACCCTACAACTCACCAATGAAGGAGGGCTGGAAGAGTGTCTCAGGACAGCGGAAGCGCTCATTGCCAATAGTGATGACTTGGCCATCAGGCAGTTCATAGCTCTTCTCCAGGGAGGAGGAAGAGGCAGCTGTGGCCATCTCATTCTCAAAATCCAGGGCGACATAGCACAGCTTCTCTTTAATGTCACGGACAATTTCACGTTCAGCTACAGAAATAAAGAGTATCACAGTCATGCTCTGAAGCAAGAAGTCAATTATAGGGAGGTAGGCGGATTCAGTGAGAGAGGAGGAAAGCAGACCCACACTGTGGCAGATGAGACACACACACTCACCAGTGGTGACAAAGGAGTAGCCACGCTCAGTGAGGATCTTCATGAGGTAGTCAGTGAGGTCCCGACCAGCCAGATCCAGACGCATGATGGCATGGGGCAAAGCGTAGCCCTCATAGATGGGGACATTGTGAGTTACACCATCCCCAGAGTCCAGAACAATGCCTGCCCGGGGAAGTAGACAAGAACAAGGTAAATTCCTGAGGACAACACCACTGCTCTAGCCACGGCAAAGCCCGCTTCCAATCTTGGCTAAGAGATGCTAGCAATGGGCATTGATCCAGATAAAATTAGATTCCTTACACACAAAGAATAAAAATGCGCATCAGGAATACTAAATCTGAAGCAAACTGCAGCTCATCTTTTTAACTATTATAGTAGAAAAAATTCCCGAGGACACTTTCAAATGACCATCTTTCTTGTCAGCCACGAGCACATTATGTAAGCACCCAAGGGTGTTTTTCTTTGCTCCTATTGAACTTACACGTTTCTCTCTCTTTTGACTCAGACCCTGTATGGAATGTATTCTCCTTGGGGATGCTTGCCCAGGTGATGTGATGGTTTAAACACATAACAATGACTGCTGCACTCCAAGCTGCTACACTGCGCTGAGCTTTAAATGAGGGAAGGACCTATCTCCACAAGCTATCAGCTCCAACAATAATTGTGCTCCGAAACTAACCTCAGGGCACTACTGTTAACTCTTTCTCTTAGCACAGACCTTGCTAGGGAATGGGAGGAAAGGGATTATCCCTTTTTCAACTGGGGGATCTGATTCACAGCAAGGTCGGTGACTTGGGAATGTGATTCATCAGTAACTGTCCCCAGAGCCCAGCATACCTGTGGTACGGCCAGAAGCATACAGGGATAGCACTGCCTGGATGGCCACGTACATGGCAGGGACATTGAAGGTCTCAAACATGATCTGAGTCATCTTCTCCCGGTTGGCCTTGGGGTTCAGCGGGGCCTCTGTGAGCAGGGTGGGGTGCTCCTCGGGAGCCACACGGAGCTCATTGTAGAAGGTGTGGTGCCAGATCTTCTCCATGTCGTCCCAGTTGGTGATGATACCATGCTCGATGGGATACTTCAGGGTCAGGATGCCTCTCTTGCTCTGGGCTTCATCACCTACGTAGGAGTCCTTCTGACCCATACCCACCATAACTCCCTATGAGAAGAAAAAATGAGAAAATCATGCTCTCACCATGTCAGGAATATAATCAGTGTCTTGTCCATTTATATCTAACTGCCCAAGTCAAGGAACATATTTAAATACCAGAAATAACAAGCAATACGATTTTACCCCAATTTAGAAGAATTATTTAAAAATCAATCTTCTACCTTCTCCCCACTCCCCCAAAGATGTATAATTCTATTGTTGAGAATATAACTCAGGAGAGAATGAAGCTATTCCACTGAAGAAGCAGAGCCTCACCTCACCTTAAAAATATCATATGCCTTCATTAAGTTATTAAGCTCATCACCCATGTCAACTGGAATATAGATGACTGCATTTTGGAATGACTGAATTAATGACACATTGTATTTCTCCTAAGAAAAAGATTTTGACATTCAAGTGAACACATAATGATGGGCTGATATGCCATCCTCACTCCAACAGTGAAATTCAGCCTGTCCAGAGCTGTTCTGGAGTCATTCACCAGCTCTGAGGACTAAGCTCTCCTGCTTGGCAGCCTGTCTGGCCAGGCATGTGACAAACCCAGAGAGCATGGCATGTCTTTTAACAAACGAGGTGGTATGTCACTATCACCATGGCACTTGCTGCCTCTGTCACGCCTGGCTTCTAAAAATGCAACAGCCAGGAAGGAGATAGATTGATTACACCTTTGGGGAACCCTGTAAACTGGCTGTGAACATGAGAGAGGAATGTGGATTTGGTCCTGGTTGGTTGGGAGAGGTGATATTGTTAGAAGTTTTAAACAGGACTGAAAAGAGAGGACAAGGAAGAAAATGAAGTGTATAAGGCAGAGAAGACACTAAAGACTAAAAGTCCAAAAGGCCATTAGTGGAGAGAAGCAGGTGGCTTTCACACCAGGGAGTGGGACCCTTTTAGAGGCGTGCCACTCAGGTGTACATTCCTCAGTATGTTGGGGTTTTGTGGAGTATTGCTTGCCTTGGCTTGGATTTGAAGTCAATCAGCCTTCTCTTAATTTGGCCTAAAGAGTTCATCGAACAAGAGGGTCAGGTGAGAGCCATTTCCTAGATCGCTGGACTGAAGGGGTCCCGAGTGGGACGGGGGGCTCGGCGGGAAGTTTACCTGGTGCCGCGGGCGGCCCACGATGGACGGGAAGACAGCGCGGGGCGCGTCATCGCCCGCAAAGCCGGCCTTCACCAGCCCAGAGCCGTTGTCGCACACCAGGGCGGTGGTCTCCTCGTCGTCACACATCTTGGCACAGCTTCAGGGGGTTCTGCAGGTTGAGGAGGGGAGGGCGGACCACGCTTAGCTGCCTGTGCAGCTGGCCTTCTCCGCACCCAGAGGACAGGACAGAGCAGAAGGGGGTTGTGGGGACTGGACAGGGGGTTGGGCGGGGAACACTCCTGCCACCTCCCTTCCCCTCGAATCATAAAAGGGAGGGAAGAAGCCGCGGAGGAGACTGGGGACAGAGAAGGGCAGAGGAATCCACCCAGGCTCCCTGGCCAGGAGTTCCAGCTAGGGTGCCAGGTGCAAGGAGGGACCCAAGAAACCCAGCCCCTTAGTCCTCCCCAGCCCTTTAACTTTCTTCCTTTTCACGAACTGGGAACTCGATCTCCAGCCCTGTCCATATCGCCATGCCTGTGCCCCAGATGGAGGGGAAAGCGCACGAGAGTAGGGACCCAAAAGCCCCTTGGGGAGCCACAAAATTCCCCTTCTTAGAGCCCCTGCGAGGTCCTGCGAGGACCAACGCCCAGGACAAAACAAGTTAGAACCAAATCAAAAAGTGTGGGCTTTAAAAAAAAAAAAAAAAAGGCAGTCGCAGAGCGGCAGGAGCTGGGGCCTTGGCTGAATGCGGGCCGGGCTGGCCAGGTGGCGGCGCGGGGCTGGCGTCCGGCGCGGCCCGCGGACCAGGCGAGGAGTGAACGCGGAGGGCCGGGCGCTGACTCACCGTCGGCGGGGCGGGTCGGCTCGGCTCCGGCGGCAGCGGGCTCTGGGTGGCTGGCTCCAGGAGGGCCGCTTTATAGAACGCTGATGGACAGGGTCAGTTGGAGCAGCCGGGGGCAGGGGTGGGGGGCCCGGTCTGCCACCTTGCCTTATTTGGTCCCCTTCGCACCCGCTAGGACTGCCGAGGCCATTCATGGAGCCAAGGGCAGGGGAGAGGATCAGCCAGGGAGCCCCCAGACCATGTAAGGAAGGGGAGGGGGCAGTCAGGGGGATGGCCAAATAGGGAGCTGGGGAGGGGCAGGCGCTGAAGGGTAGGGGGCAGGGGAAGACTAAGTGACGCCAGCCCACCCCTCCCCCTTTCTGGGGTGTGGGTGCTCCCTGGATGGTCTGTGGATTCGGTCCTCCGCAGCCCTGCCAGCCTTGGGGACAATAAGCCACATGCAGTGGGAAGGCTTGGCGCCCTGCCCTCTGCTGAGGGGTCCTGACAGCTGGGCCAGGGCAGCAGGGGAGCAACAGCGGCTTCTCATCTTCCAGGGCTGCCACCAGCACAAAGGACACCGCAGCAGCACATCTGAGTGGCTGCAAAAGGGGCACCCAGGACAGGGCACCCTTCTGGTCTAGTCCCCGCCAGCCTGAATGGCTTTACTCAGAGAGCTGGTGCTGGGCTCATCTAGGTCAGAAAGCTGAGATTAACCAAGGCCACCCGAGTTCCAACCCATGCATGGATCAGGGTCTGGCCAGGGAAGAGTCAGAAAAGGGTTTCTGTGAGAGCTTGGCCAAGTCTTGCTGGAGAAGGGACCAGGTTTACCCCAGCCCAGTTATTGGGTAGCCCTCATCCATGCTGCAGGGTTTTGCTCAAATTCAGACTCTGGTCTTCAGGCCAGAAAAGGATCCCCTGCTGCCAAAGTGAATAAAGGAACAAATGCCAAAAGTAGCTTGCCCACTTGATGGTGGGGAGATGAGCATCTTTAAACTGGGGGCAGAGGCCCTCACTCCAGGTGGAGACAAGACTGCAAAGGCAAATACTTTGATGGAGAACATAGCAACAACTTAAACTATAGGACTACACCAATCCTTGCTACTCAAAGTGCAGCCCATGGACAAGCAGTATTGTCATAACCTGGAAATGAGCTAGAAATGCAATCTCAAGAGCCATCCCAATCCGCTTTTCAGCAAGATCCTCATTTGCTTGGTATGTACATTAAAGTGTGAGAAGCATTGGCATAAATGACAGATATCATCTCCTCTGTGGAAAACAGATTTTGCAGGATCTTGAACTTTTGAGAAGGAAAAAGAAAAATGACATGAAATGAGGAGAGGGAGAAGGAAGAGGGAGATGTAAGAAGGACACAGATCACTAGTTTGCCCTGGGGTGCCCTGCATTCTCAGTTCTTGACTGGAGCTTTGATTTTTAATGCTTGTGTTTTTCCTCCAGTTCACACCAGTTAAAAATAGAAAACTGGGCACTGGCATCTCTCTCTAGAGTGGTCTTGGGCTGATATGCTGAGGAGGCCTGCTGATTAGATACTTGTCCCGACTGGGGAATGCTGGGCCCTCCCCTCTGAACTCCCCAACCATGTTTGGGTTGGTCTGGAGAAGAAACGCGATGGGCAGCTGTGTGGTGGGGTCGGGTAAGAGACCTGGCTGAGATTACTCTGTGCAGCACAGCAGGCATTTTACAGTGAAAATGTTTATTGACAGGATGCCAAGAGTAGAACTGCCTTGTCTCGTGAAAATATAGAAAAACCAAGGAAAAGGAGAAATGGGACTGGTGTCAGAGCCAGACAGAACTGGGCTCAAATGCTGCCTTTATCACTTACTAACTATCTGTTTGGTCTTGAGCAAGACACTTAACCTTCCCAAGCCCCAAGTTTTCCCTCTCAAAAGTGATACCATAACACTTGTTGCAGAAGTTATTGTGTATTGTAATAGTTAGAAACAAATGCTGTAAGTAATATGGAAGATACAAAGCAAATTGTATGTGTAATAATGATACTTTTGGAGGCAGTAGTAGCTCTGCCTTTTAAAGAATCAGGTTGATTTCATTCTTCATTGATTCAGCAAATCTTTGCAGGACAAGAACTGTGCTAGTTAAGGATTCAGTGATAAATAAAACAGAGCAGGACTCATCCTCCGTGGCAATTACAGAAAAGTCAGACAGCTATGGCACAAACTGGGAGGGAAGAAGAGGTATCAGCAGGATAGTCACAAAAAGGGAATGGAGGTCTGAAAGAGTTGCCGAGAAAGCCTTCCCCAGGATGTGTTGTTCGTTTTTAAAAGTAGAGCAGAACTGAAGTTTATGAACATTTGTGTGAGAGAAAGAGTTTCTGCATGGGAGTGGCTGGTGAGAGACTCCCACTATGACTGCTATAGGTGCAAAGACTCTCAGGAATGGAAAACCATGATTATTGACCTTTGTCCTTCGCACAGGCTTCGGGGATCTAGGAGGCCACTTCCAGCCCCCTCATCTCAGGACCATTGGCTCTAGTGGGAGGCCAGTAGAACAGTGCAGGACACAACAGCAGTTTTGTGAAACAATATTCACCCTTAAAATGTTTGAAAAATGTGTTTCCTATTCCGCTCAATTTCATTGCCTAACACTCAAAACAGTGTATTTTCATATGTGTTATGTGTGTAGCAAGAACGAATGCTTATTTCTTAAAAATTTATGATTGTTTGATATTTACTATTTGTATTACCACTCAATTTCCACATTTTATTTATTTTATTTTTATGTATTTGTTTGTTTGCTTCAGACAGGGTCTCCCTCTGTTACCCAGGTATAATCAGGTGCGGTGGTATAATCAGGGCTCACTGCAGCCTCAACCTCCCAGGCTCAGGTGATCCTCCCACCTTAGCCGATTCTCCCACCTTAGCTGATCCTCCCATCTCAGCCTCCCAAACAGCTGGGACTGCAGGCACATGCCAACACACCCCGCTAATTTTTGTATTTTTTGAAGAGACGGGGTTTCACTATGTTGCCTAAGCTGGTCTCAAGCTCCTGGGCTCAACTGATCTGCCAGCCTCAGCTTCCCAAAGTGCTGGGATTACAGGCATGAGCCACCAAGCCTGGCCTTGATTTCCACATTTTAAAAACTTTGAACCCTATTTTATATATTTTAAAATGTAAACCAACAGGAAAGTAAGATTTCATGACTGAGTTTTATTTAAACTACTTTTTACAGATCCACTTAATTTGAAAATTGAGATTGGCTTTTTAAGCATATAAAAATGACATCTCAAAAAAAATTACAAAACAAAGAAGAAAAAAATGACATCTCCTCTTTGGTACATTCTAGATTTTTTTTTAATTATGGTAAAATATGCATATATCAAATTTACTATCTTAACCATTTAGGAATACAGAGTTCAAAAGTGTTCAGTGCATTCACATTGTTGTGCAGTCTCCGAGTGTTATTTTTTTTATTGCTAATTGTGACTAAATTGTGCTTCCTGCAGTTTGAGAAAGACCAGTTTATATCCTATGAGGTAGGGAACCACTGAGCCTTTTTTGTCTGAGGTCACACAGGTGAGCAAATGGTGGAGTGACAATTCAAACTCAGGCACCTGATTTTAAGCCCTATTCCCAACCACCACCAAAAATACCTTCACATATACTTGGTCTGCTATTTCTCAGAATGTGATGCTAGAACCGCCTCCAGCCAAATTACCTAGACTGCCTCATAGAAATTCAGATTCCTGGGTTCCACCCTGGAAGATTGAATCTGCATTTTAAATGAGCCCTCACTGTTCTCCCCTAGGTATGTTTCTCTGCAGAGTGAAAAACTTAGCCGCACTGCTTGGCTGTTCTCTCTGAAGCCCACAGAGCTTTGCTGGATGCTGCCCAAGCTGCCAGTGCTGGCTGGAGTCCAGGTTGGCTGACCTTGTAGATCCCAGTGGGATGGCAGAGCTGGGGCGGGTCCCCAGGGCTCTTGAGGGCCAGTGAAGCCCTTTTCGGCGTGGACTGGCCATGAGGGAGACGTGCAGGGCAAACTGAAGGAACAGAAGGTGGGACAGTTCCCACTGCCCTTGCCTCGGGGGAAGTCTGTTTCATCCACCATCTGCTGGGATCTGGAAGGGAGCGGCCCAGCCTCCTCCCCGGCACTGGGGGATTAGCAGTCACTTATCTCAGCTGTTCCTCCGTTCGGAGGTGTCACAGTATTTACAGAGAAGCCAGAAACAGACAGAGCCACACTTAATTCCTCCCCATGAGCCCTCCCCATCACCTCCTGTCCCTCCTGCATTCTGTGTGCCGGGGGAGGGAGAGCCTCGGTTTAGATCAGACCGGGGGGAGGATCTAGCCTTCCTAAACATTCCTATTTTCTTTGCCTACACATTTGTTCACCCCCACTGCCCTCTGGCTGGATCTGGGTTTCAGTTTTCATTGAAAGGAGAAAGTGACATGATGGTGAGGGCTGCAGGCCCCCACACATCCTGGTGTTCAGAGTCCAATATATGAGGCATGGCTAATCTTCACAGCATACTTCCCCGTGTTTTATATGCAACCACCAAGGGGATTAACCCAGGCAGAGGGTATTTGGCCCCAGATGGATTCTGTTCTTGGCAGGTCCCAGCCGTCACTGTCTTCTAACATGATAGGACCAACTGTAATGAACCATTTAATAAGACTCAGAAAAGGAGGGCAGGGGAAGGAGGAAGGGGCACGGAGGAGGGAGAACATAGAAGGGAACATAGAAGGAAGATGCTTCTCTGGATCCTGGTGACTACATTTTTTTTTTTTTTTTTTTTTGAGACAGAGCGTTGCTCTGTCCCCCAGGCTGGAGTGCAGTGGGGCAATCTCAGCTCACTGCAAGTTTCAAGTTATTCTCCTGCCTCAGCCTCTTGAGTAGCTGGGAATACAGGCACACATCACCATTCCTGGCTAATTTTTGTATTTTTAGTAGAGACAGGGTTTCACCATGTTGGCCAGGCTGGTCTCGAGCTCCTGGCCTCAAGTGATCTGCCCGCCTCGGCCTCCCAAAGTGTTGAGATTAAAGGCGTGAGCCACCGCACTCAGACTAAAGACCACATTTTCAGTCTCCTCTATCCTGGTGACGTCAGCGGGAAAGAATCAGAAAGGATTTCTAGATAGCCTTTTAAATTCCTTAAAAGGAGTTTGTCTGTCAAGAATGAAATGCTCACGCCCATGAGTTTCTGCTTGGAAGTTACTACTCTTAGCTCAGATTTGACTTGCTCTGCACACTGGCAGTGACTTTATTTATGGAGTTTCAGTGTTTCAAGTATTACCTGGAGCAAATCCATCTTTCCTGGAGAGCCCAACCATGACAATGTCTGATCTAAGCCTGACCTGCAAGCAGAAGGGCTGGGAGACGTGCATCAGTAGTAAGAACTGTGAGCTCAGAAAACCTCCTGCAGGCTGCTTTCACTCACCTGCATCATGTAGAGCCCATCTCTTCCCCAGCAAAGATCAAGCACTCATCTGACACACAATATTGGTGATGGTAACACTAATTGTTGACATTTCCTGAGAATTTCCTAGAGGCTGGCACTATCCTGCCACTTTCTATGTGTATATGGTCAACATGGTCAGTTTCTAGATGAAGCTGGGCAGACTTCCAGCTGTAGAATCCATTTTTACCCAACTGTTCTCTTTGTTTTGTTTTGTTTTTAATTTTTTTGTACATAGAGACATGGTTTCCCCATGTTGCCCAGGCTGGTCTCTAACCCCTGAGCTCAGGTGATCCAGTTGCCTTGGCCTCCCAAAGTGCGGGATTATAGGTGTGAGCCACCGTGCCCAGCCCCAACTGTTCTTTGATATGATGTCACCAGCCTATGTTGAGGGGCTGTGTAAGAGTAGGTCACCATCTCTATTGTAAGGACATTGTAAGGATGTTTTCATGGATGTTCATCATAGGACACAATCTTCTTTATAAGCCTCCTTGGGAGAATTCCCTGTCTGACTCTGGTACCAAGGGCAGAAGCACATCTACCAACGAACTAGTTTGTTTTGATTTGTGTTCCCTGAATCTAGTGACCAGCTAAGGTTTCACTTTTGGTGTTGGCTAAGAAAAATTTTAGAGAACCACATATGTGGCCCAATTGTTACAGCGATTATAGGTCATTTTGATCTGTTTTACACACCCATCTCTATTTTTTATTTTTATTTTTCTTCTAATTTAGTTTTCATTTTTCTCTCTATCTTTGTAAGCTGGCATAAATCTTGTGTGGGACAAAACAAAGAATGAATGAATAGATAGATAAGAATGAATTTGTAGGAACAATGGAGAACATTTGAAATTACAATTGGGATGGCCATTTTACAAGTAGCTAAGAGTCTGCCATGACTTGCGTATATATCTGTAGTTTTTTCCATCCCAGTGAAAGCATAGGCCAGGTGTGGTGGCTCATGCATGTAATCCCAGCACTTTTGGAGGCCGAGGCAAGTGGATTGCTTGAATCCAGGAGTTCAAGACCAGTCTGGGCAACATGACGAAACCCCCATCTCTACAAAAATACATAATTAGCTGGGCATGGTGGTGCACACCTGTGGTCCTAGCTACTCCAGAGGCTAAGGTGGAAGGATTGCTTGAGCCTGGGATGTCCAGGCTGCAGTGAGCTGTGATCACACCACTGCACTGCAGCCTGAGCGGCAAAGCAAGACCTTGACTCAAACATAAATAAATAAATAAATAGCATATATTGCTTAATGAAAAAAACCCATTACCTGTAAACTATAATGTCATTTTGATTTTCCTCTTAACATGGTAAGTACAACTGGCAATTTAAAACAATATTTCCCTCATTATTAATATAGTATGTGTTTATTGTGATAAACTAGGAAAAAACAGTAAAGCTCTATATTGTAACCTCCCTAAAATAAAACTAAATGTGGCATAAAATTCATAAGGCCTTGGCTTCCATATCTACTTATAGCCGCTGGGCTGAGAAAAGACAAACAGCCTCCTATTCTGGTAGTCTGCAAGAATGTCCACTTGTTCTTCAAAGAGAGACATGCAATGCAAAGAATTTGCATTAAAAGCATTTCTTGGTCCTACTATTATAAAGTAAATTATCTCTAGTCAACAGCTGGAACTAAAGAATGTCAAACTCAGAGCAGGCTCTGCCCTTGGGATTATACCATCTTTATATATCCCACTTATGTATTTCAGAGGGTGGGTTCTGGTTTCCAAGTCAGCTGTTGAACTGTTTCAAACTTGTAGTTTAAAAACTGGTCTACCACAAACATAAAACTAAACCATATGAATATACTGCTGAAGGCATTGTCTTCATGTGGAGGGTCTGAAAGCACTTCTTTTAGAAAAACATCTTTACAGCTATTTTATTATCAAAATTGTTCTTAATTTAGACTACAGATAACCAGTTCATCTTAACCACCTCTTATTTAATTTCATAAATTAAAAATAATAACAAAGGCTTTATCTAAAGCTAGCACTGTGTACCTACAGAACTTGTACGTACAAAATAAAAACAACTGAAAAGCCTTCTTAAGCCGTTACTTGTGCGTGAATGCTGGCACCCATCCAAATAAGTAGGCCTATGGCTTATGATATTCCAGAGAGAAGAGCCAGCCTTTGAGGACTGAGAAGAGAAAATAATCAGCCATTAAACTATGATATGGGCCTTGAAAAGTGATCAGAACAACCTTGAGCATGACCCAAAGGACAGAACAGAGTAAAATACTACATCATCAAAGAAATACCTGCAATGGTTGGGTAACCCTAAGGTGAGAACATTCTTTAAGGATGAACAAGCAAAGTGCTCTCTATTCAGTTAATGTTTTTGCAAACTCTCTTTAAACATGCAATTTTCCAGTGAGAGATTCTAGTGAATTTAATATTACAGCACACTACTTATATTTTTCACAAAAGATTCACACTGGGCTCATTCCTTCACCAATGTATGTAGCCATCTACTTTCTGTGTTCCCTGTTCAGTGATGATAAGGAGTCCGGAGCCCCTCTCTTGAAGTTTCAGAGGGAGAGCCCTGAAGCTTTAATTTGAGCTGATCTCTTAGATTGGCATAATTGACCATTTCTGGTGTCCACCCAAGGATCGCATCACTAAGCTGCTGACTCAAGGTAGTGGGCGAGGCGGAGGAGAGAGGGATGAGGGTAGAAAGAGGGTGATGGGGGAGTGGCCTACAACACCTCTTCCCTCTCATTTCTTTCTGAATAGAAAACTGAAAATGCTAAATCAGAATCACAGACAAATGCAGTTACAAGGGGCTCAGGCTTTGCTTTCATACCTGGCAGTGCAAAACTTTATACTGAGTTTATTTTGTCCAACTCAGGGATGTGGGCCCCAAAAATGATAAGAGAAAAGGCAAAAGTGATCCCATGAGGCAGAAAGCCTTATGTATTAGAACAGCTCCAGTGTTCTGGGTCCTTCTAAAAGTGTGCACACCTCAGGCCTAAATATCAAACCCTAAAATATTATTCCATAATTTACATCTTTATGTAGTCAGAGTTTTCCTTGATCTATCTGGAAACTAACTCTTATTTTGACTAAATGTGAAAGGTTAAATGTTAAATTTGCCTACTTTCTCACCTGGAATATGTTTGTGTGTATCTGAGAGAATCAGTCATGAATGAAAGGTTTATTGTTTCTGTTTCCTACATTTATTTCATTGCAATGTCAAAAGGATAGATTGAGTACATCTTTCCAAATCATCTGATTCAGTCACAATCACATAAACAGGGTTTAAAAACCTTAAGGCTGGTATCAGGCAGCAGCCAAGAATGAACAGATGTTCTTTGTTTTCTCAAATATTTGTGAATGTAAATGGTCCAGATAACATCTCATAATCACCACACTGAAAGTGTGAAATGAATATACCTTTACAAAGAAATGTGGCATGATAGGAAAATATAATGCTCTATTCTTAGAGCATGTGTCATTTCCAATGAAGTATCTTTTACCCTCCTGGTCTCCCTGAACGCTATTTAAATTCTCAGCATTAACCAAGAAGACATTCAGATCTCAGCGACTGATTTTGAACAAAGGGTTTCAAATAATTTCTTTGGGAGATTCAAGGCTTGCTGTCACCGTAGAAATTCAAATGTGTCCCAAGTGTCTCATTTTGCAAACAACTTAGCAAAATATTACAGATGAATAAACTCTTTGATTTGAAACATCATACTTTCTAACTAAATATAATCAAAATAGTGATGCTTATCATACAAATGTAGATATGAACAAAAGGAAAAAGCCAATTCGGTGGCTAAATTGGTGTTCCCTTGAAATCAAGATGTGGTTTATTCAATTTCTTCATTCAATCAATATTTATTGAATGCCTTCTCTATGCAAGACATTGTGGCAGGAACAGTGGGAAATATTAGAGTGCATGAGATGGTGTATGCACACCAAGAGAATGTTTTCATTCTATTAGATAGTACCTAAACCCAGCAAGCCACCACAAAGATCTGTGCTAAGCAGCACGAAAGGGTATTAAACAAAGCCTGAGGGGCTGGAAAAAGGGAGCGAGCCCTTCTCATGAGGGTCCTTGGGCAAGACTTCATAGTTTATGGATTTTGAGCTGAGTCTATGAGGGCTAGTTGATGAATAGATTATGTTTGTAAGCTTTTGCATTATTTTCTGCCTGAATCATGTTTATGAGGAAGACAAAAATATGTTGTTCCCTCTTAAAATAATTACAGTTCGTTCAACAGATACTCACTGAATGCTCACTGTGTACCACATGCTGTACTTCCAAGAAGACAACTTCCGGGTTCCAAGTAAAGTCAGAAATAAGCACACTGCTGAAGGTGCACTGAACTGGTCCTTTCAGATGAAAAGTATGTGAAATGTGTGTGTTTCTGTGTATATTTTAAAGTGTAGCCACATCTTATTCTTTACGAATTGAAAGCTGGAACAGACCCAAGAGAAAGCTCTTCCCCACTTTTCCTAAGTCATTTGCCATGATTGGTTTTCAAAGTCTTTAGGGAGTGAATGATTTCAAGTTCTACTGTTTACATAAATCTTTGACTACTGAAGCCTATTTCAAAAAAAATCTAACCAAACAAACCAAAACTCTTAACCATGGGAAGAGTACTGAAGATTAAGGGAGGAAGGAATTATTACAGTTTCCATTTTTTACTTAGGTATTATTTGAATATTTTTCCAGAAGCATATATTAATTTTATCTATTAAAGAAAGAAAGAAAACAATCTAATGTAACATCCTCTTGCTGAAAGTCAAGCATACTTTTGTCTCATTTGCCCAGGGGAGATGTCTACGTAATAACGTCCATATACTTTAAGAAAGACATTGCATCTGTGAGTATTAAGGCTCTTTTTCACCAGCACTGTTATTTTTAAAACTGTCTTCATATTTGGTCTATAATCTAACTCTGTTCCAAATTTTTTTAGATGTAATAAAATTTCTTTTAGCCAAATTGGTTAGGAATTTGGTTTCTAGTTAAGTTGAAAACTACCATTGTTCAGAGAATTAAGTTCATCTTGATATGCCCACACAAAACTACAGAGAAGATCATTTAATTTTCTTTGATACTGTGAAGTTATTTCCAGAATATTCTCCTTTGGAAAACTAATTTTTGTCACACACTATAGCATAACACATGTGACAGATGTAGACTGTTGGGCCAAACAAAATTATAATATCCTGGAAAGCTGCTTAAATGAATTCACTGTTAGTATCAACATACCTGTTATCTATTTATTTCTTTTAAAAATCAAATATAGATCATGCTTCTGCTTCCAGTCAAGATGGAGCACTCCATTTCTTGCAGATGCTCCCTCTTACAACTGTGGCCATAACACAACAAACAGACCTAGGGAAACTAAAAAGAGGAAAGAAGGTGGACTGCCTAGGGATTTGGGGACTTGAGAAACAAACTGCTGGTAAGTTCTGTAAGTTTCGTTATTGCCTCTCATATATCCCAGACAGGGTGTTGCAGATGCCTCCAACCTAGAGCTGCCAACAGGTACAGACAAAATAAGCTCTAAGAAAAGTCTGTTCCTCCTAGTCAAAGGACCAAGAAGCTGGTGCCCTTGCAATAGGAAGCCTTTTTGGTAATACCTGCCCTACTCTTGCCAAGTACTAATGGGAAAATTATATTCCCTTCTCCACAGTTTCAGTGAGATGGAGTTGAGAGCTGATCTTCCTCCCCATCCCCAGTCTCTGTGGCATCAGATGGTGGTGCTCTGACTCACTTGCCCCGTGGTATTGGTAGGACTGATCAGGGAGCTAGTCTTCCCTTTCCTGCCAGCAGAAGCGGCCAGTGCTCCTATTCTCCCACCAGGGTAGAGTCAACAAGGAGCAGCAGCAAACTGAACCTCTAACCCCCACCCAGCAGCAATGAGACTGTACAACGATGTGCAAAATAGAGCTAATGGGCACTCTGGTCCCCACTCCCGCCCTCACCCAGAAACAACCAGGCAAAATGAGGGGGTGGGATATGGATTCTCATTGCCCATCTACTTCCCTCCATGCCCCCCACCACCACCCAGGTTTCAGCAGCACCAGTGAGAAGCTGACCTCCTGCAGCTACCCTGAAGCCACAAAGCTGTGTGTGTTAGCCCCCTCCTTTCCCACTCCCTGGTAACAATGGAGCCCAGCAGAAAGCTGAGTATCAGAGGAACCTGCCCCCAATATTTCAACATAGGTTTTCTATTTTCCGTAAGTGTTGGCCAGCTGAGAAATAAAGAGAAAGAGTACGAAGAGAGGAATTTTACAGCTGGGCCACCGAGCGTGACATCACATATCGGTAGGACCGTGATGCCCACCTGAGGCTCAAACCAGCAAGTTTTTTATTACGGGTTTCAAAAGGGGAGGGGGTGTAAAACAGGGAGTAGGTACAAAGATCACATGCTTCAAAGGGCAAAAAGCAGAACAAAGATCACATGCTTCCGAGGGAAGAGGACAAAGGCAAAGCAGAACCACTGATAAGGGTCTATGTTCAGCGGTGCATGTATTGTCTTGATAAACATCTTAAACAACAGAAAACAGGGATCGAGAGTAGAGAACCGGTCTGACCACAGATTTACTGGGGCCGGGTTTTTCCCCACCCTAGTAAGCCTGAGGGTACTGCAGGAGACCAGGGCATATCTCAGTCCTTATCTCAACCGCATAGGACAGACATTCCCAGAGCGGCCATTTATAGATCTCCCCCCAGTAATGCATTCCTTCCCCAGGGTATTAATATTAATATTCCTTGCTAGAAAAAGGATTTAGTGATATCTTCCCTACTTGCACGTCCATTTATAGGCTCTCTGCAAGAAGAAAAATGTGGCTGTTTTTGCCTGACCCGGCAGGCAGTCAGACCTTATGGTTGTCTTCCCTTCTTCCCTAAAAATCACTGTTATTCTGTTCTTTTTCAAGGTGCACTGATTTCATATTGTTCAAACACACATGTTTTACAATCAATTTGTACAGTTAACACAATTGTCACAGTGGTTCTGAGGTGACGTACATCCTCAGCTTACGAAAATAACAGGATTAAGAGATTAAAGACAGGCATAAGAAATTATAAAAGTATTACTTGGGAACTGATAAATGTCCATATTAAAATGAAATCTTCACAATTTATGTTCCTCTGCCATGGCTCCAGCCGGTCCCTCCATTCGGGGTCCCTTACTTCCTGCAACAGCTGAGTTTTCATTCCCATTTGGAGGCCAGGAGATGGTAGGAGTCAGTGCCTCTCTTTCACTGGGAAGGTGTCAGTGGGGCCAAATGGGGAGCTGAGCTTCCTCCCACCCACCCCACTGCAGTGAGGCAGTATGAGTCAGCACTCCCTTTTTGCCAGGATGGTGTCAGGAAGCTAAACATACACATCTACCTAGTCTTCAATATCTCAACAGGGGGCTGCCTGCTAATAAAAGAAGATTAAATATGATCCAGAATATAATATAAAAACTGTCAGGATACAATTGAAAATCGCAACATGAATGAGAAAAGACAATTGACAGATACCAACAACAAGATGAATTAGATGCTGGAATTATCTGACAAGAATTTTAAAGCAACCATCATAAAAATACTTCAATAAGCAATCACAAATTCTCTTGAAACAAATGCGAAAAATACTGAGAAAATCTCAGCAAAGAAATAGAAGTTATAAAAAAGAACCAAATGGAAATTATAGAAGTGAAAAATACAATAAGCTAAATAAAATACTTAATGGATGGGCTCAATAATACAGTGGAGATGACAGAGGATAGAATCAGTGAACTTGAGGACAGGTCAACAGATTTTACTCCAGATTAACAGAGAAAAGTGTAGACTGAAAAAAATAAAAACAGTCTCAGAGGCCAGGTGAGGTGGCTCACGCCTGCAGTTCCAACATTTTGGGAGGTAGAGGTGGGTGGATTGCTTGAGCTCAGGAGTTTAAGACCAGCCTGGGAAACATGTGGAAACCCATCTCTATAAAAAATACAAGAAATTAGCCAGGTGTGGTCACACATGCCTGTAGTCCCAGCTATTTGGGAGGCTGAGGTGGGAGGATTGCTTGAGCCTGGGAGGCAGAGGTTGCAGTGAGCCAAGATCATACCACTGCACTACAGTCTGAGTGACAGAGCAAGACCCTGTCTCAAAAAACAAAAACAAACAAACGAACAAAAACCATAAACAGAGTCTCAGGGACCTGTGAGACAATAACAAAAGAGCTAACATTTGTACCATCGGATCCTCAGGAGAGAGAAAGTGGGACTGAAAAAGGTATTCAAAGGAATAATGGTTGAAAAATTCCTGCATTTGGTGAAAGACAGAAATATAGAGATTTAAGAAGCTTAAAGAATCTCAAATAGAATAATTCCAAAGAAATCCACATTAAAACTTATCATCCTTAAAAGTCTGAAAACGAAAGGCAAAGAAAAATCTTGAAAGCAGCCAGAGAGAAACAATACGTTACTTATAGGAAAACACCAATGCAAATGAGGACAGATTTCTCTTCTGAAACCATAGAGGCCAGAATAAAGTGGCACATTTTTCAAGCACTGAAAGAACAGAACTGTAAACCTCAAATTCTGTTTCTGGCAAAAATGTCTGACAGGAATGAAGGGGAAATAAAGACATTCTTAGATGAACAAAAGGTAAGAAAACTCGTTGGTAGCAAATCTATTATTTAGAAAAATGGCTAAAGGAAATAGCAGAAGGCTTAACACTTCAAAAAGGAAAGAATATTGGAATTGGTAAAAGAAATAGGGGTAAATATAATAAATTGTCTTTCTCATGAGTTTCTTAAATCACATTTGATGGTTAAGGCAAAAATTATAACATGCATCTGACATGGTCCTAATCTTGGTAGAGCCAATACTTACAACAATCATCTTTAAGAACCTGGGAGGGTAAAGAGATCTAAATGGAAGAAGGTCTCTGTACTCTACCGGATGTGGCAAAATGCCGTTACCAGTAGACTCGACAATGATGATATCTTTGTATATTGTAATACCTAGAGCAAGCACTAAGAAAAGCGTACAAACAACACACTGTATGACTTCATTTGTATCGTATGCTCAAGATGACAAAATTACAGATTAATGATAGCCAGGGCTTCAGGAAATGGAAAGGAAAGGAAGTAGTTGTGGCTGTAAATGGGTGGTGTGAGGGATCCTTGTGTCGGAACTGTACTGAATTGTAGTGACCATATGCATCTATGTGTGTGATGAAATTGCTTATTACTAAATACGCACACAAACACACACAGACACACAACTGAGTCCATATAAAACTGGTGCTATCTGAATACACTTGACGCGTTGTATCAATGTCAATTTCCTAGTTGTAATATGGTACTCTAGTCAGACCAGATGTTACCACTGGAGAAAACAAGATGAAGGGTATATGGGCTCTCTGGATTGTTTTATTATAACTGCATGTGAACCTGCAATTATCTCAAAATATAAAAGTTTTGGCGATTAAATATAAAGTGTGTGAAAAATCTAGTAATTTCAGTTTCTCAATCAAGTCGATTCTGAATGAATTTTTTATACTTAGGTGATCATAGTTTATGAAATTTAAATAGCAGTGCTAAATGTATCCTATTCTCTATATTTAGAGAAAGCACATTGGCTGGTCCAGTAATACGTCTGGCATGTGGTGCCAGGTGCCATTGAAGCTGAGGAGATTCCAATGTATGCAAGCATGTTTGATGAATCAGGGGCTGATGACTATCGGAAAACTGTGGCGTAATGGAAGATCCCCAGAAGGAGAATTTACAGCTACTTCAAGTGGAATCTGGCACAATGAACAGACTGGCCACAGGAGCTGAAGACTGGAGGAGAGTGACACTTCTAACTAATAGCATCTAAAACATCCCAGATGAGCTACTTCAAGAGTGTTTGTGAACATCTTGAAACAAAGGCCTATCTTGTAAACAAACAGAGCTGTCCCACTAAACTCTCCTGGCCTAGGGCCTCTTCTGGGAGCATTCAGAGAAAGCAGGACTTAGAGGATAGGGAGTTAAACTTCCTGCCCTGGTTCAGATCTGCAACTGAGCAGTGAATGACTCAGCACCAGGAGAAGGCATCTGTGGGCCTGAATGCTGGCAGCCAGGAATAAGTGCAAAGGCTGTGCCAGTGATGGCCAGAGTGGACGGGACATGGCAGTGGAGGCTGGAGTCATAGTCCACAATTTACCCTCAGCATCTGAGAGATACCCCTAGGGAATCCCGGAGCTGTGGAACAAGGAGGAAATTATGTGAGAGATGGGGAGGGGACCAATGCCACTCAGTTTCACAGAGAGGGGTTATCAGGCAAAAGAATATAGGGTAGTTCTTCTGAATCTCGCACACATTGGAATCACTTGGGAACTGATTCCTGGATCTTAGCTCTAACAATTCTGATTTAATTGGTCTGGGTGCATTTGAGCATTTTGGGAAGTTTTTAGTTTCCCAGGAAATTCTAATGTTCAGTCAACGTTGAGAACCATTGATCTAAGCCTAGGGCTCTCCAACTTAAACTTACATCGGAGTCACTTGGAGGGCTTGGTAAGCAGTAAATTACTGATTCCATCCCTAGAGTTTCTGATTCTGTAGGTCTGGAGTGAGGCATGAGAATCTGTATTTCTGTGAAGCTCCCAGATGATGCTGATGCTGAAGGTCTGTGGAACACATTCTGAATGGTACTGACTTGGGTTAAGTATTTATTGAGATGACATTTGTACCCACCATGTGGGGTGGGTGCTGGGGACATTTGGATCATGGAAACAGTATAGAGCAGGACCCAACACATAGGCTTATTAACAGCCTGAGCCTCATGCTGCCTCTGCTGCATTCCAGCTACATGAACTTGAATAATTTACTCAAACTTTCTAGACCTAATTTCCCCATGAGTAAAACAAGAACATTATGGCAGCTACTCACAAGTTGGTCGCAATATTTTTTTTGTTTTGTTTTGAGGCTGGAGTGCAGTGATGCAATCTCCACTCACTGCAACCTCCACCTTCCAGGTTCAAGCGATTCTTGTGCCTCAGACTCCTGAGTAGATGGGATTACAGGTGTGCACCACCATGCCCAGCTAATTTTTGTACTTTTAGTAGAGATGGGTTTTCACTATGTTGGCCAGGCTGGTCTCCAACTCCTGGCCTCAAGTGATCCACCCACCTCAGCCTCCCAAAGTGCTGGGATTACAGGCGTGAGCCACCATGCCTAGCAAATACTTAATATTTTAAAAGTGCTTTTATCACTGATAAACACACTACATACATTATAATAATTTAATCCCCAGCTAACCCTGTGAAGTATTATTTCTCCTGTTTCACAGATGAGGAAGCTGGGAAGTTGGGTTAAGTAACTTGCCTTAGTCACACAGGTAGTTAGGATTGGCTTAGAATCTGAACCCAGGCAATCTGAATCCAAAGCCCATATACTTCACTATTATACTATACTAGTGCAACAAATATGAGCTACTATGGATAGTGATTATATTAAGAATTAAATGTAATGAAATTCTTAAAACTCCAGTTCATTGTTTTCATGAAACACAAATAGAACACAGTAGATATGAGGAATTGCTATAATTAAATCTAAACTCAGTTCTCTAAACCAGTGTTTCTCCAAGTGTGTCTTGAGATTACCTACAAAGAAATCATTTGGAAACTCCCTACCTCAAATCTTTGGAACCACAATCTCTTGGGGGCAGAGCTACAGAATCTGAGATTTTAAATAAGTTCCCAAGGAGAGCTGGTTTCCCAGCTGTAGTCTGAGTCACATGCCTATAAATTAAACATATTTAGTAATCATTCTTTTCGTATTTCTCAGACTGATCTAGTGTTTTTCTCAATGTTATTTTTTATGAATTTAGAATACACTATTTTGAGTAGCTCAAGTAGAATTGTCTACAGTTTGAGAAAATAAAACCTATCCTTTAAGCTTTCGTAAGTAGGCAAATAAAATAATAATCTGGCTTAAAATCAAAATCATTATGATATGTGGTGGTGAGGGAAGAGAGAGACCCTCTCATATTGTTTTATATTGTTTTATACTCAGAAAAGGAAAGAAAAGCAAAACTAAAGGCAGGTAGCCTGGTGCCTAGGAACCAGACCCGAAACCAGGCCTGGGCCTGCCTGACCTAAGCCTGGTAGTTAAAATTAGACCCCTGATCTAGCAACTGATGTTATCTATAGATTCCAGACATTGTATGGAAGGACACTGTGAAACCTCCTGTTCTGTTCTGTTTCACTCGGACCACTGGTGCTTGCAGCCCCTGTCACATACCCCCTGGCTTGCTCAATCGATCACGACTGTCTCATGCGGACCCCCTTAGAGTTGTGAGCCCTTAAAAGGGACAGAAGTTCAGCATCTGACGAGCTCGGATTTTAAGACACTAGCCTGCCGATGCTCCCAGCTGATTAAAGCCACTCCCTTCCCTATCTCGGTGTCTGAGGGGTTTTGTCTGTGGCTTGTACTGCTACAGTGGCTCAAGAACCCAACTGGACAAATAAAATAAGCAAACAATTTCATTTTAGAGATAAAATTAAATTATAGCTGTATCTCTGACCTTCCTGTTGTACTTCCTCAGTTTAAACAGCTGAGTAATTAAGACTTTTTAAATGTAGAATTTACTGACACAGTAAAGTCAGTTATATATTTATTTATTTATTTATTTATTTATTTTCAGACTCAACAGAGATAGGACACTGTGAAGTTTTACAGGAAACCATTCCTATTTGAGGAATTCCTCTGATTCAATGTTGTCAATGAGCACTTAAACGTCAATGACAAAAGTTTCCACTCTGGCTATGATGGACTGGCATGTTACCACCCAGTACAACTGGAAAAGTTGCATAAACTTTTTTTAAACAAGTTCTTTGAAAACACAGGCACATTATCAAAGGAGGGAGAACTTTAGGGGCTAACGTGGCTGAGAGAGGGGAAGCAAAGAGTTGAGCCCAGTATCTGTTGCTGCTTTTTCCCTTGTGGTATTTGCCAATTTGTAGGGGAGAGAGAGAGAGAGAGAGATACAGAGAGAGAGAGAGAGAGACCCAAGTAGAGCAGAAGCTGAGAAAAAACTGGCAGCAAAGGCTCAGGAATTGAGCAGCAGTGTAAGCAGTCTCATGGGGCTGGGGTGGGAGAGAAAGAATTGGAGTATAGGGCCTGCTGAAGAAGAGTGTCCGTGGTAAAAGACCAGTCCTTCAGCTGTGATCCACAAAGGGCTACATCTTAGGAGTAAAGACAGACTGACAGCAAACAGACTTTGAGTCAGCTCAATCCCAGGCTAGTTGGAAGTGATTGGCAGTACCCTGTCTGTCAAAATCAAAAGTAAATATCCCCTGGAGGAGGATAACCTTGTACAGAGCCTCAAATCATTGCTATAGTTTTTCATACATAATATCTGGCAAGTAACAAAGAAAGTACTTGGCCAGATCAAATCACTGAAAAATCACAAGGAAAAAAAAAAAAGACAATGGAAAGTGACCAGCAGGAGATCCGGATACACAGCTTATGGGTTTTTTAATGATTACTATGTTCAAGATAATAAATGGCAAATAGGTAATTTCATCAAAGAATTATAATCCATTAAGGAGACTCACATGAAATTCTTAAACTGAAAATATTATGCAAATGAATAACTTAGTAGATGAATTTAAAAGCATGTTGACACAGTTGAAAAGAGGATTAGTGAGCTTTAAGGTACTAGACTATATCCAGACTAAAGCTTAGAGAGCAAAAGAAATACAGTAAAGAGCTAAAAGGCAAATGGAATATGGTGAAAAGTTTAGTACACATGCATTTGGAGCTCAAAAAGGAAAGGGAGAAGAGAATATGACAAAAGCAATATTTGAATAGATAATGATCAAGAATTCTACTAAAGTGGCTGGGCGCCATGGCTCATGCCTATAATCGTAGCACTTTGGGTGGCTGAGATGGGTGGATTACTGAGGTCAGGAGTTTGAGACCAGCCTAGCCAACACGGTGAAACCCCCTCGCTACAAAAATACAAAAATTAGCCAGGTGTGGTGGCATACACCTGTAGTCCCAGCTACCCAGGAGGCTGAGGCAGGAGAATCACTTGAACTTGGGAGGCAGAGATTGCAGTGAGCTGAGATCATGCCACTGCACTCCAGCCTGGGCAACACAGCAAGACTCCATCTCAAAAAAAAAGTATTCTTCTAAAATGAAGGAAGACATTAATTCACAAGTCCAAATTTCTACAAACCTTAAACTGAGTAAACACAAAGAAAATTGGACTAGGCACATCGTATGAAAGTGCTGAAAATGAGAGAAAAAAAGAAAATCTTGTAAGCAGCCAAAGAAAAAGATACATTTTTATCAAATAAGTGGTAATAGCAATGAGAATGGCTTCTCAACAAGGTGGAAGCCAACGGCAACATAGTAACATCTTCTAGCGCAAAAGTCAGGCACAGTGATAAGAGGAGCTAAAGTGTTCAAAGGTGCTGGCATTCTCTGGGAAGTAGTAAAAGGACCAATTGATATTAGACTATAATAAAGCAAGAATACAAACTGTGTTATCTAAGATAACATCAAAAGCTTAGCAAAGTAATGTGTATCTAACAACTAACATGAGGAAAAGTGAAGTAGTAAAACTACTTAATCACAAAGAAATGAAAAATTAATTTAAAACAGGTTGGATAGATAAACACAAGGTAGTAGATATAAACCTAATATAATAATAACTACATAAATATGAATGAACTAATATTCTAATTAAAAGAGAGAGATTGTTAGACTGGAGTTAAAAGTTCAATTATATAATGCACACCTAAAATATAAAGGTACAAAAAAGTTGAAACAGTGAGAGATAGAGGCATATTCTGCAAATGTGAACCAAAGAAAGCTGGTGTGATTATAATAATATCAGACAAAGTAAACTTAAAGACAGGAAGCATTACTGGAAAGTAAGAAGAACATTTTGTAATGATAAAAGTGCCAATCTAACAGGAAGATATAAAAGTAGTAAATTTGGATGCATCTAATAAAATGCCTCAAAAGTGTAGAGAAAATCTGACAGAAATTAAAGAAGCAATCTAAAAATCTACAAGCAAAACCAGAAGATTAAAAAAAAAACAGACTATAGAGGAGTTGAATCACAAGACAGGGTCAAATATTCACAAGATTCCACCTAAATGACACACAGAATACTCTGTATCCAACAAAATACACATGCATTTCAAATATCCAGCGAATACTAGCAAAGCATAATGATATAGTGGACTATAAAGCAAGTATCAACAAATGTCAAAAAACAGAAATTATATGGAGTATTTTTTTCTAACAATAACAAAGAGATAGTTAGAACACTCCCAGATGTTTGCAATATAATCCATGGCATATGGGTGACATTACAGTGGAAATAAGAAAATGTTTCAAACCAAATTGAGAAAATATAACATCTCAAAACTTACAGGATGTCACTAAGCCTTAAACACATATATTAGAAAAAAAAAGTAAAGATTGCAAATGAATAAACAGAAAATCTTTCTCAGTAAATTAGGGGAAAAAAAAATTAAGAGCTAAGAAAACCAAAGAAAAGAAACTATAAAAATAAGGGCAGAAATTAGTAAAATAGAAAATAAATAAATAAATAAAAGCAACAAAGCCTAAAGGTTGTTCTTTCAACAAAAGCTAATAATGATCTCTGTTGGAGTAGAGGTTATTGAAAAAAAAAAGCTAATAAAGTTTATAAACTTATAGTAAAACTGATTGATTTAAAAAGAGAGAGAAAGCATATATTACCAATATCAGATATGAAAAAGGGACATCATTTCCTTCAGATATTTAACAAATAAGATATTATAAACAATTTTATATCAAGATCTGTAAAGATGCTGATGAAAGGGAAAAATTCTACAAAAACCCAATTTACCAAAACCAACACAACAATAAATAGAAGCTGAATAATTTCATATCTATTATATAAACTGAATGTATAATACAAATATTTCCCACAAAAAGAAGTCTCTAGATCCATTAGCTTCCTTAGTAAATCTAACAAAACATTTAAGAAGTAAATAATATCGACATTACACAAACTCTTCTGGAGAAGAGAAAAAAGGGGGGAAATTTCCCAACTCTTTTCGGGAGGACAGCATAACATTTATATCAAAACCTAACAAGACTATTAAAAGACAGAAAAATGTAAGCTAATCTCTCTTGAACATAGATGCAATAATCCTAAACAAAATGTTAGAGAGTAGAATACAGCAATATGTAGAGGATAATATAACGTGACCAGTTGAGCTCATAAATGGAAAGATATGTCATTTCTCTCCACTTCATGAACACATCTCTTTTAACTCTATTGAGTCAAAAGATTTAACATTATAAAGAGGTCAATTCAACCTAAATTAATTTTTAAATGCAATGCGATGCCATCAAATTGCCAGCTGTGTGTGTTTGTAAATCAAAATGCTGATTTTAAAATTACATAGAAATACAAAAGGCCATGAATAACTACAGTAACCTTAAAGAGCAACAAAGCTGAAAGACTTAAACTACTGAATATCAAGATTTATTAGGAAGCTATAATAATTAGACAGTGTTGTATTGGTGCAAGGTAAGACAAATAGAGTCCAGAAAATGACCCACACGTATATGTATACTTGATTTTACCAAATGTCACCCCAAATAATATTGAAGAAATCATGGCCTTTTCAATAAATTGTGCTGAATCAATTGGATAACCATATAAGAAAAATGAATAAAGACTCCATCTCACACCATCTACAAAAATCAATTCTAAGTGAATCATAGATCTAAATGGGCAAGTTTAAAAATCAAATTCCTAGAATATAACATTGAATAATACATTGATTACTTTGAGATAAGCAAAGATTTCTTAAACAAAAAACACTAACCACAGGATAACGATAAATTGGACAACAACATCTTTGCCTCAACAAAGGTTATATTAAGAGGTTGAAAAGATAAGCAAACTTATGGAAGAAAATATTTACAATACATTTATGCAATAAGGGGCTTAGATCCAGGTTAAATAGGAATTCCTATAAATCAATGAGAAAAAGGCAGACAAGCCAATATAAAAATGGATGAAAGATGCAAATAGGCACTACACAAAAGAGGCTATCTATGCAGCCAATAAATGTATGAAGAGAGTAAGAGAAAAATGCAAATAAAATTACGAGAGCCAGTAGAATGGCTAAAATTGTTATAGTTTCTTTTCTCTCTTTCTCTTTCTCCCTCCCCAGTCATACAGTTTAGGGCTCTTCCAGGAATATAATCTCTAATCTTTCTTGCCAAATCATGTTTCTCCTTTTCTTCTAATCTCTTTAGGCATTCCCTTTCAGAAAAAAAAAAAAAAAAAAAAAAAATCTTTCCAGCACACCACCACCTGACTCCCAGCACAAGAATAAACTCCTTCCTGGGCCAACACCCCCTAGCCAGTCACTGCTTTCCCCAGCTCCCATCTTCTAAGCATACGCAGGTTGCCCATTCTGTATATATTGGAGCTCATAAACACAGGAGCTTCAGCCAGGTGTCTTTAATATCTTCTTCATGCTTATCTTCTCTCTCCTTTTGAAATTCAGACTTCCAAAGGCCAAGAACCATAACGTTTATCTACAGCCCACAAATGAATTATAATTTTAATGGATTGATTCTAAGAAAAATAAAATGGTTTTAAAGAATTTTGTTTTTATCTGTTCCAAAGGAAGGTTTATTCCATATTTTGATTACTGAGAGTGTTTGGATGAGGGGGGAGAAGAAACAAAGAGTTTAGTCATCTTTGCTATTGCTTATTTTCAACTTACTGCTTTCACAGTCTTAAAAAACCACCAAAGGATTGTATAATACATCTTCTGAGCAATAAACTGAGAAAAAATTCTTAGCATGTGACAAATCATCTCCACATTCTGCTGAGTTACACTGAAAAAAATAAATTAGGATATGTGTGAGTTGGCAGAAGAAGAGGGAGGATACGCAGCTAAGCAGCTTCTACCCTGGGCATCAGTGGACTGACTATGTATCACATTATGCCAATACAATGGAAAACAACCTAACTTTGGCCAAACAAAGCAGGGAACAATCGTGAGAGTGTGAGACCTATGCTGAACTTGTCGCTCTGCCCTGCCTGCATAGTCAGGGCCAGATTCCTATCCTGTGCTAATTTATGGATCTTCTCTGGTAGAAAGTAGGATGTGAATCTCACCTCCAATGTGAGTTTGAGATGTTTGATTTAGGGAATTCATGGAAACAGAAATAAAAAGCAACCAACTCACGACCACATTTCTTTTCATTAAAGGGTCAGCAGGTCTTCAAAGCTGATGTCTCCTGTTTCATATAAATGAAAAGAAAATCTGATGACACAAGGCCAGGAAAGTAAACACTATGTTTATAATTAGAAGTTCTTCCAGTGATCTGTTCATGTCCCTGTGTGATCAAATATAGTCTGAACACTGCCTGATGCACCTGGTGACAAAAAGTCCTCCCTGCAAGGAAAAAGCCCCCCACACATAAGAAAAATGTCCACATTACCTGGCCACCTTTCCACCCAGCTGTGCTGCTGTGGGTAGCATAGAATGGCAGGAAGCCTCTCTGGGAATATTTGTCCTACTGCCTTCTCTCCAGTTCTTGAAACTATATCTCTTTCTGTTCAACTAATTAGAGACTTATTAAAAATTATCAGGACATTTACTTTTCCCCTTACCCCAGTAAGGGTAAGCCTGTTCCTATTGTATTGTGTATGCAGATTACCATTGGTTATTTCCATTAGGTTTTGTGCAATTTGATTATCTAAAGGCAAAGATTCTGATTGGAACCAAAGTAAGTTGCTGGCTTGAGCTAGCTGCCACGATGAAAGGAGGGCCACAGGTGCCATTGCAATTGTCACAATGTCTAGTTTTGGGACAACAAAGAGCAGAATGCTAACTGGTACAGAGGGGGCATAGTTAGAAGACTGCCAGGGAACCTGAAAGTGGAGAGAAGGTTTGTGAAGAGGAAGTGTGTATTATTTTTCTCAAGTGCCCTCCTGCAGGCAGTTGTTGGGTGTTGTAATTCTTGATAGCTGGAATTCTGCAATGGATGGTCCACTCCCTAATATTCATTTGAAAAAAGTATAGGGCACAATCCCCCCAAAATTTTGTCCAGGCAAAGTTTTGAATGGAGAAAGGGGTTAGTTACTACAAGGCTGGAGTAATCAGGGAAGGCTTCCGGGAAAAGGTAGTATTTGGCCTTGAGGTCTGGGTAGAGTTGACCAATAGGCTAGAAAAGGGAATGGCATCCCAAATAAGAGGCAGAGAAAAAGCAAAGCCACGGAGATGGAAAAGTTCAAGATTTTTTCAACAAAAACTAAGAAAAGTGGCCAGGCTGAAGGGGAGAACTTCAGGAATACGGCTTATTAAATGCACTTAACAGTAATTGAGACAGAGATGCTTTCCAATGACTCACTTCTTAATCAAAAACGTGCTTTTTAACCGGAAGTAATGATAATATCAGAAGCACAAGGGTAAATCTAAGACACCAGAAAAGGCTGGTTTGAGTACAAACCTAATAATAAAGACAATATCCATGTGACTGACAAAAAGCTCCAACCCTAGCTCAAGCCATCATCCACCTTCTCCAGGCGGATAGCTGAGCAGATGAGGACTGAGGAGGACATTTTACCCCATAGAACAACAGCTGCCCACTCATCTTTCTATGTTTCTCTAGTCAGCCAATGATTAAATTTCTGTATTATTCCACATCTTTTCCATTCTCTTCAAACCTTCAACGATTCAATGAACTTCCACTCCTGAGACAGGCCTGTGAAAAGGAGTTTTAGAAATGAGGTTAATGGATTAATCCAAGTCACTCCCGAGAGCTTGGAACATGTTATCTCTAGCAGCGTTTTTTTTTTTTTTTGGAGACAAGGTGTCACCCAGTGTCACACAGGCTGGAGCGCAGTGGCACAATCTTGGCTCACTGCAGCCTCCACTTCCCAGGCTTAAGCAATCCTCCCATCTTAGCCTCCCAAGTGGCTGGGGCCACAGGTGTGTGCCATCACACTTGGCTAATTTTATTTTTGATTTTTTTTTTTTTGTAGAGACAAGGTTTCACTATATTGCCCAAGTTGTCTAATAGCATCTTTTCTAAGACTTCTCTTATCCCTTCCTTCCTTTCCTGAATTTCTGCTTCCATACTGTATACACACTAACTCCAAGGCTTTCCTCTGACTTGTCTAGTTTTCCACAGTTGCATGCTGGTAAGCTGGCTCTCTGAAAAAAATAAAGCCTTCATTTGTATTGTTGGCTGATTTCTGTTGTGGACGTACTTCCACCATGGCCAATTTCAAGCTACTATCATCTTGAAATATGAAACAACCGATCCACAGGAGCAGGCTCTCTGGGTTACCTGTGCTGCATTGTGCAATCTTCTCATTTCTCAGACAACTGTTCCTACAGGCCTCCATTCCCTGGCCTTTATAGGGATTTTGAGCTTCAAAACAGGGTCAAGACAGTCAGGATCAGCCAGCTGAAGTATCCTTAAATCACTCACATTAGACCTGTAGGATGCTAACTACATGTTCTATGGTTCCACATGTTGGGGCTCACCTTTTATCGCTTACGAAGTTCAATATTCGAGCAGGACCAGGTAATGTTAGGGAAGCACAAAAAGAAGCATTAAAGAGCTTCTTCCCTCCTCAGCAAATGTCTGGCTCCTTAGCATTCTGGGATATTTCTTGTGCTTGCTTGACAAGAGGCAAGAACTCATCTCTTTTGCATGCTCCATCAGTGCTTGATAAACTTCAAGGTATGTACAATTACCTGGGGCCCTTGATAAAATGTAGATCCTAATTTAGGAGGGAGGTCAGGATGCTGAGAGTTAGGCATTTTTAACAAGCTCTGAGATGATATGTGTGCTGCTGGTCCAAGGTCTACACTAGCAGTATCTTTAAAACATTCCTCCCACCTGCACCTTCTTTCCCAATAACCAACCGCAATTTCAAGCTCATACTCAATTCCCTGGCTAACACCCCTGTCTCCAGGTCCTCAATCCAGTTTTAGCAATGCCCTTAGCCCTTATGCATTTTTAATTTGGTCTATTTATATAGTGTCACTTTTCCATTTGTGTTCGCATGCACATAATAGCTATTTACATCTTCCCTTGAATCTTCAAGAACAGAGGCTATGACTTTTTTTTCCCTTTTCCTCTCTGCTTTGAGCCGGGTACGGAGCTCTACATAGGTCACCTCAGGGGAACAGCATTCATAAATGTCAATCAGTGCCATCTGGTGTCTCATTGTCCCTGTTGCTTTCTAAGTCCTTCCCTGTCTTGACCCTCTTTTCTCTGTGCTATGTACTTCTCTTTCTTCCTCTCCAGTGTGTGTCATTGAAAAAGCCAGCAACTGTGGGTAAACCCAATCCATCCCGCTTCAGCATGTGAGGCAGAAGAGTGTTAAGAGCCCAGAATTTGGGTCCTTTGAGAAAGTCCTGAATGAGTTCAAATCCCACTTTCACCTCTTCTGTTTGAATCAGTTATTTTGCCTCTCTAAGACTCTTTCCTCGTAAAAAGGGGATAATGGTGTCAAACTCAAGCAGTTATAGGGTTTGAAAAAATAGCTCATGGAAAGCACTTAATACAGTGCCTAGCACAGAGTAAAACTGCGTAGCTTTAAGAAAATTATGTAGGGCAGGGCGCAGTGGCTCACACCTGTAATCCCAGCACTTAGGGAGGCCAAGGCGGGCAGATCACCTGACGCCAGGAGGTTGAGACCAGCCTTGCCAACATGGCGAAACCCCGTCTCTACTAAAAATAAAAAATAAATAAAAAATAAATTAGCGGGAGCCTGTAATCCCAGCGACTTGGGAGGCTGAGGCAGGAGAATCACTTGAACCCAGGAGGCAGAAGTTGCAGCGAGCCAAGATCATGCCACTGCATTCCAGCCTGGGCAACAGAGCCAGACTCTGTCTCAAAAAAAAAAAAAAAAATTATGTAAACCCTCTGCGTCTTGATTCCCTCGTGGGCAAAATAGGAATAATAGTACCCATCTTACAGGGCATTTGTGAGGATGAAATGAAACACTGCATGTGGGGGTTGCCTCAAGACTCAACCCACACTATCTCCTCTTGATTATCCCCTCTGCCCAGTCCCCTCCGCCATGTGCGTGGAATTCCTGAGGTTGCTGCAAATTTCTTGCTCTGGATGCATTTTCTCTCCTCCATGGCCCACTGCTCCCATTCTCTTGGGCTTCCTTCCTTTTCTCCCTTCCCCTTGTGATTTAAATAGACTGGTAAAGAAAGATAAAAGAGTCCAACTTTATCTGAGACCAAGTTCTCACTCTTTTTCTGTCCTCCAGCCAAGGCCTCCTTTCAATTCCCAAAATGCATCAAACTCTCCCACCCTTCACAAAGATCCTCTGCCTGGAATGATATTCTTCTCTCTTCTGTTTATTCCATTCTATTCTACCCCATTTCTAAGGCTGAGCTCAAAGACAGCCTTTGCTGACTTAGGTGGTTGTACCCCGTGCTTCTCAGCATCTAAATGTAATTTTTAATAATAATATAATATGCAATGAGTTATGTTTTACTTGTGTGCTCTGCTAGAGCAAGGGTTCTCAAAGTACATGGTACCTGGACCAAGAGCATCAGAATCTCCTGGGAAATTGTCGGGGATGTAACTCCTCCAGACTTACTGAATCCCACACTCTGGATGTGGGGCCCAGCATGGAGGGTTTTAAGCAGGCTTCATGTCATTCTGCTGCATCCTGAAATTTGAGCACCACTCAGACAGAGTCTTAACTCCTTGAGAGGCAAGGAGCACATCTGCTTGTTGTATTGCCACATCCTCATTGTCTACCTCAGCATCCTATGAGAGATATGCACCTGATAAGTATTTGTTGGATAAATGAGTACATGGCCCATGAACCTGAGGCGGAGCTCTCTGCACTTAGAGGTAGGGTGCATGTTCATTTAGGTTAAAAATAAACTCTCTGTGACATAAAGGCATACGAATTCTGGGAATTTATTTATCCTCAGTCAATGCTGTTGGCCAGGACCAGCTCACTTAGGGCCTCACAAGACCTCATTAAGGATGTTAATCTTTATCTTAAGAGAAATTTAAAGATATCAAAAGATTTAAACAGTGGAAGGCGGTTTTAAAGGCAGCATAGAAGGTGCTACAGCTAAGAGGTCTAAGCTTCACAGGAGGAGCTTTGTTCTGAAAGGAAGGGGCAGCAATGGTGACAAGTGAAGACAAAGGACTCTGGGGAGTGTGAGAGAAGGAGTATGTGCCCCTCAGAAGGGCTGGTGAGAAAAGACCTTGGGGAGGCACCTGACTGAGCTAAGGCCAAGGGCAAGAGGAGGGAGAAGACATTGAAGAAGAGGGCAGAGGGAACTGGGGAGCTGGAGGATGCCCCTGGAGCTGCAGGAACACTCTGGAAAGAGGTAAGAGTGTGTCTGCAGGGACAAATGGTGGAGTTCCAGGAGGAAGAACGGCATGAACAATGCAATCCCAACGGTCTCTTGCAGGAAGGTGGGCACTGGGTCTAAGGGCAGAGGTCAAGGCTTGTGATGGTATCTGCCAGGCAGCACGATCTCACATAAATTGGCTTACGGCTTGCTTAATTTCTAATCAGGAGGAGTTTAGAGTGGCTCAGCATTAAGCGGGTCCTTGTTCTATTAATAGTACTTGGATTCTGCCTTGATTCTTAGAACCTTATACCCCAGATCCAATACGGGTTCTTATCCTCCTAAGTTACTGGATACTTAGTTCAGAATACTGCTAGTATTCTGAAAACTGGGGTTTAAATCCTCCTCTTGAATCATATTCTCATGCCTGGGTCCCCTCTTTCTGAAGCCAGATTTCTTTGATGACAACTGTCAAGCAAATGACACCTGTTATCATTTCCAGACCTTCAGGGGAGAAGTGCACTCCACCAGGAGCAATGGTCCCAGGATGTCAGCCCATTCCATGGTTTGAGGTCACCAAAAACACCAGCCTCATGCAGGCACTGGATAGAACAATGCTTTGCTCACACAGAGAAGAGACAGAGCAAGATCAGTTTCAACAGTGGGCATTACTCCCCCATGGCCAGCAGCTGATGCGGGGTGAGTATCTGCACACACTCCCCTCATGCTGCAAGCAAAGGACTCAGCTCTCTCCATGTTGGGAATAGATATCGTAGTGTGGTCGGCCAGGTACCAAATGATACACCAGCTTAGGCAAACACAGGAGTCCATATTGAGTGAAAAGGGAGGTATTCCCACACAAGGTGATAAGCCCAGCACAGCTGTGAGGGCTCTTTAAACTCTCAGTAAAGAAGTGCTCCAGGCCCAAAGCTCATGCTTATGTGTCCAGGCAGATGTCTCAGGACCGCTTGCACGTGACGGCCTTTCCCAACAATTATCTCACAGAATCTTGCAGGGCTTACAGTTGAAGGAAGTCTTTAGGGTCATTCCATCTACTTTCCTATCCGTGTCATTTTGTCCACTGTCTATTTAGATTTGGCTGCCAGACATCAGGATGCTCAGTTAGCTGGCCCAACTCTTATGCTGTGTGCCAGTGAATTTACCCAGTTCCCAGCCATCCCTGGGACTGGTCCAAACAGCTATTACATCACATTTTTGACACTTGAGAGATTGAATATACAAATAAAAAATGGTCAGACCACATATGTCAATAGAACTCTGATGCTCAAGCTCTGCAGCAAGCAAAACCTCAACCTCTAGCAATCCTTCCAGAAAGGTCAGAACTTGGTCAATGACTGTCAGATTCCCTCCTTTTTTATCCCTGCTTCCAACTCAGGACCAGCCAGAGAAAGCCAAATATGCTTTCCGAACCAATCACATAAGATGCTCTGCTTCTAGTCAGCCTACCTCTAGCTTCCTCATGCCAACAACCTCCAAGCAGAGCATACCTGAAATTTCTTTCTTTCACTATAAAACTTTCCTACTCCCCTGCCTGCCTCTGAGTCTCTGCCAAACGCCAGTGATGGTGGCTGGCTCCCTTGTTATAGCCAGCTCTGAATAGCCTCTGTTTGTTCTCAAGTGGTATTCATTTACATCCAAATTCATGGACAATAAATTAAATGAATTTGGAATGATCTCCTAGACATCATGGACGTGGTAGGAGGAAACATGCTGAAAGTAGTCTGAGGTGAACAGAAGTGCATTTTAAAAAGATACTTAAGTTGATATGGAAACCCGTGGTCAGGTGGATTCCCACACAACAAAGAACGTTTGGTTAGGGATAAAAGGAAAGAGAAAGACACACACTGTTTCTAGAGAATATGCTGTAAGCCACCAAGCCAGGTTAAAGATAAAGGAAATATATTCATAATATAGATTATAGTGCTGGCAAAAAGACAAATTTTGATAAAACATGTGACTGTGAATTATCTATTAGAAATCTATTTTTTCCAAAATAATCAGATGTATTTCTGACTTTTTTAAATATTTGAGGTATAAAACAAAACCACAAAACCAAAAAAATTATGGGGAAGTAGGGAATAAATCAAAGGCTAGTAGTTACCTCCTATTAGAAAGTTTGAATATGTGGGAGGAGCTGAGTGAATTGAATTGAACTGAACAGAACTGGAGAATTCACAACTTTGCAACCCACAGACTAGTTAAAATGGCTGGATCTAGTCAGTTAGCTCACTTTTGGAAATTTAACATCCCATTTTTTCTTCTATTTGTCATTACGGTAAAAAAGCTCCCACATTTATATATAAAGCAGTGAGGTCTCAAGTTATGTCATTTTAACATATGGTCTTATTTCTGATATGCTAATTTTGGTAGACATTTTGGGCAGTTAGTGCTAAAAATTGAGATAAGAAAAGCCACCACCTACATTCTACTAGTTATATTTTCAATTTGGAGTTAATGTTTTCAAATTGTCTATACTTCGTTTTAATCAGTTTTTATGTTCTATTGTCCTATTGTCACTTTACTGAATCAACTTATGAAGTTGGTATTAAAAAACAATGTGTGATCGCTTCTTGGCCTTTTGGCTAAGATCAAGCGTAAAAACAATATGTGGCCGGGTGCGGTGGTTCATGCCTATAATCCCAATGCTCTAGGAGGCCGAGGCAGGAGGATCACTTGAGCCCAGAAGTTCAAGTCTGCAGTGAGCTAGAATTGCACCACTACTCTCCAATCTGGGCTGCAGAATGAGATCCTGTCTCTAAAACAAAAATAATGTGTGGCATGGTGCATGATTTCAGCAGCTTAGTTATTAGCCTTTTCTAACTAGAGAGAAATCAATCTTGAGATAATGGATCAAGTCAGGTTTCTCAAATATATCTCTCCACATGCATATATTTCCAAATTTTTGGCTATATCTCTACTTTAGTGTAGTGGCCAATAGCATGAAGGGAACATTTTAGGAAGCACATCTCATCATACCTGCATCAGACAAGTCATTAGCATTGCACATTGATTTTTTTTCATGGAAAAACTGAAATTATTCTCGTCTGTTGACAGGTAAATACACTTCACTAAGTAAATATTTGCAGGGGGTAGGGGGAAAGGGGAGGGAGAACATTAGGACAGATACCTAATGCATGCAGAGCTTAAAACCTAGATGACGGGTTGATAGGTGCAGCAAACCACCATGGCACATGTATACCTATGTAACAAACCTGCACGTTCAGCACAGGTATCCCAGAACTTAAAATAAAATAAAAAATAAAATAAATATTTGCAATCATAAAGCATTTGGACATCAGCTATGTGCAAGACACTGTGTATGATACTTTGACAGACTGAATAAAAGATGGAAGATTTATTCTTCAGGTTTCCCAGGTTTTAAAATGTGTTTCCTTGTTTCTACCCTTCAATGTTTCTCTTAGAGACATTCAATTTATGTATCTCGGAATGCCATAAAAAAGGTCACATTTTGGTTTATTTAGCACATCTTTTTTTTTTTTTTTGACACTTTGGCCAAACCATTTCAGCTGTATTTAAGGTATGTTTTAATTAAAATAAATATTTATCGTATTTGTTTTTTCTGGTGTTGGATTATCTAAGCATGTTTAAAGTTGTCCCCAGAAAATACAACCTGATAAACAGAAAATGTTAATTCTGTGTATAATTCCCCACTTGTTTCCTAGGTAAAAACATATGGGTCACTGATGAAATGCACACCAGTATGCCACCCATCCTCCAAAAGTCCCAATTATCTATGTGACAACACAGTACTTCCATGATTTGGAGGTTATCATTTGTGAAACATATTGTTGATTCAATAACAGATATTTGGGGAAAAATAAGCCATTCTATAAAGCACATATATAGTTGTAAATGTTAAAACAGAGAGGAAAGGTACATCTTAGAATATAGGAAATAAAACTTTCTCATAAAATACATATACATATACACCATTTTTTTCTCATAAGTGTACCTATATATATTTCAATGTATGTCCCTCTCTCCCTCCCTTCCTTTCTCTTTCTCTCTCTTTGACTCTCTCTCTCATTCTCTTCCTCCAACCAACACACATCATCATCATCATCATCATCATCATCATCATCATCAATGTGGGAAAACACAGTAAATATATTTCGATCTCACATCCTGATTAGCACATGCCATTAGTAGAAGCACACTTCTCACATAAGTGATATAATAATTCTCACAGTTTGGGTGCCATTTTCCCTTCTTTAAATATTTCAGTGCCAATGAGAATTTCAGCGTGACAATATCATGGGAAGTTTAAATTTACTTTAGGAAATTCCCATAGTAGATAAAGAACTTCTAAACGTCACATTTGCACAAGATAGCTACATTTAAATAGCAGTGGCAATCCTAACTTTGATTTTGATTGTGGTTAGAGGCTTTCGAATCACATTACAAATGAAACTGGATTCTTTTTATGTCGATTCATCTAATTTTAATTATTTAGGATCAGTCACTTTCCAGAACTCAATAAAGTAAACAGGTTAGATGTGACATTTTGAGGAAAGTTAAACATGGCTTCTAACCACAGGAGAAAAATATAAGGCAGAAGATAGAAGATAAACAAGAATAGAAGATGACATAGCCATCTGTCAGCCTCCCAAAGGATATGTTGTTTTTCATGACAGTGTTTCCTGCTTTCTTTTTCAATTCTATACTGGGCAGCATGTTAGCAACATTCAGGTATAGGACTGAGAGAGACTCAACTGATAATAGTTAACTATCTTTAGGTATTCCTGATATACAGCCCGGCTTGTCCACTAACAGATTTTGGATGATGGTTTTAAAGCACAGGTTTTAACCCAAGACAGAAATCTTAAAGCTACTGAAGAAAAACAGACTTTTTTACATGTATGTGTGTGTATACTTTTCAAGTACAAGGCAAGAGATAGACAAAATCATTAGAGAAGGTAAAGACTTCTGGTTTACTAGAATAATCTTAAACTATCTCATGATAAACAACTAAAAAGGCCAGATCAAATAAAGCAGTACATGTTTTTTATAAGTTTATGGAAGTCTCTGTAAGAAAAAGAAATTTGCAGATGCTAGGAAGAAAGAGGGAACTGAAAATCTGAGAGGTAAGAATGTGTTCTGATGGAGCAGCTATTCTAGAAAATACTTATATAATAACCTAAGGGATTGAGTAATTTTTTTCCCTTTGTGTTGGCTTAAAATTCTGTAAATTTTACCTTAGAATTACAAATCTGATATGCACAGATTTTATGTAAATTGATGATTTTTGAAAAATGTACACACCCATGTAACTCATACCCCCAATTATGATATGGAACATCTCCATCACCCCCAGAAAGCTCCCTCAGATCTCCTTCCAGTCAATTTCTACACCCAGGGCAATTATTGTTCTGATTCCTACCACTATATATTCTTATCATTGTCTTCCCCAATTTTATGTAAATAGAATCACAATGTATGTATTCTGTCAGGCACGGAGGTTCACACCTATAATCCCAGCTACTTGGTGAGGTTGAGGTGAGAGGATCACTTGAGGCCAGGAGTTCAAGACCTGCCTGGGCAACATACCAAGATTCCCATTTCTAAAAAATTTTCTTAAATAGATTTTTGTATTCTTTAGTGTATGACTTCTTTCACTCAACATAATGTTTTTTTGGAAATTCAAGCACGGGGTTGTGCTTTGGTAATTCATTCTTATTTACTGCTGAGTAATGATGCCTTGTATATAAATGGAATACTTGGTCCAGTGGATAGACATTTGGTTATTTCTTATTTTTTACTATTACGAATAAAAATGCTATACACATTCTTGCACAAGTCTTTTTTGTTTTCATTTCTCTTGGGTAAACACCTAAAAGTAGAATTGTTGGGTAACAGAGTAGGTATATGTTTAACTTTTTTAAAAAATTACATATTTTTTAATGTTTAACTTTTTAAGAAACTACCAAAATGTTTTCCAAAGTTATCGAAGCAATCTACAGTCTCATCAGCAATGTGTGATAGTTCTAGTTGATCCACAACTTCACCAATATTTGATGTTATCTTATCATAAATATATAATTTTAGCTGTTCTATGGGGTATAAAATTTTCTCATTTTTAATTGCATTTCCTTAATGACTAATAATTCTGAGAATTTTTTTCTGTTCTCAGAATATGCTCAAGTGACTACTGTATGTCTTCCTTTGTGAGGTGTCTATTCAAGTCTTTCATCCATTTAAAAAATTGGATTGTCTTTTTGTTATTGATTTGTAAGAATTTTTTTAAGAGACAGGGTCTCACTCCATTGCCCAGGCTGGAGTGCAGTGGCACAGTCAAAGCTCAGTGCAGCCTCCAACTCCTGGGCTCAAGTGATCCTCCTGCCTCAGCCTCCTGATAACTGGGACTACAGGCATGATCCACCATGCCTGGCTAATTTTTTATTTAAGAGATGGGGTCTCGCTATGTTGCCCAGGCTTGTCTTGAACTCCCAGCCTCAAGCTGTCGTCCTGTCATGGCCTTCCAAATTGCTGAGATAACAGGAGTAAACCACCTTGCCCAGCCTGATTTGTAAGAATTCTTTGTATATTTCAACTGTAAGCCCTTTAGCAAATATAAATATTTCAAATGTTTTCTCCTATTCTTGGCTTGGCTTTTTATTTTCTTAATGGTGTCTTTTAGTAAGTAGTTTTTAATTTGATGAAAGACAATGTATCATTTTTCTCTACTTCATGCTTTTTATGTCTTGTCTAAGACATCTGTGATTACCTCAAGGACATGAAAATATTCTTTCGTTTTCTTCTAAAAGCTTTATAGCTTTAGATTTTATGTTTAGGTCTATGATCAATCTCAAACTAATTTTTCTGTTAGGTATAAGGTGAAGAATCAAGGTTTGTAGATTTATCCTGTTATTCTGTTGGCTAAAAAGACTTATTCTTTTAACTGAATTGAATTGCCATTGAATTGCCTTGGTCCTATTGCCAAAAATCACTTGGCTATATATATCTGGGTCTATTCTGGACTCTACTCTGTTATATTAACATATTTTGCTGTAATTTTGCCAATATTCTAGTCCTGATTAGTGTAGCTTTGCAGAAAGTATTGAAATCGAGTAATATGTCATCCAACCTTGTTTATTTCAAAATTTTTTGGCTATTTTAGATTCTTTGGATCTCTAATAGCTTTTGGACCAGTTTTCCAATTTCTCACAAAGAAACAGTCTGGGATGGGTGCAGTGGCTCATGCCTGTAATCCCAGCACTTCGGGAGGCTGAGGTAGGAGGATTCCTTGAGCCCATGAGTTTGAGACTCACCTGGGCAACATAGGGAGGTCCTGTCTCTATTAAAATATGTTTTAAGAAAAATTTTTTTAAAGTGTGATTGGATTTTATTTGGATTTGCACTGAATATATGAATAGACTTGGGGTGAACTGACATCTCAACAATTATCAAGTCTTTCAATCCATGAACACGGTATGTCATTCAATTTATTTAGGTATTTGTTCATTTTTCTCAGCAATGTTTCAAAGTGTTAGGTTAGTAGAGATCTTGCTTACCTTTTATTACACTTATTCTTCTTTTCTTATAATTTTGATGCTGTTGTAAATGTAAAATTTAACATAATTTTTGACTGCTAGTATATGGAAATAAATTTTAATTTTGTATATTGAGCTTTTATCCTAAAAATGTGCTAAATTAATTTGATTGCATAGACTTTTTGTAGATTCTTCATTATTTTCTATGTAGATGATCATGTCATCTACAAATAAAGACAGTTTTACTTACGTTTTTCTGATAAATATGCCTTTTATTTCCTCCTCTCCCATTGCACTGGCTATGACTGTCATGACAATGTTGAATAGAAATTGTGAGCACAGACATTCTGTCTTTTCTCTCATCTTATGGGGAAAGAATTCATTATTTTACAATTAAGCATGATGTTACCTGTAATTTTTTTTGTAGCTGCTTTTTATTAGATTGAGGAAGTTTTCTTTTATTCCTAGACTGCTGAGAGTTTTTAACCAAAAATGGGCATTGAAATCTGATAAACATTTTTCTGCTTTTGTCGAGATGATCATATATTTTTTCTCCTTTTTTCTGTTAATGTGGGGAACTATGTTGATGATAATTGTTTCATTTTTGAATGTTAAACCAACTTGAATTGGTTTAAACCCCATTTAGTAATGGCCTAACCTAGAGTTTCAGTATGGGAAACACTATCAATGGGCTTAAAAAATCCAGTTCACTAATATCACAGGGCACAAGAGAATTTTTGTGTCCTTAAAAAAAGATTCACCGAAGGCCAGGCGCGGTGGCTCATGCCTGTAATCCCAGCACTTTGGGAGGCCGAGGCAGGAGGATCACGAGGTCAGGAGATGGAGACCATCCAGGCTAACATGGTGAAACCCCATCTCTACTAAAAAATACAAAAAATTAGCTGGCTGTGGTGGCGGGCGCCTGTAGTCCCAGCTACTCAGGAGGCTGAGGCAGGAGAATGGCGTGAACCTGGGAGGCAGAGCTTGCAGTGAGCCGAGATTGTGCCACTGCACTCCAGCCTGGGCAACAGAGCAAGACTCTGTCTCAAAAAAAAAAAAAAAAAAAAAAGCTTCACCTATTACGGAGTGGAGAACATTGCTGTGCAGGAAAATTATATGGGAACAACAGATACTGATAAAAGTGGGTCTTGTTAAGGCAGAATTCTGTAAGAGGATAAGGGAGGAGAAGGGGATGGCTGTTTTCTGTGTTTTGTTGACTCTGGGCAGCAGATTTTACAACAATAGGGTATGTTTCAGCCCATTCGGGCTGCTATAACAAAGTGCTGTACACTGAATAATTTATAAATGATAGAAATATATTTCTCACAATTCTGGAGGTTGGGAAGTCCAAGATGAAGACACCAGCTGATTCAGTGTCTATAGAAGACTCACTCATAGATTCATAGATGGTGCCCCTTGCTGCATTCTTGGCTGAAGGGGCTAGGGTGCTCTCTTCAACCTAATTTATAAGGGCACTAGTCCCATTCATGACAGCAGAGCCCTCATGACCTAATCACCTATCTAAGGCCCCATGTCTTAATATTACTGCATTGAGGATTAAGTTTCAATATATGAATTTGGTGGCGGGAACACCAATATTCTGACCATAGTGGGGTGGAAAGATTTAGATATCTATATATAAATAAGCCTGAAATGGTTGTTCAATTCTGATAAAATTTAAAGATAATGAGAAAAAGATTTTTCTGCGCATGGCAACTCCCATTATACTGTACTTTAAAGGGAATAGAGAGGTTTCTGATATTAGTCCCATCTTCTGCCTCTTTAAAAAGCTATTGGTATGCACTCAACACTGGAGCACCCAGATATAAAAAGCAAATATTATTAGAGCTAAAGAGAGAGATAGATCCAAATACAATAAGAGTTGGAGATTTCAGCACCCCACTTCTCAGCATTGGACAGATGTCCCAGACAGAAAATCAACAAAGAAACATTGGACTTAATCTTCACTATAGAACAAATGAACCTAATAGATATTTACAGAACATTTTATCTAATGGCTGCAGAGTACATACTTTTCTCCTCAGTATATGGACTATTCTCAAGAATAGGCCATATGTTAGGTCACAAAGCAAGACTTAAAACATTCAAAAAATTAAAAAATATCATCTTATCTGACCACAATGGAATAAAACTACAAATTAGTAACAAAAGGAACTTTTGGAAACTACACAAACACATGGAAATGAAATGATATGCTCCTGAATGACCAGTGGGTCAATGAAGAAATTAAGAAGAAAATTGAAATATTTCTTGAAACAAAGGATAATGTAAACACTACATACAAAACCTATGGGATACAGCAACAGCAGTGCTAAGAGAGAAATTTATAGCTATAACAACCTACATCAAAAAGAAGAAAAACTTCAAATAAACAAATTAAATTAGAAAAGCAAGAGCAAGCCAAACCCAAAATTAGTAGAAGAAAAGAAATAAAGATCAGAGCAGAACTGAATGAATTTGAAACAGAAAATAATACAAAAGATCAATAAAAAAAGCTGTTTTTTTGAAAAATATAAACAAAATCGACAAAACTTTAGCTAGACTAACCAAGAAGAACAGATAGAAGACCCAAATAAATAAAATCAGAGATGGAAAATGAGACATCACAACGGCTACCACAGAAACTCAAAGGATGATTAGTGGCTACTATGAGCAATTATATGCCAATAAACTGGAAAATCTAGAAAAAATGGGTAAGTTTCTAGACATGCACAACCTACCAAGATTGAACCACGAAAAAATCCAAAACCTGAACAGACCAATAAAAAGCAATGAGATTGAAGCTGTAACAAAAAGTCTCCCAGTAAAGAAAAGCCTGGGACCCAATGACTTTACCGCTAAATCCTATCAAACATTTAAAGAACTAATACCAATACTCAAATTTTCCCAAAAAATGGAGGAAGAGGGGATACTTCCAAACTCATTCTCAGAGGCTAGTATTATCCTGATGCCACAACCAGACAGAGATCAAAAAAGAAAACTACAGACCGGTCTCCCCAGTGAATAGTAATGCAAAAATTCTCAACAAAATACTAGCAAACCAAATTCAACAATACATTAAAAAGATAATTCATCATGACCAAGTGAGATTTATCCCAGGGATGCAAGAATAGTTCAACAAATGCAAATCAATCAATGTGATACATCATTATCAACAGAATGGAGGGCAAAAACCAGATGATAATTTCAATTGATGCTGAAAAAGCATTTGATAAAGTTCAACATCCCTTCATGATAAAAACCCTCAAAAAAGGTATAGAAGGAGCATACCTCAACATAATTAAGGCCATATATGACAGACTCACAGTTAGTATCATACTGAATAGGGAAAAATGGAAAGCCTCTTAGATCTGCAACATGATAAGGAAGCCCTCTTTCACCGTTGTTATTCAACATACTACTGGAAGTCTTAGCTAGAGCAATCAGACAAGAGAAGAGATAAAGGGCATCCAAATTAGAAAGAACTCAAATTATCCTTTTTTGCAGATGACATGATCTTACATTTGGAAAAACCTAACAATCAACATACAAAAATCAGTAGCATTTCTATATGCCAACAGAGAACAATCTGAAAAAGAAATTTAAAAAGCTATCCCATTTACAATTGCTACAAACAAAATTAAATACCTAGGAATTAACCAAAGAAGTGAAAGATCTCTACAATTAAAACTATAAAACACTGATGAAAGAAATTGAAGAGGGCACAAAGAAATGGAAAGATATTCCATGTTCATGGATAGGAAGAATCACTATTGTTTAGATATCCATACTACCTAAAGCAATATACAGTCTCAATGTAATCTCTATCAAAATACCAATGAGATTCTGCATAGAAATAGAAAAAATGTCCTAAAACATATATGGAATAAAAAAAAAAAAGCAACTAGAATAGCCAAAGCTATCCTGAGTAAAAGGAAGAAAACTGGAGGAATCATGTTACCTGACTTCAAAGTATACTGCAGACTATGGTAACCAAAACAGCATGGTACTGACATAAAAACAGACACATAGACCAATAGAACAGAATAGAAAACCCAGAAACAAATCCACATACCTACAGTGAACTCATTTTTGACAAAGTTGCCAAGAATGTACATTGGGGAAAAGACAGTCTCTTTAATAATTGATGCTGGGAAAACTGGATATCGATATTCAGAAGAATGAAGCTGGATCCCTATCTCTCACCTTATATAAAAATCAAATAAATTTGGATTAAAGACTTAAATCTAAGACCTCAAACTATGAAACTACTACAAGAAAACACTGGGGAAACTCTCCAAGACATTAGTCTGGGCAAAAATATCTTGAGTAATACCCCCCAAGCACAGGCAACCCCTAAATTGGTTTCCTCTTACCTTTTCTAGAGATGATGGTGATGACAGCAGTCTACCAATGTTTTTGCATTTCTCTGGCTCTCCAGATATGGTAATGAATGAATGAATAAATAAATAATTTTAAATGCCTGGGAAAAGCAAAGATACCCTAGCATAAATTTCCTATCTTTAAGATTTTGGGCCAGGCATAGTGGCTCACGCCTGTAATCCCAGCACTGTGGGAGGCCGAGGTGGGCGGATTACCTGAAGTCAGGAGTTTGAGACCAGCCTGGCTAACATGGCGAAACCCCGTCTCTACTAAAAGTACAAAAATTAGTTTGGCATGGTGGCATGTGCCTGTAGTCCCAGCTACTCGGGAAGCTGAGGCAGGAGAATCACTTGAACCTGGGAGGCAGAGGTTGCAGTGAGCCAATATCACTCTAATGCACTCCAGCCTGGGTGACAGAGCGAGACTCAAAAAAAAAAAAAGAAAAAGAAAAAAAATGGATTTGTCTGTGCACATTGCCACATTCAGGTAAGTGAGAGTTTGGAGCTCACTAGGTAATGATTAATGCCGACCCCAAGCAACATATACAGCTGCAGGACGGCCAGCATCCTTCAGAAGCTCCACACAAATGGATACATGATTGGTAAACTTCCCCTGCTGAGTTGTTAAGTGGGGCCATGCTAGCTTCCCAGACTTGAAAAGAAATGAAAAGGACAACCTCCTAGGACAGTTAGGCCACCACACCAAGAAGGTGGCCTTAGCTCATAAGCTTTCTTATGGTTCCCCTCCACACGTAAACATCTCTGTCAATATCCACACCTCCTTCCTCCAAGTGGTCAGATTTTAGATGTCTTAGTGACCCCACAATGGCAAAGTTTTTCTTTGTTCAATGATCCAGGCAAGATTTAATCACAGCATCTTGGAGCTGGAATGGCCCTTAAAAATCTGATCAAATCAAGGCTGCTGGGATTCAGACTTTGTGCCTCCTGGCTTCTCAGTCTACAATGCTATTGAACACCTTCTCTATTCAAGAAGAAGGAGGAAAACATTTCATTTGGGCCTCGGTGAAAGTGACAAGGAAAAGAGAGGTGAGAATTGACTCTCTGCCCCATTGAGTAATGGTAAGTGGAGGAGAAAACAGGCCAGTGAAGACAAGGGGACTGGAATGGATTTGGGGAGCGCAGGGAAAAGCTTAAAACCTATGACTAGGGAAGGTTGCAGTGAACGTTGATAAGAAGCAGACAGGAACCCATGGAAGAGTCCAGGCCATGAGTCAGAAGCAGGAGAGGCTTTTGAGCAGTCACAGTCCAGCAAGCACCACCTTAACGGTAGGCAGCTACTGTGCAGATGCCTGCCTGAGCCTCCCTCTTGGCCAGAGGCAGTCACAGCTGAGTGGTGAGTCAGCACCAAGCAGTCATTCATCCTTTTTTGAAGCCAAGACTCTAGTCATTTCTGAAAAAATAATAAATACAAAAGGATCAAGGAGAAACTGTTTTTATTTTTCCTTCATAACAAATGTAAGTGGACCCATTATATGTTTTACTAATAAAAGCAGCCACGTCTTAAGAGCACCATGGATGCTACATTAATAAATTTCGTCCATCATTGATGCTGCCAGTGGTGCCAAAGGATAGATGTTGTTTGCCCAGCAGTGACATTTGAGGATCTGTCAATGTAACACTGTCCACCAGAAAAACATTTCCAAAAGCCAAGTGAGGACTTTCACTCATTTAAGAGGCCAGAGTGAGCCAGCTCACCATCACATGTATTTCAGTAATAGACAAAAATAAATTCTGTGCAACCAATTGTTTCAGCAGGTCCTTCTCCACATCCCCAGAGCCTCTGTCTTATTTCCTAGTAGCACATACCAGCCTCTCCCGTTCCACTAAACCCAGAGTCCACCCTTCTGGGCAGCACTTCCATGCATGAGCCAGTCACAGTATAGACCCTGTACTCAAATATCCCAATTCAAATCCTGCTTCCACCACTTACCAGCCATGTAAAACTTTGGCATGTTTCTTAATTTCCTTAAGAAATTTAAGCTTCAATTTCCTCATTTGTATAACAGAAAATATTATAGTACCGTGGGGTTTGCATCAAATGTAATCATTTGTATAAAACACATATCACAGTATCTGATGCATAAGTGCTCAGTAAATATCATCACTATCACTATCATCAACATCACCACCACCACCATCACCATAATCATCACCATCACCATCACCATCATTACATTATTGTCACCACCACCATCATCATCACTACCACAATCACCATCATAATCACAACTACCAACACCATCACTGTCATCATCACCACCCTCACCATCATCACCATCTCCATCATTACCATCTCCATCACCATCATCATCATCATCATCACAATCACCCTCACCGCCACCACCATCCTCATCATTATCACCACCCTCACCCTCACCTTCACCATCGTCATCACCATCATGATCACCATCATGATTACCTTCAGCATCATTATCGGCAGCAATAGCAACAGTGGCATCTCAGGTCTTTTCCCCACTCAGGCTATGCCTGTTCTGTGTCTTCCTCCCTCAGCGCGCTGTTCTCCAGCACTGGTCTGCTAAACCAATGTGTGCCAAAAGCAGAGGATTTGGACAATGCCAGGACTGAGAAGGAACATGTTTGACCAGATCTTTTAGAACATTTCAAACCACACAAAGCAGGTGAAAGGCTGGTCCCTATTTATTATACTATGGTTCTATCCAAATGGAAGGGTGCAATGCCTGGCAAGGGCATCCTAAAAATTTTTGGCCAAATAAATAATATCTGAAACTTTTTGGACAAGCAAACCAAGGCATATGCCTCTTGTTCATATCAAGTGGTTTCTAAGCTGCTTCAAACAGGAAATCTACTCTTGAATCCAGTCTTGTGTGGGAGACAAGAACATCCACAAGCAACTAACTGTACTATCACGGGGTAATGCTACCAGCCAGATGATAACAGTAATAAAAATGGTAATGATAGCTACTATTTATTGAGTCCAACTATATGTCTTGCATTATACTGGTCAATTCCCATATCTCAACATATTTAGTCTTTATAACAACTCTTCACAGATGCTATCATGACCCCAATCATGCAGATGAGGGAACTATAGCAATGTGGTCAAAGATCACCCAGTTAGCAAGTGGCAAAGCTACTTCAGTTATTTTTGAGTTACATCCATCTAACTCCAAAACTACTAATCCACACTGGGTGGCTGGAAGGCTGAGAGAGGCAGTCATGGGAGAGCACAGCTGAGGAGTGACTGATTTCATAAGAAAGGGAGGTGGGAAAATCTTCACAGAGGGGATGAATTTGACCTTGTAGAAGGAGTTTGCTAGGCCAGCAAGAAAGGGCTTTTTAGCAAAGGAAGCCATGTGAACAACCATACGGAAACATCCTGGATTTGGGGACCAGGGAGGGATGCACACAGCGTGATAGGAGCACAGAGCACATGAAATGAGGCCAACATCTTACAGCCTGATCCCTCTGGGTTGACTATTGTGTCCCAGCACCGGCACAACCTCCTCATTTCTTTTGCAGCTGGTAGGGCATACGATGTTGCCTTGACCCATTACATTTTCCAATCTCTTCTTGTTCTCCTTGACTCCAGATGCTGTGACACCCAACATGTAATACTGCCCTGTTGGGACTGGTCCCTGGCTTCCTTTCCCCATCATCATTAATTCCTCCAAATAGTCTACTTCCTGTCACTCAGAACAATCAGCTCATAGAATCTAGCTTAAGACAGAGGACATTTTCCAAGTGCTGTCTTGAGCCCCCAAAATGGGCTTAGACATTACCTTCTAGGCCAGAGGTTCCTAACTGCAGATACAGAGAGGGGCTCCATAGATTCACAAACCATTAGAATACACGCAAAAGTATTGTAGCTGAAGTTTTAAGGGAAAATGAAGCTCTCATTAGAGTCTCAAAAGGAAAGGAAACCTGGCTTTTCCAAAAGATTAAAAATGATATCAGTGCTGGGCTGTTCAATATCATATGTAGCCACTAGCTACGTGCAACCATTTAAATTATCTAAAATTAAATAAAATTTAAAATTCAATTTCTCAGTCTCACTAGCCACATTTCAAATGCACATGTGGACACTGAACAGCACAGATTCCAGAACATTTCCGTCTTTGCAGAAAGTCCGATTGGAAAGTGCTAGCGTAGATAACGGGGAGCCGTCAAGGATGCTGAAGAGGGGAATAACATGATGAGCTACGTAATTGGAGAGGCCAACTGTAGCAGCAAAATGGAGGGCAGATTTGGGAGGGAAAAGCCATAGTCAGGGAAGGCAACTGGGAGGAATTGATTGTGGTAGCAGTGGGAATGGAGAGGAGGTCACAATTTTGAGGAATGTTTCAGAGCACTTGAGGAAAGACTGAGTCAGGGGATAGAGGCAGAAAAAGAAGACAAAGACAACTCGAAGCTTTCTTATTTGAACAGTAGAAAATGCTTTCTACAGAGCTCCTGTCTGGCCTCCTCTCTTGCCACTGCTCCCTTCATTCACCTTGAACACCCTGGGCCAGGTCCTGTGTCAGGGCCCTCAAGGTGCCATTCCCTCTGCCTGGAATACTCTTACTCTAGGTCTCCAGATGTCTCCCTCCCTCACCTCCTGCAAGTGTTCATTCATTGGTGCCTTTCCTCGTAAGCGTGAGTACTAGGTGCTGAGGAGACAGTGAGCATTGCGAAGCAGATGTGAGGGGTGGGTGAGGAAGACGATGAGTCCTTCTGAGTGTGCTGAGTTTGAGGGGGTCCAATAAAATGCTGGTTGTAGGTCAGCTGATCAGTATCAGTGACACGTGTTCATCGAAGAAGGGCAGACTGTGTGCTGACAGGCCTGGCCCGGAGCAGACTTGGGAAACAGGCAACGCTGCTGTCTCACCCCAGGTACCCAAGGCCTTCTAGTACCCTCTATCTTTTCAAATCTTCTCCCAGGAAATGTCCTGATACACTTATTAATACTAAGTCCTAAAACACTAATATGGGCAATGTTAGCCAACCCAAGTAATTTTCATTTTAATTTGGAACAGGGTCCTAAGTTATAAGACTGAATCTCTCATGGTGGGTTTTTAAGTATCAATGACGAATCTGTCGAGAACACACTTCCCTACTTCTCCCACCCAGAATACCTCATAGCTGGCTTTCTGATCTCCTCTGAGCTGACTAAAGCAATTTTTGAAAGGCATTCACTAGTGAGTGGACAAAAAAATTCTTTGTGACTAACTCCTCATTACTCAGAAAATTTAAGTGGATCAAACATCCCATCCCCTCACCCTTTGAGTATGTTGGTAATCACAATGTTACTGTATAATGTGAAATTTTCCAAATAGAACTAAACTCAGGTCTATAAATACACATGATTAAGCCTTCAAATATAGCACTGCTTTATTTTCATGGGGGCTATTTCTGTGTGGTGATTGCCTGGCTGATTTGCAATTTCAGAATACAAATGGCTTTTCTCCATAACTAATAGGAAACTTGGCAGGGTGCTGCACACCCAGGCCCTCTGTGAAGAAGTCTGTTCAACAGTGGCAAGTGCTCTTCTTCTGAATTATATAAGCAGGGCTGACAAGAGGCAATGGTACAACTCCACATCCTGCTAAGTTGAAATAGTGTCTGTTTGGTTTTTCTTCTGGTGCGAGAGGAGTACTGACTCTTCTTGCAATAAATAATAACATGATCATGAGCATATATCCTTATTATGTTCTAAATTAAATACACAAATTAGGTACAAATTAGGAATACATGCAAATGAAGGTTTCTCTCACCTTGGATTCCCAAGGAACTAAAAAATGTTTAAATAAAAGTGATGTAACTAAATATTACATCATTCTTAAATATATTTAAATAATAATGATGTAAATAAATTAATAATCATGGTGACTAAACCAAAGAGGAACTGCATGAAACAACTTATGGCTTTATCAGCAAAACACTGACTAAAGAGTTTATCATGTCCATTTAATAGAGAGGAAAGCAGGTTATGATCTTACTGTACTCTCAATATCATAAAGCAACTTTTGTAATATCATCATAGACAATAAAACCCAACTCTGAGCCAGACCCTTCTAGGTAAACACAACAAAATGGCTACATTTTGAAGTAGCTTAGATAATGACAGACTTTGGAGTCAAAGCTCTAATCCCAGTTCTCTCACTGATTAATTTTGTGGCTTTGGACAAATGTGGCTTAGGGAAGTTTTCTCATAAGTATAATGGTGATTTTAAAGAGCAGTTTTAGACAATTTGATGTGTCTGAGAAGATAAAAATTAAAGTTGGAAGTTGCCAAGGCAATTAGGACTCGTAGAGAATCAAGAAGCCAGAGAGAAGAGGGGTGCAAAAATGTGAGGCCAACATCAGCATCAGTTTTCAAGTTATTTTCTGATTAAATTGTACAAGAGGCTCAAAAGTCAAACAGAAAGTGGGTGCAAGGCAAAGTAGGGTTTCAGGCAGTCTCATAATGTTATGGAGAGAAAACCTGAGTTCAGAACTTGTAAAGGAGGACCTGAAAAATATCCCAGGCCCCTAGCTGGGATCTTTACAGGGCTGCATCTTAGGAAGAGGGTGAGCCAGAACTAGATGGACCTTCTCAAAGACAGCAAACCAGCCACGGAGGCAGCATGGTCCCAGCTGGATTGGCGTGATCTGCCTCTGGCTCCTTGCAAAGGAAGAAGGTAAATCCTGTCTGGAGGCAGAAAACATCATCCAGAGCCTGTGCAATGATTCAGATACAATGTCAGGCATTCATTAAAGAATTGACAGACATAGCAAGATATAGGACTGAAAGAAAAATCTGACAACAGACAACTCCAGGTACTGGAGTAATTGGGCACACTAAAATAACTGTAATCAATATGCTCAAGAAAATTGGTGACAAGAGTTTGCTCAAAGAATTGGAATTTGTTAAAAGAGAATAGAATGAAAATTATAAAGATGAAAAGTACAACTAAAATTAGAACTCAGTAGATGGGTTTAATAGCAAGCAGAGCAGAGCTGAAGAGGGGATTGGTGTGCTGGAAGAAAAGTGAGTCGAAAATACGCAGACTGCATCTAGGCACCTTCTAGGCAAACTGAGGAAAATCAAAGACAGGCCGGGCATAGTGGCTCACACCTGTAATCCCAGCACTTTAGGAGGCCGAGGCAGGCAGATCACTTGAGGCCAGGAGTTTGAGATCAGCCTGGCAACATGGCGGAATCCCATCTCTACTAAAAATACAAAAGTTAGCCAGATGTGGTGGCACAGGCCTGTAATCCCAGCTATTTGGTGGGAGGCCGAGGCAGGAGAACCGCTTGAACTGGGGAAGCAGAGGTTGCAGTGAGCTGAGATTGTGCCACCGCACTCCAGCCTGCATGACAGAGCAAGACTCTGTCAAAAAAAAAAAAAAAAAAAAAAATTAAACACAAACATTTTAAAGAGCTGCAAGAGAAAAGAGACATTATCTTCAAAGGAGCAGAAAAAGACTGAGAGCTGACTTTTCCAATGAGAGACAGAGGCATAAGACAATAAACTGACAGTTTTTAAAGTGCTTAAATAATTGACAATCTAGACTTCTATACATAGTGAATATACCCTTCAAAATTAAAGGTGAAAAAAAGACATCTCCAGACAGAGAATTTGTCAGCAGCACATTTGCACGAAAGAAAACATTTAAAAGCTTTAATTCTTCATAAAGAAAGAAAATTATCCAGAAGGAAGCACAAAATGTTAGGAAGGAATGAAGAGCAATGGAAAGGGTGAATCTAAATGAATATTAGCTTATAAAACAATAACAATATTTTGATTACAAGGTAGAAAAATTACGGCTATGAGCCAGGTGCGGTGGCTCATGCCTGTAATACCAGCACTTTGGGAGGCTGAGGTGGGTGGATCACCTGAGGTCAGGAGTTCCAGACCAGCCTGACCAACGTGGTGAAACTCTGTCTCTACTAAATACAAAAAATTAGCTGGGCTTGGTGGCGAGTGCCTGTAATCCCAGCTACTTGGGAGGCTAAGGCAGGAGAATCGCTTGAACCGGAGAGGCGGAGGTTGCAGCCAGCCGAGATCGCGCCACTGCACTCCAGCCTGGGCAACAAGAGCGAAACTGTCTAAAAAAAAAAAAAGGTAGAAAAATCTCTATACAAGAATAATTGCACAAAGCAGTGGCCAAGGTAGTTGTTTTATAAGGTCTTAGCATCGGCAGCATCATCTGGGAAGTGAAATAAGTATCCATTCTTAGTAAACTGTAATAAGCCACAATGCCTGCTGTAATCTTCAGGCTCACTGGTGAAAGAATGAGTTACTAACAAACTAATAGAATGGAGAAAAAGGAATAATTAAAATTCCTTTATATATCCAAAAGAAGGCAAGAAAGATGAGAAAAAGGAACATAAAACATGAAATAAAAGTTAAAGTAAATCAAAATACGCCAGTAATTACATAAAATTCAAACATACTCTAATTAAAAGACAAAGATAGCTTGACTAATTATATATGTTGCTTACAAAAAATCCTTAAATATAAAGAAACAGAAAGATTAAGCAAGAGGATGAGAACACCTACGCCATGAAAAATCTAACCAAAAGACAAGTGGGGTAGTTATATTGTCATATAAGACAAGGTACACTTTAAGTCAAAAAGCATTACTACAGTTAAGGACATTTGCTATTGATGAAAAGGCCTATCTACCAGGAATATAATTCTAAATTTGTATATATCGAATAACATAGTCTTGAAATACATCAAGCAAAATATGACAGAATGTCAAAGTGGAATAAATCAGCTCATCATCATAGAGTAACCCTCCATGCTCCTGTAGGGTGTGCCAATACAAGGCTGCTCTTTTCTCAGGCCATTTCTCCATAGGGTTGAGTTTGCAGCAAGTAACCTTGAGGGATGAGGTTATGTCTCCTTCTGGGACAAAGAGCAGGCTTGTTTGATGCTTGCTGTAAAAGTGGTGCATTGCCCATTATTTGTCTCCTATAACACAATCCACTGAGCACTCAGGCCTTCAGCTGGACCCTCCACATTACCTCCGTAGGGCTTGGGGAGAAGGAGGAACTGACAGAGGCAAACATGCTGACACTCATGCTACTTACTGTGCTGAGTGAGTCTTCTGCTTATCACCCAGGAGTCTTATGCCTTCTGCCAGCAATGCATAACTTATTAGCTTGTAAGTAGGTACGATCAAATCCCAAGCCCAAGAATATGTTGCTTACAACAGAAAAATTCTAAATACAAAGACACAGAAAGGTGATGTAAGAGTGGAAAAAAAAATGCCATTCAAAAAGCAACCAAAAGAAGGCTGGTGAAGCTATACTAACATAAGACAAAGTAGATTTTAAAATGAGAAGCATATTGAGAGTTAAAGACAGACAGTTGTAAATAATAATAATAATAAAGACTATCCATCAGGAAGGTATAATTTTGTTTGTACGCTTTTAATAACACAGCCTCAAAATACACAAGGCAAATTTGATGGAACTAAAAATAGAAATAAACCTGTAATTACACTGAGATTTTTTTAAAAACACACATTTCACAGTAACTGATAGAACAAGCAGACAGAAAAAAACCCCACGAAACAATAACTGATAGAACAAGCAGACAGAAAAAAAACCCACGAAACATGAGGAGGTATAAGGGATTTGAACAAAATGATTAACAAACTCTGCCAAATATTTATATATACCTAAGTACTATAGAACATACAGCACAATCTTTTCAACTGTACGTGGAACACGTACAGGAAAAGTCATGAAAAATTTAAAAGGATTATCATAATACAGGCTAGGTTTTCTGACGGCAGTAGAGAAGCTAGAATCTGTCGCCTAGGCTAGAGTGCAGTGGCACCACCATGGCTCACAGCAGCCTCGACCTTCCTGGATTCAGGTGATCCTCCTACCTCAGCCTCCCAAGTAGCTGGGACTACAGGTATGTGCCACCATGCCTGGCTAATTTCTTTCATATTTTGCAGAGACAAAGTTTTGCCATGTTGCCCAGGCTGGTTTCAAACTCCTGGGCTCAGTCTGCCCACTTCAGCCTCCCAAAGTGCTAGGATTATAAGCATGAGCCACTGCATGCAGCTGAAGCTAGAAATTAATAACAAAAAGAAGAAAAATGCCCAAATGCTTAGAAATTAAGTAATCCACTTTTTTTTTTTTTTTTTTTTTTTTTTTTGAGACAGAGCCTTGCTCTGTCACCTAGGCTGGAGTGCAATGGTGCGATCTCGGCTCACTGCAACCTCCGCCTCCCGGGTTCAAGCGATTCTCCTGCCTCGGCCCCCCAACTAGCTGGGATTACAGGCATGTGCCACCACGCCCAACAAATTTTTGTATTTTTAGTAGAGACAGGGTTTCACCATGTTGTCCGGGGTGGTCTCGAACTCCTGACCTCAGGTGATCCACCCACCTCGGCCTCCCAAAGTGCTGGGATTACAGGCATGAGCCACTGCACCCAGCCCACTTCTTAAAAAGTATTTTTTGTTGAGGTGAAACTCACATAAAACTAACCAATTTAAAGTGAATAATAACATGAAATTTAAAATTTTTAATTTTAAGTGAACAATTTAGTGGCATTTAGTGCATTCCCGATGTTGTGCAACCATCATCTCCATTAAAGTTCTAAAACATTTTCAGTGAAAATGAAAAAACATGGGTTAAAAATGAAATCACAATGGAAATTAGAAAACATTTTGAGCAGAATGTTAATGAAAATGTGATACAGCATGTGGGATATAGCTAAAGCTGTGCTATGAACATATTATATATTACTTTTCCCAATATAAATCGGAAAATTCAGCTTTATAATGGACAAATTCCTAAGATAACACAACTTATCAAATCCAACACAAGAAGAAATAGTGTAGTCTTACATTGATAAATACATTGAATCTGAAATTTAAAATCTTCCCACAAAGAAATCTAGCCTTAGATTGTTTCACTGTTGAATTCTTCCAAGTGTTTAAAGAAGAAATAATATCAATGTTACAAAAAACACTTCCAGTGAATAAAAATAGAGTACTCAAAAAACAACAACAACAACAACAACAAACCCCCTGCTGCCTGTAATCCCAGCACTTTGGGAGGCCAAGGTAGGCAGATTTCTTGAGTCCAGGAGTTTGAGACCAGCCTGGGCAACATGGTGAAACTCTGTCTCTACAAAAAATACAAAAATTAGCCAGGCATGGTGGTGTGCACCTGTAGTCCCAGCTACTTGGGAGGCTGATGTGGGAGGATCACTTGAGCCCAGGAGGTGGAGGTTGCAGTGAGCCAAAATTGCACCATTGCTCTCCAGCCTGGGCCACAGAATGAGACCTCGTCTCAAAAAAAAAAAAAAAAAAAAAAAAAGGACTTCTCAATTTCTCAATTCAGTTTATGAAGTCACTCTAATCTTGATATTTAACCTGACAAGTATGGTACAATAATAATAATTATTATTCTGATAGACCAATCTTTCTCATAAACATAAATGCAAGAATGCCAAATAAAATACTAGCAAATGTAATATAGCACTTATAAAAAAAGATTAGGATTGTAAGGTTAATTTTATATTAATTGAAAAAAAAAAAGTCAACTTCTACTTCTGCTCATCCCAGTACATCCCACTATAATCAAGTAAAAGTGGACAAAATATATGAAGCAACTATTTTCAGACATTGACCAACAGGCAGCATAGTTTCGTCATCCTGGAGAGGAAGAAAAGGAAAAAGGTTAGCCCTGTGATTGCCCTGGCTTTTGCCTACAGGCAATTTTTGAAGAGCAGCACAGTTTGCCTTTACCTAGGGGGAACCTAAGTAGAAGCCCAGCAGTCTCACTGAATTTAAGAGACAGAAACTTGGGAAGACTGTGCTGGCTAGAATTTGTAAGGGATAGTAACTAAAAGGAGGAAGTTACACAAAGAAAGGTCTCCAGAAATCTAAAGAGGGGTCCCCTTGAGTCTTGGCTGAATACTAATCTGTACATGCATGGGGTGAAACTTCATGAGGTCAAAGGACAACTGCCTGGGAGCTCTACTAAACAATTCCTAGAGCTCATACAATAGAAAAGGTTTTAATTTATATCAACCCAAGTAGAAATACTTCATTGAAAACCTGGGGCATCCAAAAGGGGCCAGAGAAGGGTCATAGCTTGGTAATAGAGCTAAGTTAGCCCTAGAGTAAAGGTACTCTACACCTGTGTAACAAAGCTTAAAAACAAACATCAAAAAGGTAGATCTAATCCACATGTAACTGCCTGCCAAAACAAACCTCAACACTCTTTAAAGGAAGACAACAAAATCCAAACATCCAACAACACAGCACTTGTAATGTCCAGCATCCAGTGAAAAATTACCAGGCATGTGAAGAGTAGCAACTTATGGCCCTAATTAGAAAAAATTCAATCGATAGAAAAAATAAATCAATGTAATCCACCACATTAACAAAATAAAGAAAAGCATATGATTGGGGAGAGAGAGAATTGGGACAAATACCTAATGCATGGGGAGCTTAAAACCTAGATGACGGGTTGATGGGTGCAGCAAACCACTATGGCACATGTACAAACCTGCACGTTCAGCACAGGTATCCCAGAACTTAAAGTAAAATAAAAATAAATAAATAAAGGAAAGCATACGATCATTTTGATAGATATAGAAAAAGCATTTGTTAGAATTCAGCATACGTTAATGATTAAAAAAGAAACACCTAGCAAGCTAGGAATAGAAAGAAGTTCTTAAAACCTGATACAGAGTGTATGCAAAAACCTATAGCAAACACTATACTTAGTGGTGAAATATTGAAAGTTTGCTCCTAAAACTGGGAAGAAACAAAGATACTTGTTCTGACTACCTCTTTTCAGCATTGTACTGGAGGCCTTCAAAAGGCCAATAATCTTACAGGTACAGATGGAACATTGATCTCCACTGAGTGTAAACAATCTAACCAGAAAGCTTTGATGCCTGTCAATTAATGTTGAAGCTTAAATTCTGGGAGTAAGACATGTTGCAGGGATGGAAGGAATGGATAATTAATATTTCTCTCCTCTTTCTCTCCCTCTCCTTTAACAGAATCTATACCAACCTCCTCATAAACCTTCTCAAGGGCAGCCATGTCCTCATTGGGCCTCAGAAAACCCTTCTTCTATGCCCCCCTCACGAATGTACCAGTGAACAAAGGCATGGTTGGCATACACCAGGTCAAAACTTGTGGTCCAGGTGAGCCCAGGTCTCAGCAAAGGCTGTGGTATTGCTCAGCATGCACACAGCTCTCTGTATCTTGGCCAGGTCTCCACCAGGTACCACCATGGGAAGCTCGTAACTAATGCCAACCTTGAAACCAGTGGGACACCAATCCACACACTGGATATTGTGCTTGGTCTTTATGGTGGTAAAGCAGCATTGACATCTTTATGGTGTCACCACAGTGCAACAGGCAGGAAGCCATCATTTGCCATGGCGAAGGTCACATTTCATCATCTGGTTGGCTGGCTCAAATCAAGCATTGATGATCTCTGCTCTAAAGCTCTTCATGATAGGCTTTCTCAGCAGAGATAACAGGGATCAGCATTCAGGAAGCCATCAACTCTAAGGGAAGCATAGAGGGCATAAACTGATGAATAAGGCAGTTAAAGTTAAAGAGACTTCACTAGCTATTGATAGGTTGAGCAATCAATATTGAGATTTCTATGACAGATGTCTACCACAAAGGAACACTCAGAGCGCTCCAGGGTAGTGTGGGTGGTGAGAATGGAGCTATAGGGCTCAACTACAGCTTTGGAAACCTGGGACACTGAGTAAATGAACTCCAACTTTGACTTCTTGCCATAATGAAGAGACAGACATTCTATCAGCAGGGAGGTGAACCCAGAACCAGTTCCCCAACCAAAGCTATGGAAAACCAAGAAGCCCTGAAGACTTGTGCACTGGTTGGCCAGCTTGAGAATTTGGTCCAACATGAGGCCAGTGATCTCCTCGCCAATAGTATAGTGCCCTTGGGCATAGTTATTGGCAGCATCTTCCTTGCCTGTGATGAGCTGCTCAGGGTGGAAGAGCTAGTGGTAGATGGCAACGTGAATTTTGTCAATGAATGTGGGCTCCAGGTCTACAAACACTGCCCTGGGCTTATGCTTGCCAGCACCTGTCTCACCGAAGATGTTAAAGGAGTCATCTCCCCGAGTGGTCTTGTCACTTGGCACCTGGCCATCGGGCTGCATGCCGTGTTCCAGGCCGCAGAGCTCTGAGCAGGGATTATCAATCTGGCCATCAGCCCGGCCAACGTGGATGGAGATGTGCTCACGCATAGTGGCTAGGGATTAAGAGACAAAGGCAACAGGAGCAGACACCAGGTCCCGGTCACTTCTCCTGAGAAGCTGAGTCAAGGTAACACACTCAGAAATCACACTTTTAAAACTATTATTACTTAACATGTTCTGCTTCTGCTTAAATATAAAATGACTTTAGGATAATTAGCATTTTTAGGCATACAGTATTACTTACCAGAGTCCCTTTCTATTATGTGTTTCTCATTCCTTTTTCAAACCAAAACAAATACTAATTTGTCTTTCTCCTGTAAGAATAAATATTGTAAACATTGGGACATTCTTTTTAGAGACCTTTTATTTTCTACCCTGATTTTGGCAACCTAGTCTTTTTGGTATATTGACCATAAGAGAAATTATTTAGTAGGCTTGTCTTACTCATGCACAGTTGGTGTTGTTCTGTTCTTTAATGTGTCTCAAGCAAAGAAATTTAAAGGGCAGCATGGTAAGAAATTTGCCTAAAAGTTACATGATGGTTCTAGTCCCTGTTCAATTAATTGTGGTGTCCCAGGCAAATCACCCAATGCCTTGGTGTTCTCATCTATAAAGTACTAGAGTTGTTTTTGGCATTGCTGCCTGGCACAGAGTTGGCATTCAATAGTCTGTTGATATACAAATATTAGTTTCATAAACATCTTCAAAAGTTTTATTATATTGAATTCAATTCACTTCTGTGAAAAGTAGTCAACCAACTAAATGGCATGCAAATTAACAAGGTCTACTCCTATTGCACGCTATTTTCGTGGCAGTCTGAGATGAGAAGAAACTAGCACTGGAAGCAAAAAGGTAATGAAAATACAGTAACACAGTAAGCACTTTTAGTTCACTTTGTGGACAACTGAACTAGAAACCAGATGGAAAAAACTAAGCAACCAACCAACCAACCAATCAAAAATGGCCCAAATGAACCAGTGAACTAAAGTAGAAAAGGATCACTTCCCATCCAGAACTGTTTTTCGAAAAATGTCAATAAATTCAGCTCTTAAAAGAGCTTTTTATATTAAACCAGGCATCTTTCAAAGAGAAGCAGCTACCTTTGAGGTTCTTGAACTTAGGTTGCAACACAAAGATAAGTATAATAGAGAGAGTGCACAATGTTAAATCAAAGGTAGAGGGGAAGAGGATTGTGGGGACAGTTATTCTGGAGATCAAGAAAGAATTCAGTATGCTTAATGCAAAGTAACTGCTGGGGTCCTTGTGTGTTAAATATTCTTATGCGAGGAAACTGTCTTCATGTTTTATATTTGCCTTCATTTTCTTTTATTATTTCCAGACCACCTCTATTGGTTATGCTAAGTAATCCTTTTCTCTTTTTGGAGTTTAAACTTTTTAAGGAAACAAAAACTAAAGAACAGAAAGCCAGACACATTGGAAATACAAACTCTTCTTTTACTGCATAAGAAATGAGAAGAAAAACTTAGTGTGAAATTCTGGAGTCTAAAATTAAAATGTAAACAGAGAATGCTCAGTGACCTTTTCTTAGGAGGCTCACATGAAGGAATGTCATGGTACATTGACCAAACTTTTATTCATTTGCATTTTCAGGATGTTGCGATTAATACCACATGACACTCAATAAATTACACTACGACATTTTGTACAAATCACTTCACTTCTGGTTTCCTCTTCGGCTGTTACTTCACCCTCTGGTTACCTGTAGGGAAAAAAAATGTATTTTGGGGCTTTATCTTTAAAGGGCGATTCACAGTTCTAGCCAATGTAAAGATATTGGTTCCCAAGGAAATAGCTACCTAAGTTATGTTTTTTTTTTTTTTTTGAAGGAGTTTTTGCTCGTCGCCCAGGCTGGAGTACAGTGGCGCCATCTCAGCTCACTGCAACCTCCCCATCCCGGGTTCAAGTGATTCTCCTGCCTCAGCCTCCACAGTAGCTAGGACTACAGGTGCCTGCCACCATGGCTGGCTAATTTTTGTCTTTTTAGTAGAGACGGGGTTTCACCATGTTGGGCCGGATGATCTCGATCTCCTGACCTCAGGTGATCCGCCCGCCTGGGCCTCCCAAAGTGCTGGGATTACAGGCGTGAGCCACTGCACCCGGCTCGTGTTCTAAGGAAATAGCTACCTAAGGTATCTTATTAAAACAAATGAACAAAAAGTTTCCCAAACTGTGTTCTAAGGAAATAGCTACCTATCTTATTAAAAAAAAACAAAAACAAAGTTTTATGCTCTAATAAGTTTGGGAAATGCTAGGTTAAACAAAGCTAAACATGATTCTTTCCAGTGGGACATCTGAGAGTCTTTAATTAGCTAACAGTGCATTGTGATTCTGCAAAGGAGGAACAATAATTCACTGTTTCCCAAACTTATCTGACCATAGAACATATTTCTCAGAGTATTTTTCAAGAGTAGTATTTTCTGTAATATATGATGAAAAATAATCGTATCGGCCATCTTTGTACATAAGGTCAAAATGTCAGGCAGCCCTGAAATAAACGCAAGCCAAAAGGTAGAGAGATAAGTGAATAAAGCTGGCACACTGTCAGTCCGGAGTACCATGCTGCATTCTGAGTCAAGCTCCAGGAAACTGAGCTAGGGTTTGTCTCTAAGAAGAAAAACTGGAGCGTCCAAAGCTTCTGGATTCCATTTAATTAAAACCCTTTTAAATTAAATCCTTGTAACTGAAGAGTATCGGTGGATGAAGAAAAAATAGTCTCACATGTCTTCATTTCCATCCTTGGCTCAGTACAGCTCCAGTTCCATTATTCTTAAACATCTATTAACATGATTGCTAAATAATTACACAGGCTAACTGCCAAGCATTTTTCACAGGAAGCAAGGCACTGCTCTTCTGGCTTATGCAAAAGGGTCACTGTTTTTTTTTTTTTTTTAACTTTATCTTGTTTTGATTGAAGAAACATCTCTAAAAATACCATCTGAGTGCAAGATAAAAAGGAAATAGCAATTCAAGGCACAAAGCTAAGCACATGCAACAATATAGATGATTTGGGGGTGGGACAGTACAGAATTCAGAACTGATAGAAGTTATCAGCTCCATATTTCAGAAAGACCTAATGTCTTCCTTCTGCTTATACTGTTCTGACAGAATTTTAATTTTGGCAGAGATCACTCTCGATGTTATGATGTACTGATTCAGAGGTCCCAAATCAGTAACCTGATCCTAGATAGATCCTCAAAGGTCAACTGCCACTAGGTGTCCCCTTCTTGATCATTCTTCATGCTGCCTGGATTGGGGCATGGCTAAGCACTCAAGTCAAAGGATTAGTTGGCAATATCCTACATTGTCAACAAAGCTTTGAAGAAAAACAGAGACAGAAACTGGTATTTACTAAGTACCTAGGTGATAAATTATTTTCATAAACATTACCCTATAAAACAGACAACTCTCCTGTCCCAAATCCAAACAGATCTTTTTCCTTTATTTACAGATAAAGAAAATGGGCTTAGAGAGGTTATAAAATTTGTCTAAGGTCTAACCAAATGCTGATAAGCAAATTAGGTACAACTCTGAGCCAGGTCTCGATGAGTCCAAAGTGTGTTTTATAATATCTTGCTGTCTCTTGATCATTACAAAATTTCATTTGTTTACAGGAGCACAAATGGCCTATTTATGCCTTTTCTCTCAGCATCTAGCAAAACATCTCAACTTTTATTACACCAACTTTGGGAGTCTTGATGATGTTTAAATCTTCTCATTCATTTGCCTAAATCAATAGAGCTATTTATCCTCAACTGTTGGCAATGAACTTTCTTAACTCAGAATTTTGAAAAAAAAAAAAAAAAAAGAAGAAGAAATTCTAAATACTTGAATTGCTTCATTTCATGCTCATTCTTTTGGGCATGGCTCTTTTTGGTTTTCTTTACAAAGAGATTCTAAAATCATGACACATTTAGATATGAAAAATAGGATGGAGAGCAATGGGAACACTAATCTGAAATAGTCACATGGCTAGAGTACCTGTGTCTGTAGTAATCCCAAACTATATAGAAAACTCTTGAATTTATTAAGCAATCCCTCATGTGTGCTTGATTGAAAAAATAAACAAAGCAGTGCCGTAGAACTGTAGACTTGGATTCTACCCCCACTCTTCCATAGTTGCCACCCTGGTTAAGTCTCTCTGATTGTTTCCTCATTATTTAAAATAAGTACAGCTCTTAAATTCCTTCAAAAATTCCCAAGATTCTACAGTCAACTGCCACTCACTTGCCTTTCCAATGAATAAACCGTTTAAAAGAATTCAAATCCCACCACCTTTACCCTTTCTAAATTCTTTTGACAAGGACAAAGGACTTACCCATCCATCTTCCACCTAAATTTGCTTTTTAGTGATAGAAAAACCAAGCAGCAAAGAAAAAAGTATGGTCACTCATCTAGGCAAGAGTGATGTACATTGCTTGGACAATAGTTAAGGAGAGAGCACTTAACAGCCAGCTTATTTTGGTTGCAGGTATCATACCTCATATCCCCTAAGGGAGAGAGAAAAATCAATCTTTTCCAGGAAAGATGGTAATACAGTAAAGCTTCTTTCCCTTGCTTGGCCTGATACCAAATATTTACAAATGAAAATAATTCTATGAGTGCGATTCCCCATACAGATGCCCACAGCACCTGCTTTCAAAATCTTTTATCGGAGAAATTACATAACAGGCTATCTGGCTTGATCCTTACTCTGATAACAAATAGACCTGGGTTTCCTAGTATCGCGTCCTTGGTATTTCACTCCTCTCATCGTCTCATCACTTTCATTTCCCCTCATCACCTGACATTGACACAAATGTCCTGATGCAGTAGGATACATCATAAAATGAGAGTCTGTACCATATTCAACACAGCCTGGTAGAGCTGAGCAAACACTAGTCACTCAAAAATATAACTGACTTGACTTTCTGGGTTTAATTTCCCTATGAAGCAATCATTCCTTCAAAATGTCAGGACCAGAAGGATTTCAATGGTAGTGTGCAGTTCTTGCTTGTTTCTTCAAAGATTCCTTGGACATGGCCAGGCCCATAGGTGGATGCACTAGAGGAGACATTCTGGGGTAAATGCTCCCCTCCCCTTTAGATACTCTAGCAGATGATCAAAATGGGAAATAGAGAACTAGTGGGCAATTTTCCCCTCTACACATACATATAAACATTTCCTTTTTTTTTTTTTTTTTTCCAGTTCTGGGCACCATGCCCAGGGACCTTGTAAGCAGAGGTCCCTTGTCAGAAAACATTAGTCACATTCACTGGTAATTCTACATTATAGCCTCATTCATGTGAAGACAACACAGTAATCTTAGTACAGTGCTTCTCAAACTACAAAGTGCCTGTGAATCACCTGGGGACTTTGTTGCAATGTAGATTTAGATTTAATAGGTTTGGAGCAGAGCCCAAACTTCTGCATTTCTATAAATAACAAACTTCAATACGATGTTGATGCTGTTGGTTCACAAATCATACTTGAGTAGCAAGGTCCCAGGTACCTCTGCCTTCCCATATTTGAACCACATTTTACCTGAAGGTCTCCTTGTGGCTGGTTATCCCAAGAAAAATAAGGCAGAAAACTCAGAATTTCTGCCATGGGAAAATTCTACCCTGCACACAGGAGTTAAGTTCTCTGACTCTCATTGCCCAGACTCAGGATCCTGCTTCTTGCCCAGATTGATTTGGCAGAGTCCTCCTATTTAGCTGATGACAAATCCTGGCTCAGCCTAACCAGCCTTGGCTGATGCCACTCTGCCAGCAACCCAAACATTAGTGGTGTGGAGAACCTCCTAAAATATAGATTCCTAGGCTCTAATCCTGAGATTCTGACTCATTCAGTCTGAGGTGTGCCTCAAGAATAAACAGACATCTTAGGTGATTCTAAGGCATTCTAAGATTTGAGAGAAGGAAATGCATGTAACCACTTTGATAGATTGAAGAAACCTGTATCTTACTGCTAATAATATCTTTACATAAAGACAGCAAACAAAGGTAAGAAAAAAGGAAACAGAATTTAAGCATTTGATAGTATAACAGAAGAAACAAGTTCCTTCCCAATTTGGACACTCAAGGGTATTCGTGGTTAAGTCCAGTATATTCTGTCCTCTTCTTTAGAGAAGTTCACTAAAAATGTGAAGTATATATTATATATTCATAGAAAATGATTTTAATGTAGGTATGATTACAGACACACTCAGTGATCAAAACATGAAAGGAATGGTTATTTGCTCTTCTGATTGAACAAATGAAACTAGAATTGTTCATACACATAATTTAAAAAAATATATTCAAGACACCGAAATCAGTTAACAAATATAAGAACTAAACATTAATTAGTGACAGTAAAATGGCAGAAGCAAATATAAAATACAAAAAACAGCTTTACTCAGACTTTTTGACTGCCATGTCCTCCTTTAGAAGGACTACAGTTTGGCTACTTGGTCTCTTCCGGGGCAGATGTGGCATCCTGAGGTGTGTTAGCTTCTGCCGGTGCAGATACAGCTCCTACCACAGTAGGGGTGGTCTCAGATAAAGCAGGGATGGCTTCTGGAGTGGAAGTGGCTCCTGTCTCACTGGGGGTGGTGTCAGTTTGAAAGGCTGGAGTTTCTTGACGGCAGCTGGTGTCTGTTGGACTGGGTATGATGTCAGCTTGAACAGTCATGGCCTCTTCTTCTGTTTCCAATTCTGTTTCTTGATTTTGAACTTCCTCACCCTCTTCTACCATAGCAGGTGGTAGTTGTAATAAAGTCTAATTAAAAAAAAAAAAACAAAGACAATACCAATATGAAAAACAGCTTATAAAGCTAAGCTCTCACATTACCATTCTAGAGTTCTCCAAAACAGTGCTGACCATTTTATACTCCAGATGTAACACCTCTGATGACAATGGTCTAGGTTCTGCTAACACCAAGGAATATGCCTACACAGATGTCATATACTGATAATCAAAATACATATAAAATCTTCAGAGAGGAAAACAACCATGAAAAGCTATTAGATTTTTAAGCAACATACTTTGCTGTCAACATTTCTGCAAAAAACAGTGACTGATCAGGACTGATTATAAAACTAACTCAAGAAAGGGTCAACTTTAATCAAAGAGCCCTGTGAGCTGGGTGCGGTGGCTCATGGTGGCATTCCCGGCACTTTGGGAGGCCAAGGCAGGCGGATCACTTGAGGCCAGGAGTTCGAGACTAGCCTGGCCAACATGGTGAAACCCCATCTCTACTAAAAAACACAAAAATTAGCTGAGCGTGGTGGCAGGAGCCTGTAATCCCATCTACTCAGGATGCTGAGGCAGGAGAATCACTTGACCCTGTGAGTTGGAGGTTGCAGTGAGTTGAGATTGTGTCACTGCACTCCAGCCTGGGTGACAGAGAGAGATTCTGTCTCAAGAAAAAGAAAAAGAAAAGAAAAAGAGCCCTGTGAGAGGCAGAGAGGAGCCTGGCCTTAAGGCAAAGCCATGGGAGAAGGGAGCAGCAAGGAACAAGGTTTCTGTTCCGTTCAACCAGAAAACTGGAGCAACTCTATATGCTTAGCTTGCCCTTTGCCCCATGGCAGTCTAGTGACTTTCTCATCAGGGACTCTGCTTACAATGCTGGAAATTGAATGAATGAATTGATTGATCGATTGATTGATTGACTGAGACAGAGTCCCACTCTGTCGCCCAAGCTGGAGTGCAGTGGTGCCATCTTGGCTCACTGCAACCTCCGTCTCCCAGGTTCAAGCGATTCTCCTGCCTCAGCCTCCCAAGTAGCTGGGATTACAGACATGTACCACCATGCCTGGCTAATTTTTGTATTTTTAGTAGAGACGGGGTTTCACCATGTTGGCCAGGCTGGTCTCGAACTCCTGACCGCAGGTGATCCACCTACCTCAGCCTCCCAAAGTGCTAGGATTACAGGCATAAGCCACCGCGCCTGGCCTTTAAGATTTTTAAAAAGTACCGTGCACGACAGCAGCAAAAAAAAAAAAAAAAAAAAAGAAAACGAAAAAGAAAAATACTTAGCAAAATGTTAACAAAATATGTGTAAGGTTTGTATGTTGAAAACTACAAAATCCTGATGAGAATTTAAAGAAGATCTAAATAAACGAGAGATCTTATTCATGGATAGGAAGACTTAATATGTGAAGATGTTAATCTCCCCAAATAGATCCTAAACAATCCTCCTCTTCAAAATATCCTTTTAAAAACTGCAGCATGCTTTTGGGGGTAGAAACTGACCTGCTGATTGTAAAATGTATACAGAAAAGCAAAGGAACTGGGATAGCTAAGACAATTTCTAAAATGAAGAACAAAGCTAAAGGACTTATGTTATCTAATTTCCAGACTGACTGTAAAGCTACTATAATCAAGGTAGTACAGTCATGGCAAAGGGACGGATATACAGAATAATGGAACAGAATAGAAAGCCCAGACTCTCACATATATAGTCAATTGATATTTTGACTAAGATGACAAGCAAGTCAACAAAGAAAAAAATCGCCTATTAGGGAAGTGGTGCTCAAACAACTGCATATCCACAGACAAATGAATAAAACTCAGTCCTACCTGTATCATATAAAAATTAACTCAAAATGCATCATACCTAAGTATCCAACCTAAAACTCTGCAACTTCTAGAAAAAACCTTTATACCTCTGAGTTAGGCTATGTATTTTTAGGACATAAAAAGCATGAATCATAAAAGAACACTTTGATACATTGAACTTCATCAAAATTTAAAACTTTTGCTCTTTGAAAGACACTTACAAAATAAATAAACAAGCCAGAATGGGAGAAAATATTTGTAAAATACATATCAGATAAAGGACTTGTAGCCAGAATAAATAAAAACCTCTCAAAACTTAATAAAATATACAGCCTAATAAAAAAATGAGCAGGAAACCTGAGCAGACACATCCCCAAAGATATACAGATGGCAAATGACCACATGAAAAGATGCTCATCATCAGTCCTTAGGGAAATGAAAACCAAAACCATACTGAGACCACTGTATATCTATTAGAACTGCCAAAATTTTAAAAAGACGTACCATATCAAGTGAGGGTGAGGATGTGTAGCAACTAGAACTCTCACACTGCTGCTGAGAGTGTAAAGTGGTTCAACCACTTTGAAAAACAGGTTGGTAGCTTCTTAAAAAGTTAAACACATCCTTAACATAAATTCAGCCATTCCACTCTTAGGTATCTACCCAAGATAAAGTACAAAGACTTGTATAAGCAATAGTAGCCAGAAAAAATAAGAATACATACTGTATGCTTCCATTTATATAAAAATCTAGAAAATAGAAGCAAACCTATCATGACAGAAAGCAGATCCTTGGCTGCCTGGGAAGGTAAAAAGGGGACTGGTGAAGGGCAAGGAGGGATTACAAATGGGCACAAGGGAAAACTCTTGGGATAATGGATATGCTCTTTATCTTGACTGTGCTGATGGCTTCACAGGTAAATACCTATGCCAGAACATATAAAATTTTACACTTTAAGTTTGTGGACTTTATTGTATGTGGAATTCTAACTATATAAAGAAGTTTTAAAAATACGAATGTTACATAAATAATAATAGCCTGCTTTAGTTTAGCTGATTTCCCACAAGGAATTAGGTACTTTAAAGATTTATTCTGAAAAAAAGAAAATTATTTCTACAGCAAGAAAAATAAAAGTCGATTTTGAGAAACTCACCTGATGATAATGATGTGTAGTCTGTATCAAATGCATGTACATGTTGTATACAAAGTTTGCCATCTGGGGCATATTTTTTATTATTTGTACTTCATGAGATGGTCTCTCTCCATTCTAGAAGAAGGAAAAAAGAACGTTAAGTATCTAGTAAAACAACCCTAGAAGGTAACACTTCAACATAAACCCATTTCTTAATCTTATGAATAAGCACAATTAGGGTCTGGAAGACCTAACAGTAAGAGGACATAAAATGCAAGTGTGAAGAGTCCAATGAAGACTTCATGAATGTTAAAAAAAGACTTAAATAGAATTAATAAAAAGGGGGCCCAGGTCAGCACGCTCTGCCTGCTGGCCACGTGACTCCCATTAAAAAAAAAAAAAGACTTCATGAAGAATAGTGATTCCATTGAAATTTAGAAAGGTTAGAGACTAGAAGAGCTAAGAGTTGCCAGCTTTTAATATAATTTTGGGCTGGTAAGTTAAGTATGGGTTTTAGTTTACTATCTAATATAAAAGAATTAGTACAAGATAAGTAATTATTTGACTAGAGAGAAAAGTCAACACAGTCTGAAACAGCAGTTTCTAAGACTGTGTATGCTCCAAAGACAGTTCTTAAGATAATTCAGAAAGAAAATATTAACACTCTTTGTCCTACTTATATTTTTCTAAAAAGTAAGAGGCTAACATTTACTTTTATTTAACACATATACTATGAGTCAAGAGGGTGAATATTCAAATGCTCTTTTTAAGATTTTGGTGTCTATCAGAATCATCTGGGGTAGACTGTTAAATTGCAGGTACCTAGGCTCCAGCCCTATAGATTCAGATTCAGAAGGTCTGGGTGGAATGAGCTGATTCTTCTGTAGCTTCTGACAACAATCTAAGAAACACTGCTCTATAAGTGTAGGTAAGGTAGTAAAGCAAATCAAGAAAATACAGAATTTGCACTTCTTTTTAAACCACCCTAAAATAGAGATTAACAACTTTCCTATTTATAGTTATTAATAAAATGCTTATAAAGTCTTATCCTTTCTTATGATAGGAACAATTTAGAAAATCATTAAGGTAAAAAACATACCCCAAAAAAGGAGGATTCAATCTCAAAGTGAAAAGTTATTTAAAGAGCATGAAGTTAGAAATAATTTAGTAAATTAAACAACATTTCTCAGAAGTAAGCAGGATGGCAGCATTCCATCTAAGCAGGTATTCTTTTGATTAATGGTCATTTTCTGCAATGGTCAGAACTCGTATGTACAAATACGGCCATGCTATTATGACTAGGAACATGGAAGAGTTTTTGCTTGTTAGCTTATTTTCTGGAGTCTTGCCAAGAGCTGCCTTTCCTTGAGACACAGCACTCTCCGCCCCTCACTATCTCTTGAGGAGAAGATGGGGAGATGTTCTCAGCCCTAACCTCCCCAGGGCCTTGAACTCATGAGTGTTATCTAAAGCATGGGTTTCCAAGCCTTCTGTTCAGTGATATTGTCTGACCTGCACTCCAGATTTCTTCAGGTGTGACATGTAGCCCTTACATAGAAAGCACGTGGGGAGCTTGTTACACATGATGACACCTAGGCTCTGTCCCAGACCTCTTGTCAGGAATGTGCCTGTTTACTAGCCCACAAAAGATCAAGAAACTCGGATATAATAGGATTGTGTCTAGACTTGAGCCTGACACTTGAGGCTTTATGTGACCCTACCACCCCATGATCTCTCTCCACCATTTTCCTATTTCTCCACAGCAGCATTTCTTCAAAAATAAGTAAATAAAAAGGCACTTTTTATAAAGTACTTATTATTATTAAACACACAAGATTTAAGTTTTTTTTTAGTAGGGGTGGAGGGAAGACGTATACTGTGAACATCTAAAATAATGTTATTTAAAATCCAATGGACCCCCCTAGGACAATTCATTAAATGAAAAAGCAAAGCCCAAAAGTCTATAGTATAATAACCTGAAGGAAAATAATATAAAAGTAACATATCTCTTCTCCTTTATACAAAAGGAATATAAGGATAAACGTGAAACTAAAGAAACTGGTTACCTATGGAGGGAAGGTGCTAGGAAAAGGGGAGAAAGAAGGGGAGATAAGAGGGAGTAGTATTTCTCTATCTTTTCTTTAAATATATGTGCTCTCTCCTCCCTCATTTCCCCAGAATGTAAGCTTCTTAAGAACTCAACTATTTATTGCTCTATTTCCAAGTAAGTAGTTAAGTTCTCCTTACAAAGCTGAAGACAAACAGTACAGTATAATGATAAATAACATGAACTCTGGGATGTTATTCGAAAAGACCTCCTGGCTTTTCAGATCTTGGATCCTCTATCTGCTAGATGCATGGCCAAACTACTTAGCTTCTCTGACCCTAAGTTTCTCCATTTGTAAAACGGGGTTAATAAAATAATCTAATAACCTAATAGGCTGTTTTTACTGAGATGAAAATGAGATAATGTATGTAAAGAACTGCCTGCCTAATACATGGTAGCCACTAAATGTTGGCTGACATTATTATTTTTAATTTTTATTTATTTATTTTTTATAGAGACAAGGTCTCACTATGTTGCCCAGGCTGGTCTCAAACTCCTGGGCTCAAGCAATCCTCCTACCTCAGCCTCCCAAAGTGCTGGGATTACAGGCATAAGCCACTGCGCCCTACCGATATCATTTTTATATAGAAAATCTACCTCAGTTCCTCAGTGCAGCACACTCTAAAACAGGGACTAAATTATCTATAATAATGTTCCAAGCTAATGTGGTCACCTATAAGAAAATCCCAATTTCCACTCTGAGGAATGCTGTTTTATAAAATGAAGAAAGAAGTCCTACCTTTCTAGTAGTTGGGAAAGGTTCTGTTGGAATTATATGCAAATGAAGGGGGCGAGCTGTGAGCTGACTGAAAGCTGGAGTCAGTTCAAAACAGTTTTGGAAGAGGGATACTCTGGCGAAGATATAAAGTCCAAGTCTGGCTCTAGACATGGCCACTACCAAGCGACGGACATCCCTTTGGGAAATAAACAAAATAATTAGCACACTTCAAGATTATTAACATTTAAGCAGCTTTTTTTTTTTTCACAGATTTCATTAGATAGTCCTGTTAAGCCCTGGCAATAAAAAGTTAAGCTTCTTAAAAACTTAATAGAAGTTAATCAATGTTACGTGACTAATAAACCAAGTAAAAGTTAAGGCTTTATTACTAACCTCTTGTTGGTTTTTTGAAGGGGAGGATCACAAAATAACCAATGCACTTATTAAAAAGGTCTAAGTAATATATTAGTATTACAGTAGAGTTCAATTGTCAGTTACTAACTTACTGTATCACTGTCATTGAGTCAATTCGAACTAGCTCTTCTTCCACTTCACCTACCAAAATCCCAGGCTCCATTAAGGTAAAATTTTACTTCCTAGATAACTCTTACCACACTGTTTTATACTTATTTACAATAATAAGTACATATGGAAATACAGTATGATGTTATAAAACAACACAAGTTGAGCATCCCTAATGTGAAAGTTCAAAATCTGAAACTTCAGATAAGGGACAGTCAGCCTATAACATGTTTTATCCATGTATTTATTCTAGTATTTAGATTCAATGCCTGGCCTATAATAGGTACTCAATGTTCATATCAACAGTGATAAAACGGTTAAACTGAATGATCAAACTACACATGTAGCTGGCTATCTGATGAATGATGTCATTTTTCTTTAATTTATTTTTTTAAAAGAATCTAAGTTTTTTAAAAAAGGTTTGAATCAAATAAATGTGAAGAGGGCTAATGTAATTTCACCTCACTATTAAATAAAATGTGTTTTAGTGAGAAAAAATAATTTTGGTTTCAAATGCAGAGGACAGATTTTTTACCTGAGATGTTTTTAGATGGCTATTTAAATTTTTGAGTACTCTGCAAAAGAGAAGACTTTCATGAAGAATAATAAAGCCTGGGAGAATCACCTCCAATCTCTGAAAGAAAGTGTGAAGAGTGTTACAGAGATCTAATGTTACAGAGATTGTTCTCTGTAACATTCAGAGAGACAGAGAGAACCAGGAATTGGAATATTTATCTAATAGCTTTTCTTTGTGTAATGCAAGGTATTTGGGGAGTATCTCTAATTCGGCCTCATTTTTTATGGTTTTTTTTATGGTCTAGTCTATGGTCTTAAAATCATCTAGTTTCCTTAAGGAGGTACAGTGTGACACCAGCATATGCTATCACTTATATTCTTGTGCTACGTGTATGTGTGTGAAGGGACAGAGCAGGGATAGGTACCCTTTCCCCAGCAACAAACAAAATTAAGACATGCTCATTTAGGTAGAAGGAAAGGACATACTCCTTTACAGAAACCTTGAGGAATCTCTACATTTGTGACATACTGGATTCATGAAGGAAATATTATTTTCTAAGTTACTGTCAGCCAAATTATTATTTTCGCCACATTTCCTTAAAACCCCAAGGGGTTATGCTACAGTTGGGTGGTTCCAACACTGGTAACTGAAGGTACACTGCTAGAAATACCTAGCGTAAGTCCTCACACAAATATTATAAATAAAATTATAGTGGAATTTAATGTTGTTAGGAGGAAAAAGGGTTAGTGGTGGAAGCAGGTGATAAACTGTTGTTTTCATGGTGATCTCTTACATCCAGAAGGCCCTATCTCTAGACAGAGCAGCACAGATACAGCATTATTGCAATGACCACTGTATGGTCTCGGAGAAAACTTCTCCCCAGCCTTCAGTGCTATAGTGCAGTAAAGTGGCTTTTGTCAGTATGATCTCCGTTGTACATGAGGAGATTTGAACTACAAATTTTCTGCAGATTCAAATGTAGGTATCTTCCAAGGATATATTAATGAATCTGCCACTAGACCCTAAAGTCCACAAGGGCAGAGATCATGAATGTTAGATCTATTACTAAATATTAAGAATCTAGCACACTGACAAACAATGGATGGATCTGAAAATGTTTGTTAAATGAATGACCAAATACTACGAACATAACAAACTACCAGGCAAAAAAAACAAAGGATGGTAACATGAGTAGGCAGAGTTCCTTGGAGTTATGTCTTGAAAGCAGGGCAATATGGGCTACAACATTCTTTCTTAGTCCCCAGAAGATGGCTGGAGAGGAAAAGCACTGTTAAACAACAACGCCAACACTCTGATAGAACCCCTATGAGGAAACAACAGAGGAAAGCTGCAGCCTCATTACTTGGCTCAGAACAGGTTACGTGCATTTCTATTGGTAGCTAGGCTGTCCAAATCAGTTCGGTACAAGAACAATGAATGCTGGAAAAGGGACCAGAACTGTCCCACTACTCTGGCTACTAAACAGCTCCACATTGTCCTAAAACAGGCCTCTGGAACTGAAGCTGGCTCCAACCCAATCACCCAATTAGTCCACCCTGGCTGAAAAAAAGGTGTGAGCAAAAGAAATAAGGCAGGCACTTGGAAAACAGTCTAACAGTTCCCTAAAATGCTAAATACAGAGTTACCATATGACCCAGAAATTCTACTCTTAGGTCTACATCCAAGTGAAAGAAAAACAAGTGTTCACATAAAAATTGTATATGCATATTCATAGCAGCATTATTCATTCTAATAGCCACAAAGTGGAAACAACCCAATGTCCAATTGATGAATGGATAAATAAAATGTGACATAGCCACACAATGGAATACTATTCAGCAATGAAAAGGAATGAAGTACTGATACATTCGACAACAATGAACCTTGAACATATGTTAAGTGAGAGAAGCCAGTAACAAAAGACCACATATTATATGATTCCATTTATATTAAGTGTCCAAAATAGGCAAATCTACAGAGATAAAAAGTAAATTAGTGGTTGCCAAGGGTTTGGGGGAGTGGGGAGGGAAGTGATTGCTAAGTACAGGGTTTCCTGCTACAGTGATGAAAATGTTCTAAAATTGATTGTGGAGATAACTGCATAGCTGTTAATATACAAAAAAATCATTGAATTGTACACTTTAAATAGATAAATTGTATACGCAAATTACAACTCAATAATGTTATCAAAAAAATGAAATATGGCAGGAAGTAGGTTTCCTTGGTATCCTGAAACAGAAATAGTTCCTTGCCTATATATAAAAGGAAGGATATGAAAGATTAGCTTTCTAAAAATCAGAAATTCTTATTAAAAGTTTGATAAAATTCTAGCTAAGATACCTAGGCTAAGCTACCTGGGTAACTGGAATCATAAATAATGAACTGACATATCCCTTCTATGCACAACCACCACCAACACTATCCCCCATGAAGAAGTTGGAGTTTCAAAGGAAAATTTTGGCAAATACAAATAAATTTAAGTTATTGGGATAAAGGTATTTTTGCTAAAAAATTTTGATGTTCAAGACAATACTGAAATCAGGTTTTCTTTTAACCCTTCATTTATAAGCATTGTATCATCAAAATCTTTCTTGTTTTCTAAGTTTACAGAAAAATTAGGCAAAGGGCAGCACAGAACTAAAGTCACTGGAATTTGAAGACCAAGTACCACAGAGTTAAGAAAAAAGGTAGGGAGAGGAGGGGGGCGGAAGGAGTATTCATATATTCATACTGTAAGTTTTTGAGATGTTAATTATATAAACCATAGTGACAGTCCATTCAGATGGCAGTTATAAATCTCAATGAGAAGAAGGAATTGCTTTTGTAAAAAGTTAAGTCTGTAAATATTGGCTTGACACTTAATATGCAAAAACAAACTTCTAGTATGCAAAACAATTTTTTAAAACATTACATCTTTACTTACCTTTACATAAAAGTTATTAATCTCATGAAACCTGATCACTGGGTTAAGCTCCAAACAGATCTTAATGACAACATTATGAGAGCTTGGAGAATTTTCTTTTTATTTCTAATCAATAAAGTAATAAAATAAACTCTCCTTAGTTTTGTTAGTATGTCATATGAGATGAAGGTTTATATAAAACTAAATGGATGCTTTATAATAAGAAGATATTATTTCCGTAAATCTCTAGCACATAAATACATCATAATAAACGATAAAAGTAGATTGTTTGTTTTGACAATTCTTAATCCAGGGAGAACAAATGGCTCCTTTATCCTCTAACACTGAGGCTGAAAGATTGTGTATGAGAAAAAATGAGAAAACATATTATACAATGAAAATTTATTCTGAAGACTTTTTAGTTAATCTCCTTTAATTTCTGATATTAAGTTTCTAACAGATACAGGAGAGATTAAGATTTTATGATAAAACGCTATCTCTGAGGGTTACTAAAGGGTAAAACTTAAAATTACTAAAACATTTAAGAGTAAAAAAATCCAGCAGCAATGAGAATAGTTACAAGGAATTTGATGTTACATTCCAACAAAAAGCAGCAAAAGTTGCCTAGTAATTATAGTTTAAACTTAAAAAATATTTAGAACACTTAGCCACAGAATTTCAAAATTGAAGTAGATAGTAAAGTTCAATAAATATTATGAAAGTTTTTTCCTACGTACCTCAGATGGCCCACTGCCCTGGTTCGTACCAGAGAAAGAAGAATATAGTCATTCTGTTGACCTTGAAATCTATCAACAGTTGTCACCTAGAAATAAAAAATGGAAAATATGGTGCATTTGCAAAAGCCAAAAGACACTAGAGATCATTTAAATAATGTGCTAGGAACAAACATCTTATCCTTAATCAATCCCAAAAGAAACATAATCATAGGCTTGGAATTCCAAGAACAAGTTAATGAACATTATTAAAGAAACCATACTAATCAGATCAAACTACATCCTTATGTTATTAACACTTACAGCACTTGTCTTTACCTTTGCTGATAACTAAATAACTATTTTTGGAATTAACAGTCTTCCCCCATTAGATTGCAAAACTTCATGAAAGCAGAGACTATGTCTAGCTTATTAACTGGTATCCCAGTTTGATGCTCAGCAATATAACTTAGTATGCTTATTTATTACTTAACGTATCACTAGTAAATGTCTACAGCATTCCTCCATCAAAGAAAAAAACAAATAATCTTCATTGCACTTTCTGTTCAGTTTGAAAATATATGTACATGGGAGGCCAACATGGGCAGATCGCTTGAGCCCAGGAGTTAAAGACCAGCCTGGGCAATGCGGTGAAATCCCATCTCTACAAATTATACAAAAATTAGCTGGGCATGGTGGCGCGTGCCTGTAGTTCCAGCTACTCAGAAGGCTATGTTGGGAGGATTGCTTGAGCCCAGGAGGTGGAGGTTGCAGTGAGTTGAGATCATGACACTACACTCCGGCCTGGGTAACAGAGTAAGGCCCTGTTTAAAAAAAAAAGAAGAAGAAAGAAAGAAAAAAAGTGTATGTACAAATAGGGAAGTTCAGAAAGGTTTCAGTCACTAATACTGGCAACTCAGACATTTATCTTTTCATCAATTTGACAAAAAGTTTATTGCTTACCCTGCAGATACTGTAATTTATAGTCTCTCTATCTTTAGGAAGTTTACAAAACACTTTTTAAGTCAACTACATGGAGGTATAGTTTATACACAATAAAATGTGTTCAAGTGTACAATTTGATGAATTTTGACAATACATTTTCCCATGTGACCACCACCACAATAAAAATGTCCATCATCTCAGGCCCCATTTTGGTCAAATCTGCATCCCCCAGCCCCAGGCAACCACTGATTTACTTTCTGTCACTACAGATTATTTTTTGCCAGTTCTAGAATTACATAAAAATAGCATCAAAAGGATATATTCTTTTGTGTCCTGTTTCTTTCAATCAGCATGTTTCTGAGATATATTCATGTATGTGTACATGAGAAATTCATACCTTTTTGAGTATTCTTTCACTGAACAAATATACCACAGTTTTGTCCACTCACCTTTTCATGAAAAGTTGGCCTGTTTCTAGTTTGAAGCTATCTTGCATAAAGCTGCAATAAATATTCATGTACAAATATTTTTGTGGACATGTTTTCATTGCTCTTGAATAAATATGCAGGAGTGAAATTGCTGAGCTGTACAGTAAGTGCATACTTTATAAGAAACTGTCAAACTTTTCCAAAATTGTTATCCCACTTTACACATTCCCCAGCAATGTGTAAACTCTAGAACCCCAGTTCTAGAGTTTCAGTTGTTGTACATCCTTGCCAACATTTGTCATAATGTCAATCTTCATCATTTTACCCATTCTTTTGGGTAGGTAGTGGTATATCATTGTAGCTTTAATTTCTATTTCCTTGACAACTAATGATGGTAAGCACTTTTTCATGACGTATTGGCTACCTGTAGGTCTTCCTTATGTGAAGTGTCTGTTCAAGTCATTTGCCCATTTTGTATTGGTCTGCCTTATTTAGTAATAACTTTTATAGGAGTTCATATATTCTGGATATACGTCCTTTGTTGTTATGTGTGGATATTATACCTGGGAATTCTGTTGCCACTCTGACCATGTGGAGAACTGGGCTCACATGCTGACATTAGCAGGGCAGAATAACATCGTTGAGCTACCCTGTAACCCAACCTTGGAACCACCCTATTTCCATCTTGTTATGAGAGAAAGTAACTTTCCTTATTATTTGAGTAAGATTTTCTGTAAAAGGACTCAAATATTGAGGTCCTTCTATTTCTAAACTTGCAAAATTATTAGTTTCTCAGTTTCACTCTATTCCTTATGAAGTATTCTGTGCAGTGTCTATTCTTCCCTGTATTCCTTTTGATTTTGTTTTCATTCCTCTGATTTTATTTTCTTCCAGCTTACATTTCATCTCTTTCTGAGTTCTTACATTTCTCTGCTTTGTAGCTTTTCCTCAAAGATATGGTTACTTCATTAAGTATTTCCCAATTTACAGCAAAATGTATATTTGAAAATTTCATCTTTTCCAGGCCAACATGGTTTCTGGAGCATGTATCCTATCTATGTTTTGCTGTTCTTCATTTTTTCCTATAAATTGAGCTTGTGCTAGTTCCCTTTATACTATTCATCACTGAATAAGTAAGTTTCTTAGATTAGCTATGTGGGAGACATGAAGATGGGGTGAGCAAGGCTGTTTTCTGAAGGCTGGACGGTTTTCATAACAAAAGGCCCTCTTTTCTTCTGCTACTGCACAGATAGTCTATAAAAATAGTTTGTCCCCTCTTTTTCTCATTTTCCTGTTACATTTGCATAATTTCCAAAAAAGGTGAGCTTTTACATAGCCATGTTCATAGCCAAAGTCCTAATTTTATCATTAGTATTATCTTTATGTTTTTTCTAATGTATTCTACCCTTCATTAATGAAAGAATCATCATTTTATTTGATATTATGCATTTTTGATTACATAAAAAATATATATATTTTTAAAATCCCAAGGTCTGAATACATTTTACAATCTTCCCTTATTCCCAAGACAACCTCCCCCTATACACAATAAAAAGCAGTCTAAATTATACCCCTGCAAAGCAAAACATACTCCTTGTAACAGTACACATATTATAATGTAATTTTGTTATATATCATTTTATGAACAAAAAGTTTCAGAAACATTTCTTTTACCATCAATAAATATCTTTTATGTGGTAGCTGAGATAGAAAGTCACATCAAACCAGCAAGACTGTCAGAGAGTTATTTATAGTTCCCATTATTTCATTTTCTCAAATATCTTAAAAAGAGATAGCAAAGAGGCAAAGCAGAACAATATAAACCTTTCCATCTTGCCAAAATGATGAATAAGAGAACATATTATAATTATAAAAGTACCTTGTTTGGTCTTCCAATCAATGGATTGTTTCCACATCGTCTATTGATGATGTCGCGAATAAGATGCTTTTGGCCATTATATGTTGTTAGAATACTGATTTTGTCAGCAGGGTAACCAAGTAAACACATGTACATAAAAAGTGCTACTACATATTCTGCCTCTCCAAGATTCTGTAATGCAAACATAATCAGACTGTGCATTCATTTGCTTTTGTTTCAATTTTATAGAGAAAATATCTCATCTAGATAAGCAAAACTTGTTCACTTTGCACACTGCAAGAAGTGAAGACTTAGTAACTTGGATAAGTGAGTACCTTTCATAAAACTGAGGGATAATTTTATGCTACATTAACAGTGATAAATACAAACTTTTAATTTGCAATACATGGAACAATCCTAAAATAAAACTTACCAACTTAAAGGCTTAATATTCCTAAGACCATAACAATCACAATATAGATTAATACTATTCTGGCCAGGCATGGTAGCTCACATCTGTAATCCCAGCACTTGGGGAGGCCAAGGCAGACAGATCACTTGAGTCCAGGAGTTTGAGACCAGCCTGGACAACATGGTGAAACCCTGTCTCTACTAAAAATACAAAAATTAGCTGGGCATGGTGGTGCATGCCTATAGTCTCAGCTACTCTGGAGACTGAGGTGGGGGGATCGCTTAAGCTTGGGAGGCAGAGGTTGTGGCGAGCTTCAATCGTGCCTCTGCACTCCAGCCTGGTGACAAAGTGAGATCTCATCTCCAAAAAAAAAAAAAAAAAAAATTCTATACAATGTGCCACAACTGTAGTTACACAGACACAAAACTATAAAGGAACAAAGTAACTAAGAAGCCAATACAATACCCAGTTTAATAGCAAATACACCTAGCAGTATTATAATTGACTCAATTTTTGCACAGTGCTTTTCCTCCTTCCTCATGTTTCTTAATGTTTTTTGTATGCTTTGTTTCTGTTCTCTGCGTAATGGTTGTCACTTCTACTAGATCACTTTAGGTGGGATGAGGATGTGACCGCAAATTGGTCAGTCTGGTTTACTGTTAAATTACAGACTAGAAAGGAGCTTAAAACTAAGGCTTATTCAACTTAAAGGTGAGGAACCACACACAAAGCTCTTTGGTCCAGTTCAGTAGAGACTAAATCCAAAGTACTAGATGAAAGAAGAAAGTAAAATAAGAATATAAACACAATATTTAAAAAAAAAAAAAAAGGAAGCTGGATTTCATGCAAAGGCAACCGAAAGATTACTGGAAGACTTCTAAAAATATCATTTATATTCTGGTTCTTTGTGACGCACAGCTTGAGTTACAAGTTCATTTAAGTTTTCTAGTTCTTTAACACTGCCCAATTTGGTACTTTGCCCAAAGGTTAGACATGAAGCATTAACAATAAAACAACATGAACTGTATTGTGACCAAACATTTTAGAACTCGCTCCAAATGAGTCAAGTCCCCTTCAAATTAGTGACTTTTATTCATTTATCCACCTAGTCTTTCCCTCTCGACACTAATTCTTCAAATGTTATCACTTAAATGCATAGTATTCTTATTTTGGGGGACAGTGTTTTCAACTCTCCAGAAATATATTTAATAGTGGCAAATCATCATCTGAAAATATATTTATTTCTTGAATCGCTAAAAACTCATCTAGAGTTAGGCTTAATGAATAAGAAAAACAGGTAACCAATCTGGATAAAAATGTTTCAATCAATACTACAGTATGACTCAGGCAATGAAACTGACTCAAAGAAGAAATTCCAAAAAACCAATATGTAATGAAAACATCAGTTGATTACTGATAGAATAATTAATTTCTAAGGTGGCTATTAGGAAACATCACTGATTTGAACTAGGTTCTAATATTTTTAAAGTTATCATTTAAAGGTCACATCTGTTCTCAGGCATTAAGTACACAAATAGAGTAACTTGATTTAATATAACCAAATATTTGGAGGGACAATAAGATCTGCATGAGTTACATCTATGCATACACATTTAAGCTGATGATAAATGATGCTTTTTCATGAATAACTCAAGATCTCTAATTTGTATAACAACCTATATTGGATATTTTGCTGTAAAGAGAGAGAGAAAAAAAGAAAAAAATTAAAATAACCCCAAATGCTACCAACCAAAGACTATATTTTGATGTATATGCTGCCAGGTCATTTTGTATAGATTATCTGTATGTATTTCTATATGTATGTATTGCAGCTCCTTTTTAAAATGAGATACTGTAGATATACTTTGCAACTTTTTTCCACTTAATATAGCATAAACATTCTTCCTGTTAGTAAATACAATGTTATCATTCTTAGTGGCTATCTAGTATTTCTTTTATATGGAATATGTAATAATGCAATTAATCCCTACTGACAGATATTTGGGTTGTTTCTCATTTCCAGAATAATTTGCAGTGATGAACATGAAGCATACAAGTCTTTCCAAACTTGCCCAATTATTTTTTTAGGATAAATTCCTAGATGTGAGAACATTGCTTTTCATACATGCTGACAATTTGTCCACCAAATTATTTTCCTACTAGCATTGTATGAGAATAAAGTTTCCCCAAACCTATCCCAACACTGAGCATTGTTATAGAAGTGAAAATGTAATTCAGTGATTTATACTTGTTATAAAATATGAATTGCATATTCATATTTTCCTGTTAGTCTTGATTTTTTAAAACAATTTATGAGTTCTATAAATATATTCAGAATTCAACTTGTTTGTTAAATATTGAAATAAATTTTAAATACTGAAAATAAATCTTTTCTCCAATCGCTATTTTTCTTTATGATTTCTGCTTTTGTAACAAGCTTAGGAAGACCTTTCTCACTCCAACACTGTATATTCATTAATATTTTCTTCTAGTAGTTTCTAGTTTGTTTAGTTTCTTTAGTGCATGTATTTTTAATCAATCTGAAATCGATTTTTCATATGCTATGTGTAAGGTGGGGTTCCAACTTTCCTTTTCTCAACGGCCAAATGGTTAAGTATCACTGATTTAGGCATATGTCAGCCAGCAAATGCAAAATAAACTTATAAGCTTCCTATTTTTTCTTACCTGATAGAAGTAAGGATTAGGTTCAGATTCTCCCACTCCTTGAAAATCTTCAACATTAATGAGCTGGAAGTCATACAGTAAGCCAGCATTTGCTGTACTAAACTCTGGCAAGAGCTGCACATGGGGTAAGTTTCCTAGATTCTTGTATCGCCAGTTGTAGAGGTTGCACAAGCTTTCCAAAGACAAATTCCCCCACAAACAGAAAATATTAGCAGTGTAAAATCTCTTTTAATATACATAAGGAGGTTTCTGTTTCTGTGCTTCTTTTAAATTTTCATGTTAGCCATTTTGGCTCATCTTTTAAGCAATAATGCTCTTTCAACCTTAGCTTCCCTACTTCAAGTAACCAAGGGTCAGAAGACTGAAGGTACTACAAAAATGAGAGTTCTATTACGCTCTCTGAGGTCAATGCTATCTTTATCCCTTAAATTAAAAAATCAAGGAAGACTAAAAATTGAGGACATTTGGGGGTAACTATGAGATGGGGCCTGCATCCTTTATGAAGTAAGAATTGGTGTGTTCTCCTCTTGTTCACTTTATTTTTAGATTTTAAAATTATATTAACTGTATATCTTTTGGGGACATGAAGAAAGGAGAAGGGACAATGAAAAGAAGCCTTTAGATTATAAGTTACTTAAATTAATATTAATGAATGAAATGAAGGAAATAAATTATTTGGTCCATTCACATCTCTTGCAGAAGTCGACAAAAGTGCTTTTGGATTTATGGATAGCCAAGTTCCTGGATAGCCAAGAATGCTAATAGTCTACACAAAAGCTATTCACAAATACTTGGATCATGGAACAAATGTCCTTAAATGGGAATGATTTTTTTTCCTGTCTCTTTTACCTTGCTCTGGCTCTCCCTTGAGCATCAAGGTCAACAGTCGGAACTCCAACGCGAACAAAGCGAGTGAAGAGAGACTGCTCCATGTTTGAGTACTTTTGAAAGGCCATGTTCTTAATAACTGGAGGTAACTGGTGATGATCGCCAATCATAATCCATCGTTTTAGTCGGCTAAATCCATCCTGAGGATTCTAGAAATGAAAAGTAAGGAAATGGCAAAATACTCTATTATCCTCTTGTCTCCAATTTATTACCCGAGAGACTCAGTCTTCATCAAACAGCTTCCTTATCTTACAAATTACCAAACTTTACCAGCTCCACAAACAGGAGTCTAGCAAATTTACAGAACAATTTGTGAACCAATTATGGACGTTATTGCTCCTGGGTGACAGTGGGTGAGGGAGAATGGAGGTATTTAGAAGGCAAGCATGGAATTACCCTACTTTAATAGGCAGGGTAATCCAAAGAAGGCTGGAAGGATTAGGTCAGGCATTAGGTAACGAGCACACAGAAAGAAACAGAAGCCCAAGAAGAGAAATGGAAAGATGCGAAATAAACATGTTTCACAATTAGCTGAGGACCAATTCTGAACCCACCAAAGCAGTAAAAACTACCTTCTTTAATTATCTACACTACTACTTCAATTTCCTACTCTATATGTCTCCTAGTTCCTTGAAACATATCCTGATAGAATACATTCCAAGTTCCAAGTAGCTTCACTTATAAAAACAACTTCTGGAACTCAATTTATCTGCATATTAGAGTGGTCTCTATCCTTAAGTTGGGAATTCCACATTTTGTTTTTAATGCTTCAATAGTAAAGAATATTTTACAGTAAAAAAATTCTTAAATAGCACAATTTAGCTCAAAAACTTAGGCATAAAGAAAAGCAATGCACTCAGTGAAAATGAAAAAAATAATTCTACAAACAATTATAACAAAAGAAATGAAGAAACAGCTCATCTTCCCACCAAACTGCACAACAATGTAATTTTCTTGATTAAAATTACTAAATCTTTTCAAAACTACAGAAATAGACTATGAAATTTTAAATAGTACTTCTCGAAGCAAAACAACTACTAAATAGCCAGTGAATAGATTCAAGAAAGTTTACAGGCTTAAAATAGAATACCAAACATAATGAAGTTAAGGAAAATACATAACTATGGCAATCAGCACACCCAAACTGTACAACTTTCTGATGCTGTCCTCAGCATTCTTAGAACTCTATTTTCTTTGCCTCAGATCTTATATTTCTTACCTGTAGAAGAAGAGGGATAAAAGTTTCTATCTCCAGAATCTGAGCAGCCTCTTCCATCAAAATGTTGTCATACTAAGAAAGAGGAAATCTTGTCATAAAGACAGCTTAAAAGTCAAACAACTACCATCATAAACATAATCATCAAAAAAACCCCAAATAATTTCTGATAAAAACGACATACAAATTATTCAGACAGATAAAAATAACAACATACACATTATTCAAACAGAAACTTCATGGTCTTACTTATCATTATGCCTCTGCATTTCCAATTCAAGTATTTGACTTCAGGAAAGCCGCCTAAATATACAACTTTACATTGAAAAGATCTTGTATATCATTTCTTGAATTGCAATGCCAGTTTGGTTCTTTTCAATTTAGTTCTTTATTTCTACATCAGAAAGCATCAATTTATAATTATATATGAAGTCTTTCCCTTTGGTACTCTTACTCTGGTAGCATTTTGGGATAATTTTTTTTCCTATATGAATCCTACCCATCACAACAATTCACTTCAGTCTCACCCCTGGGCATTCAATCCATCACCAGAGCATGTCAATTTTACCTTCAAAACTCTTGAGTCTATTCATTTTTCTTTATTTCTACCAGCACTACCACTCTAAAAATCCAAGCCACCACTATGACTACGGATAGCAAACTCCTTACTAGTTCCTCCTCTTCCTGTCTTGACTCCTCTAAGGCACTTATACAACTCCTTATTTCAAATCCTTCACACCACTGTTTAAGTGAAAAAAATCCCTCAATATTGCCAGCAAGGATGTATTTACCAAGAACCTATATTCAATCTAGTCCCTGACTTCCTCTTGTACTTTATCTTTCTCCTTACTCACTAAGCTTCAACCACAATGACCCATTTCAGTTTGTTGGAAATGGCAAAACCTTCCCTGCCTCAGGCCCTTTGCACATGCTATTCTCTTCACTTTTAGTCTAGTTGGTTCTTTCTCATCCTTAAAATATCAGCTTAAAAGCCACTTTATCTAGGCCTTCTGTGACTTCCCAATCTAAAACTGATCTCAAAGTACTGAAGTACTGTTCTTTTGTCTTCCAGACCTACACAATTTGTAATTATATCTGTATATTTACTTGTTTAATGTATCTTTTCCGTAGCCCAGTTCCCAGTAATGTTAGGTATTACACATTTGTAAAAGAATGAAAAATCAAGTCTTTCTAAAACATGAGAAAATTTCATTCCTTCTTCGATAATTACTACTGTTCTATCTGTCCAATTCTCATTTAGATCTATTATCAATATGTTTTATCTTTCCTATTCACATCTAATTCTGATCGCTACTTAGTATGACATCTTGTTTTGGTACAATACCTTCTTCTTGAATCTAAGTACACATTAGAGTTCTGTTGCTTTCTGTTTTTAAAGATTTCTCCCATTATTTTATTTTCCAGGGAGGTGGGAGATGGGGAGAGCATATTTACTCTGAATGTTTGATTAACTCTCCTCTTTTAAAGTTATGGTTCAATCCTGGACTGTTATTGAAACTACTTGAAGGTGTAGGCATTTCCCTATTATAATGATTAGGTCATTTTTGTGGGAGCTGAACAGAAGGAGGAATTCAAACTCTCACATTTTCTAAGAAGTCCCTGTGTAGACTCTCAAGATAACAGGTATAATATGCAAAACAGAGTGGGGGCAACTCAAAAGGAGATAGCTTAAAAAGACCGCTTTCTGAAAATCAATTCTGAAAATATAATGCAATTTTACTTATAAAAACATATTTACAGATTTTGTTTTTTAAAATACAGATTTTAATTCCAAAGCAAAATTATCACTACTTTAGCTACTTGCTCCATGTATTTATTAGTCAGATCATTCATTCAACCCTTACTAATCTCTACCAACATATTACATGTTGGGTTGGCACTTGATGCTGCAGGCCAGGGACCAGGCTAGGAGCTAGTCTTTGTGAACTTTCAAAGGATTCCTAAATTCTACAGCCACCGTTACCAGTTCCACGGTTCTTTAATGGATTATAGCTGCTAGGATAGGGTCAGGGTGGTGTAGGAGTAAGGGCACAACAGACTTTAAATTCTTAGAAAACCATGTTTTAATACTAGCTCTGTAACTGATTACCTGCGACTCTAAGGTAATATCTCTCTTGAGTCACCCTTTCTCAACTATAAAATGGAGGTATCTTGTGGTGCAGTGGCTCACAGCTGTAATCCCAGAACTCTGGGAGGCCAAGGCAGGTGGATCCCTTGAGCTCAGGAGTTCAAGACCAGCCTGGTCAACATGGTGAAACCCCGTCTTTACTAAAAATACAGTAAGTTGGTTGGGTGTGGTGGCACGTGCCTGTAATCCCAGCTACTCGGGAGGCTGAGGCACTAGAAGTGTTTGAACCCAAGAGGCAGAGGTTGCAGTGAGCCGAGATCACGCCATTGCACTCCAGCCTGGGAAAAAGAATGAGACTCTGTCTCAAAAAAAAAAAAAAAAAAAAAAAAAGGAGATAGCTCATAAAAAGATCTAGTTGTGAAGAAGAGAAATAAATCATTGTAAACATAGAATTTTGTACATTGTAAACACAGAACTTGGTACATAGCTGACGCTCAACAAATGATGATTATTATCATTGTTCATTTTTGTTATCATTCTGATACATTTCCTTCTACAATTTCTACAACTCAAAATGGGTTTAAGATGATCAACATTGAATTCATATTTCCTTTTACAATTTCTACAACTCAAAATGGGTTTAAGATGATCAACATTGAATTAATAATCCCTGAAAACAGACAAGCAAATTAGAATTAATATTTAACTTCGTGTTTGTAAAAAATTGGGGCTGGGTGCAGTTGCTCATGCCTGTAATCCCAGCACTTTGGGAGCCCGAGGCTGGATCACTTGAGGTCAGGAGTTTAAGACCAACCTGGCCAACATGGTAAAACACTGTCTCTACTAAAAATACAAAAATTAGCTGGGCCTGGTGGCGGGTGCCTGTAATCCCAGCTACTTGGGAGGCTGAGGCAGGAGAATCACTTGAACCCAGGAGGTGGAGGTTGAAGTGAGCTGAGATTGCGCCACTGCACTCTAGCCTGGGCAACAGAGCAAGGCTCTGTCTCAAAAAAAAAAAAAATAGGCTTCAACAAAATACAAATTGAAACAAGTGGTAGACTTCTGTTAAAAGGTGATGAACTGAACACATAATGATCACCACTATCTCTGGAAACCCCCTAAAATAACACTTGACATTATATAGTGAAATTGTATCCCAAAGAGTTAAAGAAACCAGCAACTAACAGAAATCCTTGAGTTTACAGGATGATAGATAAGAAAAGAAACAACTTGCTGCAAAGCTGAAACTTCCTTTGCTTCTAAGATAATAAAACTGGCTGAAACTGGCTGGAACCAATATAGCCAACTAGAGTGAGCGCAGAATGAGCTTGCTTACGTCACAACCCAAATTTCTACCATGTTTCATGTTATCTCCTCTAGAATCTACACATGCCATCCAAGAGGTAGCATGAAGAGAGAACTGCGCATGCTTGAAGATTTTCCAGACCCCTTTCCTTCCACCAATCGCTTACTAATCCCAGAATCCACCCCCTGTATATTTTCTAATAAAATTACTGCCTTAAAGCCAGCATGGGGACATAGATTTGAGCTTGACTATGTTCTTCTCATGAGTCAACTTGTAATAGGAGCTTTTTTTTCCCTCAAAAACCTGGTGTTAGAGTATTGGCTTCTAGTGCACTGAGCAGCGAGCCCCTTTTGCTTGGTAACAATAGGAATGGTTTAAAGAGGCAATTAGACTTCCCCACTTCAAGGAACCAAACGAAATGTCCCTTCTCTCTCACCCCCAATAGACAACAGGTTTAGTGTCTGGAGAGGATCTTGGAACTTGGAGAAAGCAGGCAGAGTTAAGAGGGTGGGATCAGAAATGAGCACCACACAGAAAGTGGGAATTATGTCAAAAGTCTGTGTACAAAACTGAATGTGGAGAAGTCTGGCTCTCTTTCTCCATCCATCTCCCACAACCCAGGGACCCAGGAAAGTAAGAGTCCTCTTTATCCCTTCGTATCCCTAAGACTTATCACTGAAATTTCAGAACTCTAGGGACAAAGAAAAGATTATAGGGCTTCCTGACAGAACAAAAATGTAAAACAAAATACATTTAAAATCACGGCTTTGGGCTTCTGAACAGCTACACTGGAAGACAGAGAAAACGGAACAATTCTTCAAAATTCTGAAGAAAAATTATTTCCAATCTAGAAATCTATACCTAGCCATAATAACTAAATGTGAGAGTAGATTAAAAACAGTTTTTGGACATGGAAAGTCTTAAAAATATTACCTCCTATGCATCCTTTCACATGAAAGATACGGGAGGATGTATTCTACTAAAATACAGAAGAGAAAGACACAGAATGCCCAAAACACAGAATCTGACATATGAGAAAGGCAAAGGCCTTTACAATGGATGCAATGTGAACTGAAATAGGTCAGGAGTATCTAGGAGAGAGATCTCCAAAAACATGTATGGGATGTGTCTAAATGTACTAAGAAAATATTTAAAAACTAAACACAGTTTTGGGTTGAATTGGTGGTAAAAACAGAAAACTAAACAAACAAAAAAGGCGAAAATCATTAATTCCAGAAAGAAAAAAAAATTGTGCATGAAAGGACAACTAATCATGGTATATTCCCCCTGCTTGGATGTGAAAGTGTTCATGTGTTAATAATGATGTAAACACCCCAAAGTGAGCAAACCAAAGTTACGACATAACTATATTGGGAGCATTAAGGAAGGAAAGGTGCACGCACACATGCATGAATGTGTGTCTATTTGTCCTTTGGGTGAGCACAGAATCAAAAGACAATGCCTAAAATGGAAATTTACCATTCTTGACTGATATAGATGAAAAGGACAAAATCTAAAAGAGTCGAAGGACTGGATAAATGGGACGGATGAGCAGAGTGGGGGACTGCCTTTTTTTGTTAAGTGGACCTACAAGGTTTTTAAAACTCTTAAGTGTGATAAAAATAAAACTTCAAAATCAAAAATATAGAAAACCTATTAGCACTCATGCTAACTACCCGTTGACGTGTAGCATGATTTAAATGTAGAAAATGACTACTGAAAGTTTGATAAGTAGTATTCTTTAGAACACAGGCAAAAGCTCCATGAAAGCAAAAAATGTTAATTATGGTTGCATTATTTTCCCTTGTTATTAAGCTATGATTTAATATCAAAGTATATTTTATATGTCAGCCCCAAGAACAAAACATTTAGGTGAAAAATTCTCACTAATAATTTGCAAAAGGGTAAGTTCACACCACTGGGGTACATTCACACTACCTTTTAATAAATTGTCGTATTTGTCCTACCTTGCAGCTGAGGAACCTTGCATCCAAGATAACAATTTCATCACCTTGAATTTATTTAGCGCCTATCTTTCAGTGAGCTCACAACATTTTAAAATTGTCAGTTACTTTAATCAACAAGTGAATTACTAATTTTTAATTCAAACCCATATACAGAACTCTGTTTTAAACAACAGACAAACCAGTTGCAGGAAAGTTAAATGACTGTATTAAAATCTAAGTTCAGATCAGTATCACTAGCAAAGTCACAAAAAATTTGCAAATTCAAATTTACTGCTCAATCATTACTTTCCACTTCAAGTGAGTCACAGATTAACAGGTTATTTTGTACTCCTGTTTTTATCATATGATGAAACCATTTTAATATCTCATTTTGCAGTCTAAGAGTATTCCATATCCTCATATGAAAGGCTTTTCATTTGCTAAGTACACAAATAACTGGAATGGTTGTATGTTTAATATGTGAATAATCTAAGCATACAGATGTCTAATAGATGAAAACCACTTTGTTTTTTTTTGTTTGATTTTGTTTTGAGATAGAGTCTCACTCTGTTGCCCAGGCTGGAGGGCAGGGGCACAATCTCGGCTCACTGCAACCTCTGCCTCCTGAGTTCAAGTGATTCTCCTGCCTCAGCCTCCCAAGGAGCTGGGATTACAGGCGTATACCACCATGCTCAGCTAGTTTTTGTATTTTTAATAGAGACGGGGTTTCACCATGCTGGCCAGGCTGGTCTCAAACTCCTGACCTCAAGTGATCTGCCCACCTTGGCCTCCTAAAGTGCTGGGATTACAGGCATGAGCCACCACACCTGGCTGAAAACCATTTTGAAATGTTCTTTTTATAGCTTTTACTTCTGTTTGGAGATATTTTTATTATTACTATTTTTTTAATTAGGTGAATTTTAGGCTTTTTTCATAAGCTTTATTTGGAGATTTTTAAATAAGTGATACTCAGTAAAAATAAAACTTTAACAAGTATGAGAATTTGGTCAGACAACCATATGGTTATAACATTACCTAATGGACATATTACTAACAACTAGATTTAGAAAAATTAGATTCAGAGTTCACTAATCATGTAAACAAGGGATATTATCATCCACTTATAAAAGAAACATTTTAAGGTAATTATAAATACGAACTTCATAAGAAGTGAGCCAATCTCTGATAATCTTAAAAAAAAAAAAAAAAAAACTACCATAAGTCTTTACCTTGAAACCTAGCTTGACCAAGTCATGTCGTTTTAAGGCAGCATGAGTACAGGTCATAGCAATAATTTTGGCTTCTTTCACTAAAAGGTATTTAGATCTGTCCAGTCCACTTCGAAGCAATTCAGAGGCTCTGAATTCCTATGGAAACGAGGAGCAATGAAAGATAATTTTAGGAAAACGGAGTTTTGCACATAACCATACAATCCAGTCAGACTTAATTCCTGAGAAATTAACATAAATATATTATAAACTAAGCCTAATGAATTATAATTCTGTTCATTATGATTTCGGTACTAATTGAGTTTAAATAATAGCTGATATAAAAGTTATAATTCAAACTTTTTTGTATGTAACGTAAAATATGTACTATATAAACAAGAATACTGAATAAAATTCAGTGATCATTGTACCTGTATTACTCAACGTCCCTCCAGGAAAATAGAAATGATTTCAGGTATTCATATCAAAGGAAATTTTAGCAAGAAACTGGTTATATAAGTGATAGAGGAACTATAAAGGTAATGTAACATAGAAATTAGAGACAGCAGCAGTCACTATCATCCCTAGACTAGAAAGAATAAAGGTAGGAAGTGGTATTATCAGAGCCCAGGGACTGTAGTCACACAAAAAAGCTGGAACCACAAGTTTTTCCAGCAGAAACTGGAATCATGAAAGAGATGAAACCCAAGGCAGAGGGAACTGATGAAGAAATACCTTGGCACTCTCTCATCGGCTATACTAAGCAAGAAGTCAGCTGACATAGGAAGCTGGGAAATTAAACCTGCAAGGATAAGCCAGAACATCAACCATGGCAGAGGATCCCCAACAGAGCAGAAAAGAGTATGGAAAAACAAAAAACATTTGTTTTTTAAATAATTAAAATATTACACATATAGGTGAGGTACCCTGTATAACCTTCTGCCTACTCCCTCCCAAGGCAGCTATTATTATGAATTGAGTATGTTTTTATCCTTTTACTTTGTGTTTATGTAACCATAAACATAATACATTTATTATTCTGTACCTACCATCCATCCACTCAACCATATACATTTCAATATTTACTGAACATATACTACATATCTGATACTGTTCTAGGAAGTAGGTATGTAATCACATCTAAAAGATACAAAGACAAGAAACAATGTCCCTGACCTTTCTACCTGAAAGTGTAATCCTAAATTTTCTTACTGAGGAGTCTGAGCCTGAATATGATCCCTTTATAGGACCGCTGTAATTTTTCAATGATGTTTGCTATCTATTTTTGCAATGATGATTCTGCAATGATGTGGCAAAAACTAGGAGACATATCCAGGGGGCACTGGGTTCCAGACATATTCTCTGTTCCCATTGTGTAGCTATGACTCATTTCACTTTAATAATCAGAATCAATCATCCTGGCTACTACAGCAACCCCACTATTTTACTGATCAAGAGGCATACAGGACTTAGAATGGCCACATGGCAGTCTCAAATTCCAGTTCAAAGAACCATTATTGAATTTCTTGACGGAAGCATTCCTTTCTCAAAAATACTAAGACCTTTACATCAGGAAAGCCAGAATAAGGATCCAATTTATATCTTACTTAAAATTAATCTAATTTCTAAGATTTGAATATTTTGGGCCGGGTGTGGTGGCTCACACCTGTAATCTCAGCACTTTGGGAGGCAGAGGCGAGCAGATAACTTGAGGTCAGGAGTTCGAGACCAGCCTGGCCAACATGGTGAAACCCTGTCTCTACTAAAAATACAAAAATTAGCTGGGCATGGTGGTGTGCACCTGTAATCCCAGCTGCTCGGAAGCTGAGGCAGGAGAATCGCCTGAACCTGGGAGGTGGAGGTTGCAGTGAGCCAAGATCATGCCACTGCACTCCAGCCTGGGCAACAGGGCAAGACTCCGTCTCAAAAAAAAACAAAAAAACAAAAAAACAAAAGATTTGAATATTTCACATTTACTTCAAAAAAAAACTAAACTAAATTAAAAACCACTAAAGGGAAGTTCAAAGAACTTGAGAATCCTTACCTCAAGCTGCGTAAAGATTTTCTTAATATGCCTGAAACATCCTTCAGCAATTTCCATGTCTTCTTCATAAGATCTTCCTTTAAAAATGGGTTGAGGAGCATTTGCAAAGTATTCATGGAAAGGGAAGAAAGTGGAGACTTCCGTAACATCTGGCAATGTACTACCTTTATTTTTCACTTTGCTGATATACTCTTCCCAGCGAGACATTACCTGTAGAAAAAAGGACTTGAAGTTAACTGCCAGCTAATTATGATGTTTTAAAGCATAAAATGAATAAATCTTATAAAAACAAGATCTGCTAGGTGAAAAAGAAAAAAAAAGAAATTCAATCTTTGATCCAATATAACTATTCTTCATTCCTGTAACTGACAGATTGCTCTTCTGTTATAAAAGTAACCTTGTCTTTGGAGAAAAAAAGGCTCTTTAATAACAAATTTCTACAAACTGGAAAGAGCCTTAACATCATCTCATAGAACTCTAACTCCGACAGTTCAGATTCTCCACGTAACTCAAGAGAGTTTATTATTAACGCTTAAAAGAAATGTAAAGGAAAGAAAGCTCTCTGGACAAAGAAATTGCTCATTTTTTTCATCTCTGTTTCTCTCCATATATGGTAAGTTCAGCTTTAGCAGCTTTTTAATCAATTTGGCACTTGTCAACCCTCTGTCAGTTTTTTAGAACATTTATAAAGAACGTCTGGTTAAGCTGAGTGTGTATTTGAAAGCTTATCTTATGACTTTTGTGATTATAGTTCAATTACTTTGTATAATGTTAGCTATGCGTCTACCAGCCAGTTACTATGTAACCTCAATTTCTGTAACTCTCCCAGGTCTTTTTCTGTTACTATCTCAGTGTTTCTCAAAAGTGTAGTCCTTATGCAAAATATCTGAGGAGCTAAATAAAAATGTGGATTCCTGGATTCCACCTCTATTGAATGAGAAGCTATAGGAACAAGGGCTAGGGAATTTAACTCGTAAACAACTTTCCTGATATGATTCTTAAATGTTGAAAACTGCCAATTTACACTGTGAAGCCTCAAGTTCATTCTTCCCAAATTTATTACATAAACCTTCTTAATTTATAGGTTATTTTTCCCACTTTTAAACATTATTTTCACTGAAAGCCAAGTAATTTTGTGTCAAAAAAGCATTTAAGCTGATCTTTACTCCTTTATGCAAGTCCTAAACAGTCTTGAATCTAATGTAGACTATATTATGTATTTTCCCTGCTTCACAAGAAACCATGAAAGCTGCTCATTTTGAATGGACTTAATTGGTTTGTGATATCCACTTACAATGAGCTTACAATATTATAATTTATATCTAAAATATACAATTGGCATTAGAACAAAGAGAACAAATGAAGTTATACAAAAATCTTCATTAGCCAATTATGTCCTAGTCCATTTAAAATTATTAATAATCCAACTGACTATTAAAGTTTAGTTTTATTCACTTTATTTGGCTATTTCTCATTGGTTTTCACACTTCCAAAATTTACCCTAACAAAAGTAAAAGTACATCTTTATGTTGAAGTCAGAAGCCTTTAACTTCAAGACCCACTGTGCAATTAGTTGTAAGACATAATTTATTTCTGGAAATTTGAAGGAAGAATGTTTTCCTTCATTAGTTGATTAATGTATACAATAAAAGTTAACTGTACTTTGTTGCCACTGGCTAGCTAGAATATTTATTTAGTTGTATTTCTACAGTAAAAAAAGAAAAAAGAGTGACTAGAACTTTGCCAATAGAAAGAAAAAAATGTAAAAAGTAGCAACATTGGTCTTTCACAGAATGAGTCATCAAGCAAAGTTATTTAGAAAAGAAAACTGAAGATAATACAAAATACACTTAACATTCATAAATATAGCACTTGCAATACCATACATTCTAATCTACTCAAAAAAATAAGCTTTCATGAAGGATCACAAGAACTCATTCCAGCTTCCAACTGGGGTTCATATTATGATGAAGTATGATTCAAAAACCCTTAATATCTTACCTGGTATAAGAAGAAATAGCCTGCAGTTTCACAGGTATATGAGGCATCTCCTGGAACCCCTAGACTCTTTTGCAATCGTTTGACTTCTTCTAAAAGTTCTATTCTTCGAGCCAGAACATAATTAACTCTTCCATACCTAGACATTTCAATTAGGCAAAATGACAAAACTGTAATAAAGAGACTTTGAAGGAAACAATCAGCAAAATTCAAGAAAATCATAATAGCAAAGAAGAGGAAAAAAAACTAGAAGATATGGCTTCTATTTAACTATTGGTGGTAGTTCTTGGGTTACTTTACACAAAAGCTACTTAAAGTAGGTGGGTCACGGTGGTTCACGCCTGTAATCCCAACACTTCGGGGAGGCTGAGGCGGACAGATCATGAGGTTAGGAGATCGAGACCATCATGGCTAACATGGTGAAACCCTGTCTCTACTAAAAATACAAAAAAATTAGCCGGGCATGGTGGCGGGCACCTGTAGTCCCAGCTACTTGGGAGGCCGAGGCAAGAGAATGGCGTGAACCTGGGAGGCGGAGCTTGCAGTGAGCAGAGATGGCGCCACTGCACTCCAGCCTGGGCGACAAAGCAAGACTCCGTCTCAAAAAAAAAAAAGAAAAAGCTACTTAGAGTATACTCCATGGAACAGTATTGATCTGCAAGGGTGTTACTGGTCTAGGAGGAGGGAAAGTCAACTACATCACCAAATACACCATTTAGTTCAGCTCTCAATCTTTCTTTTCACAGCAAGACACTTTCACAAAGAAGAAAGCAGGACAGTGCATTCTGGTGCTAGTTCATTTCATCACAGACCAAGAACATGTAAGTTCACAAACTGGCTGCTTCAAACAGCACTGTTTTACACTACATAAAAGTAGATTAGATCTAAAGGCTTTGAAAAGTAATTTTTAAATGTTTTTGATTATCTCTGTCATCTACATATCCCAATACATAACTTGGCACCCAAACCTAGCAGGTTCTTAATGTTTGCTGAATCAGTAAGAAAACTGAAGTTTGGAGAGTACCTTGTCCGAAAACACACAGTTAGGGAAGAAAGTAGTGGAACCAGAATTAGATCCCAAATTCTATGCACATTCTTTTCACAACACCACAACAACAAAGGGTCTCCCATAACCCTTTAATGCTTAAAATAAGACTAAAATAATTTAATCAATCACTGTTGTTCCCATGTTTAAAGACTCAACAAAAGAAGAAGTCATGTTCCTAGCTGTCTGTAGTTCAGAGATTCACATTTGAGGTAGCAAGGGATGATTAAGAACAAAAAAGAGATCTAAAACATGATCTATGCTTGAAGAATTTTTCAACTTGGAAGGATATAAACATATGGCAGATAACTTTTTTCTGCTTGCTTATCTATAAACTTTTATCTACAATGAACACTTCGTTAATGAGAAAAAAATCAGGAATGCTTACAGACTCTGTTAATAAAATGCCAAAATTTTTGTGAAGTAATGTTAAACTTAAAAAGCAACAGGCCGGGCACGGTGGCTCACGCCTGTAATCCCAGCACTTTGGGAGGCCGAGGCAGGCAGATCACTTGAGGTCAGGAGTTCAAGACTAGCCTGGCCAACATGGCAAAACCCCGTCTCTACTAAAAATACAAACATTAGCCAGGTGTGGTGGTGGGCGCCTGTAATCCCAGCTACTCAGGAGGCTGAGGCATGAGAATCCCTTGAACCCAGGAGACAGAGTTTACAGTGAACCGAGATCATACCACTACACTCCAGCCTGGGTGACAGAGTGAGACTCTGTCCCAATAAATAAATAAATAAATAAATAAAAGCAATATACAGTACAATTAAACTCTACTATCTGCTCAATTAGTACATTATTACACTTAAAAGATAAAGAATTATTTTTAAAAAGCAACATAAGGCTGGGCGCGGTGGCACACGCCTGTAATCCTAGCACTTTGGGAGGCCAAGATGGATTGCCTGAGCTCAGGAGTTCAAGACCAGCCTGGGCAACATGGTGAAACCCCGTCTCTACTAAAATACAAAAAAAATCAGCCAGGCTTGGTGGTGGGTACCTGTAATCCCAGCTACTCACGAGACTGAGGCAGGAGAATTGCTTGAACCCAGGAAGCGGAGGTTGCAGTGAGCTGAGACGGTGCCACTGCACTCCAGCCTGGGCAACAAAGTGAAACTCTGTCTCAAAAAAACAAAAAAAGCAACATAAAAATTACAAATAACAGCATTACAGAAAAAGACTAGCAAAAAGTTGTTTTAGGATAGTGTAATTATGGATAACCACTCCTTCTCTACAACTTCACCAGATTTTACAATTTTTTTCTTCAGAGAAAGTGATGCTACTTTTATTGTGAAACAATAGTCATAATTTTTCTTTTTAATTGTAAGAGAAAAAGAATATGTCCAATCAAATATGCAAACTAACAATATCTAGGTTATGTGTCAGAATTTAAAAGTACATTTTTTCTAACAAATTTGGTGGTACCTGAAATCATTGTAAAAATTCTACCCCTATTCTAATATTCTTTAAAAACCATAAATTCGACTTCAATATAATTGTAATTATAGTCAAATATTCTATTAGCACCTTCATGTTCACTGAATTCTGAATTATTAGATTTTAGAGTCTAACCTACCTTTGTAAGTTGGCTTTAAAATGAGGAAATACCTATGGGATGAATTCAAAAGTATTACTGGCTAATCTGAAATTAAGAATATAGAGCCCTAAATAACTTATGGCATGTTGTTCTTTGCCCCTCTGCAACATAGTGACTTTTTAGAAGCTAAGTGTTTGGTAAGCTCTATAATACAAGAACTCAAAATAGATGCACATAATAATTTAAAACTCTTTTAATGTCTATGATCAATTCATCAAATATCATGTTTAATAGCCAAAGGCTACATTAAATATGTCCAGCTGTTAATTGTGCTTATTATCTAAAATTGGGCTTTAAAAATGGATTTAAATATAAATAAAATGAGACATTATAAAGCAACTTTGAATGAAAAAAATTAAAATACTAATGGCAGAAGAAATCCGACTTGTAAAGTTTTAGTCAATTTACAGTATGTGATATCAAACAAAGTCCAGCCAAACTGGCAAGAAGCATCTGAAGTTATACTTATAACCCCAAAGCTTATATTATCATTAATCACTAATTTGCATTCTTTTTTTTTTGAGACAGAGTCTTGCTCTGTCGCCAGGCTGGAATGCAATGGCGCAATCTTGGCTCACTGCAACCTCTGCCTCCCGGGTTACAGCGATTCTCCTGCGTCAGCCTCCCGTAATTTCTATTTCAATAAATAAATCAACCTCCTAATTGGCACCTAAAATATATGCAAATTAAATTCCTGAATAAGATGTGAAAAAGGAATCATTTAAAGTTGTACAGTTTTGAACTGGCAGCATGAAAAATTACCTCAATAAATAGAAAGCAAAAGGCAATCTGTTAAAAAGATTAACAAGATCATTCTCTTCATTAACATAATTGTATATTTGAAGACAAAATGGCATAACCATACACAACTGGAACTGAGGGACATCATGACCATATTTCTAGCTCAACATATAGTCTTAGTAAGTTAAGTTAGAACCTTTCAGAATTAAGTTTCAGTATTCATTGCTTTCTTCTTCTTTAATAAAAGAAATGAAAAGAAAATAAAAAATCCTTTTTTACACTGTTACTCACTCCCATTTGCTCACCTGCTGAAATCTTTCTCTGTCTCCAGCTCTTCTTCTCCATGACCAAGACGCAGTAGGTGGCGCTCATCAATGTCTAATGCCATGATTTTCTCAAACAACTGGTTTAGGGCCTAGACAATAAAGCAAGAAGGGTGACGGCACCTTTAAACGTAGCAAAAACTAACATTTAGAAAGAATCAAAGTTGAAACACAGAAGGAAATCAGCCTTATATTAGGCCATTTATAATTTAATCAAATAGTATTTATATTGATTTCTGATATTGCCATCTATGTCTATTTGGCTGTATGGATAACTAGAAACCATAAAACCACCCACCTATTAAACATCTGCTTTTAATTTATGAAACGAGAAAGGCATTGGCTCAGATGCTATTTCTTCCGAGTTGTAACAACTCCTAAAATAAACAACCACACTGAGTTTCATTTCATTCAACAGCATTTCCTTGGGTTACAGAGAACTGAAAAAGTTTTTGCAGTTGGAGAAAGACAATAAGAAGGCAGTGAGTGTGTTGGTAGAATACATTAAGAGGACCAGAAGGTGGAAACATAAATTGCATCTTTCAAATCTTAGTCTGAAAGTCTAATGTTCTCAATATAATAAAGAGCAGAGCACTCATTTATTGCAAACTATTCTGATGAAAGTCATTTAAAAGTCACTACTTTCTATCTGTGAAATGTTCATAATTAGGGTTCCCTCGAATCCTAGTATTCATTATCTGAACTTCCGCAGTTACAAGGTTTTACAGAAAGGCAAAAGTTTCATAGTATGGAAAGACTCACTAATTAAGGTACTATTTAAAAATAAGCCGCCATTCAAACATCTCACTTTCACTAGTCCAACCCTGCCTGTGAAGTCAGCATCCAGTCTTATAAACACCTAGGTTATATAATGTAGATACAGATATCCTTTACCATCAAAATTCTAGCAATCTGAGCTCTGAAACTGAAGAGATTTAACATAAATTTTCAGAAAAATCCCCCACTATCCAAACTCTTGATACTCATCATCCAAAACTCAGTACCCAACAGAGCAGATTACATGGTGTTACTCACTATCCAAACCTTCACTATTCAAACTCAAGAACCACATAGATTGAATAAAAGTAAAAACAAAAAACAAAACCCCCACAAACTTGCACACTATAATCCCAGAAAAAACTACATGATTTCATTGTGAATTACAGTGATTTTGAAGAACTACTTGAATTATACATGCAAATGAAGATCTGGCAAACAAAACAGTTAACTGAAGGAAAACAATCAATTCGATGGGCATCAAGGGAAATGATTTGAATTTCAAAAAACCAAGGCAGGTGTTTAGCAAGCAGTGAATTATGTGTCTATTTTTGCAAATTAATCTTTTCAATGATTGTGCTATACAAATCAATCATAAAGTAGAGGATAACTGTAGAAAGCCATATCAAGGTATGACAAAACAGTAAAAAATATGTTAAAACAACACATGAATTATTCTGTTCATTTTAAGAATTTACAATAGGTTTTTACAGAACAAATTTTATAAACAGAAGAAAAAAACTTCTTTTCATAATTTGTTTCTTTTATCAAGACAAAGTCCAAATTGATCCCCCTTCAACTCCCACAAATTCAGTATATTAGATGCATTATGTCCAATATGTTATGTAATATGTTATTATATAATTATGTATAACATATATTCAGTATATTGGATAAGTTTACTATTTATAAACTTCAAAATATATAAAAATATGTCAGGCAAATGAACTGAAGAGTATTATTTTTAAAACTTTACAAATTAAAAGTTAATGATCACCAGAGTAACTGATATTTGGCATTCCAAAAACACAGTGCTTCTGTATATACCAACTCAAAGACTGGTCAACTGAAGTCACCACTGTTAACATAAACTCCGAGAAAAAACTTTCAGAGGTTTTGACTACCATGCAAATTTCATAATATGCTTCAGGATGTTCTCAGAGTTGCCTGTCTCATTTTATACCAGATCTAATAAATGTTACTTGTTCTTCCCTCATTTCTGACAGCTTCAGAATGACTAAAGTAGAATACAGTCCCTTCATGTAATACAGGTGTACATTTCACATGGATTTGAAATTTAATCCAGTATCAATGCACTTTAGACCTTAGTCTTTCAGGAATATTCATTCTACTAAATGAAGAAAAATGCTCCCAGTAAGGGTTAATGCTTATAATCTCCAAGTAAAAGTTCTAGTTTAGTGTAGAAGGAAAAAATAGCAATTTAATTTAATCCAAATATCTAACCATATATCCAAATAGTCTTAGCTTTTTCACATTGACCCTCTCCAGTAGAAATAAAAGATTGCTTTTATATATCTCTCAATGTCATCTCATTATAAGCAGTGATAATCCAAGAGTAGCTCAATAGCAGATACTCCTCAACTTACAATGGGGTTACATTCCAATAAATCTATCATAAGTTGAAAATATCCTAAGTTGAAAACACATTTAACACACCTAACCTACTGAACACCATAGCTTAGCCTAGCCTATGTAAAACATGCTCAGAACACATATATTAGCTTATACCTGGGAAAAATCATCTAACACAATGTGCCTATTTTATACTGAAATGTTGACTATCTCATATAATTTATTGAATAGCGAAATAAGAGTGATAAACAGAATGGTTGTATGGGTACTTGAAGTACAATTTCTGCTGAATTCATATTGCTTTCACACCATCATAAAGTCAAAATATTACAGGTCAGAATAAAAGTCAAACCAAAAGTCAGGGACCATCTATACTAATTAGCCTTTCCTGGTATTTTGTGGTACCTATGATCAGATTTTCATACAAGGATAAATCATCTATTAATACATTCATTTCATGAATCCTCTGCTCCTTCCTTATGTTAGGAACAAGTGCTCAATGCTGCAAGGAAGAACCAGCACTCAGACAAAAAGTTTTCTCAGCAAGGCAATTTACTTCTGCAGGTGGGTGCTACCTGCGTCAGTCACGTTTGCCAAGAGCACACCGAACAAAGGAGAGAAGGGTTTCTATCCCTAATGCAGCCCCTGTATCTGTGTCCTTTCCCCATTGGCTGGAGTAAGACCGCACAATATAAACTACCCCGATTGGCTAAAACTTAAGCTTTTCTAAATATGGTCACTGCGTGATGGGGAAGCAAGGGAGAGGAGGGGGTCCTCACGGGAAACCAGGAGCTAATGCATTCCCAAATAAGGGAAGGAATGTGAGCCACAAACCAGCTGAGACTTAGGCATGCCAGAATATATTAGGGAACAGGTAGGCCAGGCTCAGAAAAATGGAGAACAAAGAATAATGAAACTAGATTTCTTGAAGAGGAACTTATTGTGTCCCACACTTACCTCCCCCTCAACCCCTAACCTGCATACCCATGTGCATGCGCATGCGTGCACACACACACACACACACACACACACACACACACACACACACACAGTCATTTACCTGATTGGAATGAGTAACAATTAGAGTCCTCTGTTCTGGGAAGTTGTGGTAGATGTTGGATATGATCTGAACTGCCACATCTGTTTTGCCTGTACCAGGTGGGCCCACAACCTAAAAAGAAGATGAACACATAGCAAACTACTAAGTCATCACAGTTATCACACATTGTTAGAAAACGTGAAGTACAGACCTGAAAGATAAAATTAACAAATTCAGTAGATGGGCCCAATAACAGAATGAACAGGATAGAAGAAGAGTTGGTGAACTTTGAGATAGATCAGTAAGCTACACAACCTGAATAACAGAAAAAAAGATTAAAAAAATAGAGACTCATGAATCTATAGAACATTAACAAGTCTAACACTCATGTCAACAAATTCTAAGACAGAAAGGAAAAAGAGTATGGCATAGACAAAATTTTAGAAAAATCATGGCTGAAAATTTCCTAAATATGGCAAAAGACATAAATCTACAGATTCAAGCAGCTCAGTGAACCCCAACAGAATAACCCCAAAGAAATCCAAGCCCAGATATACCACAATTAAATGGTTAAAAACAAAAAGCAAAGAAAAAAAAAAGTCCTGATAGCAACCACAGAAAAATGATGCATTACATATTACAAAAAGATGTTTAAAATGACTTTGGATTTGTCATCAGAAAACATGGAAGTCAGAAGGAAGTGTAATAACATTTAAAGTGCTAAAAGGAAGAACTATCAACCCACAATTCTATCTCCAGGTAAAATATCTTTTAAGAAGATGAATTAGAGACATTCTTGCATGAAGAAAAACAAAACTAACTCATATCTAGTAGACATGTTATAAAAAGTGGTTTTTGTTTTTGTTTTTTTAAAAAGTTCTTCAGACAGAAAATGCTACCAGAGGAAACTTGGAATATCTGGAATGTAGAATAAATGGCAAATATAATAAGAGGCTATTTTTTTCCTCTAGAGTTCTTTAAAATATGTGTACAGTTGAAAGCAAAAATTCTACTACTATCTGATGGTATCTTAAAGTATTTAGATGTAGCACATAAAACAACTACAATACAAAAGGGGAAGGAAGGTAAAGGAAACTTTATGGGAGTAAGTATTTGCCAATCAACCTGAAGTGACATAATACTGATTGTAAGTAGGCTATGAAAAGTTAAATATATTGCAAATCCCTAAAGCAGCCACTAAGAAAACACTACACCCAAAAATATAATGAAAGAATATGATAGGCCAGGCACAGTGGCTCACACCTGTAATCTCAGCACTTTGGGAGGCTGAGGCAGGCAGATCACTTGAGGCCAGGAGTTCAAGACCAGCCTGGCCAACACAGTGAAACCCAATTCTCTACTAAAAATACAAAAATATCAGCTGGCCGTGGTGGTGCACACCTGTAATCCCAGCTACTCAGGTGGCTGAGGCACAAGAATCACTTGGAAAGCAGAGGTTGCAGTGAGCTAAGATGGTGCCACTACACTTCAGCCTGGGCTAAAAAGTAAGACTGTCTCAAAAAAAAAAAAAAAAAAAAAAAAAAAAATATATATATATATATATATATATATATATATATGAAACAAATAAAAACATAATACTCAAAACTATTCAAATAACACAACGGAAGGCATGAAAAGGGAAACAGAAGAATACAAAATAAAGGGAACAAATAGAAAATAAATAAAAATGATAGGCCTAAATCCAAATGTGTCCTTTAATTTGCATTAAATGTGAATAGTCTAAACACGCAAGTTGAAAGACAGAGAGTCTCAGAATGGATAAAGCAACATACCTAAAGTATATGCTGTTTATAAGAAACTCACCTCAAATATAACGACAAGTAGAAGTAAAATGACAGAAAAAGAAATATCGTGCAAACACCACTTAAAAGAAAGCTGCAGTAACGATATTAATATCAGACAAAGTAGACTTCAGAGCAAAGAAAACTTCCATCAATGAAGACAGACATTACATAATAATAAATGGGGCCAATTCACCAAGACAACATAACAACCCTAAAGGTGTGAAGCACTTATCCATGAAGCTTCAAAATACATTAAGCAAAAATTGACAGAACTAAAGGAGAAATAGACAAATTCATAATTACAGTGAGAGACTTCAATAGTCTGCTTTCAGTAATCAACAAAACAACAGACAGAAAATCAGCAATAATAGAGAAAAATTAAATAATAACATCAACAAAATGGATCTAATCAACATTTATAGCACAACCTACTCCAGAACAACAGAATACACATTCTTTTCAAGTACACATGAAATAGTCACCAAGAGAGATCATATGCTGGGCCATAAAACAAATTTTAACAAATTTAAAAAGCAAAAACCAAAAAATTAAAATCATACAATACATTCTCTGACCAAAATAGACTTTGACCAGAAATCAATAACTGGAAGATTACAGGGAAACCTCCAAATACTTAAAAATTAAACACACTTCTAAATCAGTTGTCAGCAGACTCTTTCTGTAAAGAGCCAGAGAGGAAGCATTTTCGGCTTTGCAGGCTAAGCAATCTCTGTTGCAAGTACTGATCTCTGCCATTGCAGCACAAAAGTGGCCATAAGCAATGCAGAAAACAAGTGGATGATATATTTGCTAATTACCCTGATTTGATCATTACACAATGTATACAGTCATCAAAACATCACATCATACCCCATAAATAAGTACAATCATGTCAATTAAAAATAAAACAAAACTTTTAAAAAATGGGCAGTCATGTTCTAATAAAACTTTATGAACACTGAAGCGAGCAGCAAGATCTCTAAATGCATAAGAACCTACACTTACTTGTAAACGCTTAAATTCAGCGGGGTTGCTGTACTTGAAATAGAACGCATTCTAAAATCTGTTACTTACTTCTAGTCTTAATCTATGTTAAAAAAAAAAAAAAAAAGGTGTGGCTGAGTGCGGTGGCTCACGCCTGTAATCCCAACACATTGGGAGGCCGAGGCAGGTGGATCACCTGAGGTCAAGAGTTCGAGACCAGACTGGCCAACATGGCAAAACCCTGCCTCTACTAAAAATACAAAAAATTAGCCAGGCATGGTGGCGGGTACCTGTAATCTCAGCTACTTGGGAGGCTTAGGCAGAAGAATCACTTGAACCTGGGAGGCAGAGGCTGCAGTGAGCTGAGATCGCGCCACTGCACTCCGGCATGGGCAACAAAAGTGAAACTCCATCTCAGAAAACAAACAAACAAACAAACAAACAGGTGTAACAATTCTCTTACCATAGTCAGCCCAGGCTGCATTCCAGCACGGATGGCTTCTATCTGTGTATGAGTGAACTGAATCGTATTACTGCAAATAAGAGTAAATAAAAAGTTGGTACAGATAAATGATGCTTTGTATAATACAAATTTAGACAACAATGACCAGTGGTCTAAATATCTGCTCTGTATTTACCCCAGTTCTCTCAATCTCTTCTGAATGACTCCCTTCACCTCTACCCCTCAACACAGACAATTAAAATGGAATTATAGTTATTTTTCGGGACTTAGCCCATCCCAGACCTCATTTGGAGTGCCAAAGTTCTAGTTTCCATTCTAATACTAAATATAATGCCAATTTACTAGTTATGGCACACATGCATTAGGGCTACTGCTATATGTAACACAGGCTCATGAAGTAAGAACCCTTTGCTCAAATTAAGGTAGACCTCTAACATTTATTTCTCATAGTACCTGAAAATGTTTCTTTTTGAAATATTATGACTACAGAATGGCCTAAAATGTCAGTTATTCAGCTGACTGACAGAATAGAAAGAAAGAGGGTTCAGAAACAGGAGTTTTGTGGAGTTTTAAAAGAAACAGAAAATTTAAAAACATTCCTAATCCAGTTGAAATGGCAAACTATTGTTCATCATTACAATTATAATAGGTAGTAAAATTACCGTTTGGGTTGATTATAAGGATAAGGACCCCTATTAGGAATAACATGGGGCTCAACAATTAAGGTTTTTGCTTCCTCGGTGTCTTCATCTTCCACATCCGCATCTTTCCTTTTCTTCCCTTTTCCACTTCTTACTGGAAAAGTTATCCTACAAGACCAAAACTTCTGTTCATTTTTGCAATTAACAAGGATTTACTGAGTACCTATCTGGTGCATGACATTGTATGCACGATAATCAGAGGAGTAAGAAACATTTCTGGCTTAAAGGAACGATATCTGTATGTAAACTCTGAAAATGGTCGAGTTACAAGCCCTAACGTGTGTTGGGAGTTTTCAAATTTAAAAAAGTCACCCAGTTAACGGAGAATTACGGGAGAATTTAAAGAAACATTAAATATTATCTCATGTGCATTGTAAAGTGTTTTATTCATTGTCTGTCCTTCATTTAATCAGAAAAAAATTTCATGGGACAGATGGCATCTAAGATGAGTCTCAAAGAATTTAGACATTCAAAGACGGGAAGAGAAGACATTCCTGGAAGAAAGAAGCAACAGCAGAGGCCAAGTACAAGCAGCGTATTTCGCCTGGGCATAGGGTAGAGAAAAATAAGGCTGAAGAGACAGAAGCCTTGTTATGACAGGAACCTTATAATGACATGTCTAGAATATGAAGCTTTTAAGGCAGAGGGTCATAACCTGGGGTTAGGAGGTAACTCCCCACAGATACCTCAGGGAAGTCAATGAACTCCCTAAAATTGAACTAAAAAATTCATTCTCTATGTGTACTTTTTCCAGTTGTCTTTCACATTCTAAAAAAATAGATAACACCAAAGAATGCTAAGAGCCAATGAGGCTAAGTGGTCAGCACTTATTTTGGTAAGAAATAGGAGCATATCAGCTTTTTAGCTAGGCAGTGAATAGCTCTAGCAGTAAACCATGTAATGGATTCTAGTGAGGTGAGACAGGGAGGAAAGATTTTGCTATCATAAAGACTGCTGAGGGCCTAAAGAGGGAGCAGTACAAATGGCACATGAAAAAACTATCCTCGGCCAGGCGCGTTGGCTCACACCTGTGATCCAGCACTTTGGGAGGCCGAGGCGGGTGAATCACGAGGTCAGGAGATCGAGACCATCCTGGCTAACACGGCGAAACCCCATCTCTACTAAAAATACAAAAAATTAGCCGGGCGTGGTGGCGGGCGCCTGTAGTCCCAGCTACTCAGGAGGCTGAGGCAGGAGAATGGCGTGAACCCGGGAGGCAGAGCTTGCAGTGAGCCAAGATGGAGCCACTGCACTCCAGCCCGGGTGACAGAGCGAAAAAACTATCCTTGGCCGGGCGCGGTGGCTCACGCCTGTAATCCCAGCACTTTGGGAGGCCAAGGTGGGTGGATCACGAGGTCAGCAGATCGAGACCATCCTGGCTAACACGGTGAAACCCTGTCTCTACCAAAAATACAAAAAAAAAATTGCCAGGCGTGGTGGCGGGCGCCTGCAGTCCCAGCTACTCCGGAGGCTGAGGCAGGAGACTGACGTGAACCCGGGAGTCGGAGCTTGCAGTGAGCAGAGACGGCGCGCCACTGCACTCCAGCCTGGGCGACAGAGCAAGACTCCATCTCAAAAACAAAAAAAAAATCCAAAAAACTATCCTCAAGGCAGAATCTCTGAGATATAGCAGGAGTTTTATGGGAGTAAAAAGATTCAAAAATAATGCTGAGATTTCAAGATGCAGGAGTAGAAAAATGTCTTTGCCATAAATAGGATTAGGAAAGTATGGAGGGAGACTAGGTTTGGGTGTATAAAGGATACGTATATTTAAAATGTAGAATTAATTATTATTTTGGGATAGAGTCTCGCTCTGTCTCACCCAGGCTAGAGTGCAGTGGTGTGATCATAGCTCACTGCAGCCTCACACTCCTGGGTTCACGTGATCCTCCCACCTCAGCTTCCCGAATAGCTGGGACTGTAGGCACACACCAATCTTGCTAATTTTTTTTTTTTTAATAGAGATGAGGTCTCAGTTGCCCAGGGTGGTCTGGAATTCCTGGCCTCAAGCAATCCTCCCAACTTCACCTCCCAAAGTGTTGGGATTACAGGTATGAGCCACCACACCTGGCCTATTATTATATATATATATATATACAGTTGAAAGCTGTGTGTTTTCTAATTTCTAGGCAAGAAAGTAATCTGTGGGCTACCACCCATAGGTATACTCAGTGCCTTACCACTAATCCATATGAAGGAATTCAGGGAATAACAACCAATTATTTCAGGTACTTTGTTCTGTTTTCACTTAAATTTTAAGACCAGACCTAATTTAAGATTAAATATGACTATTGTATTTATTTTATTTATTTAGAGATGAGGTCTTCCTCTGTCACCCAGGCTGGAGTACAGTGGCACAACCATAGCTTACTACAGACTTAAACGCCTGGGTTCACACAATCCTCCTGCCTCAGCCTCCTGAGTTCCTGAAATTACAGGTGTGCGCCACCATGCCCAGCTACTTTTTTGAATTTTTTTAGAGATGGGGTCTCGCTATGTTGCCCAGGCTGGTTTTGAATTCGTGGCCTCAAGCAGTCCTCCCGCCTTAGCCTCTGAAGTCACTGGGATTATATGCATGAGCCATCATACCCAGCTATATTATGAACATTTCAAATTTGTGAAAGCACGCAAAGTTAAAAGAAAAAAAGATTTTTTTCCTAAAAACAAAGTTCAACATCACACAGCTGCATTAGTTGAGAAACATACCAGACTATGCATAACTGCCAAGACATATTTTAGTCAAATGCTATAAATATATTTATATAGTTCTCTTCAGACAATAAGTATTTATTGATCCCTTATTAGGTATTAGACTACTTTTACTGTGGTCTTAAAACAACTTCTGCAGTAAGAAATAGATTCAAATATAATAAAGTTATCCCAGTGATTGTATGGTGAAGGTAGGGACTGCTAAAACAAAATCCAAATATAGTACTCAAAACTCACTTTAGCTAACAATCCTGATGGCATAACGTACATTGACTACAGAATGCTGGAGAGGAGCGTACCCAGTTCTGACTTTACCTGAAAGGGGGTATTTGTAGAGCAGGGTCTTCTACAGTTACTTTAACATTATGACCAGGGAAGCTGGCTTTTAAATGCTCAATGGAGAGAAATGTATCATTGAAATCAAGGGTGGCAATCTGATTGGGCATTTTCGAATAATGTGCACTACTTGGGTCCCCATAACCTAAAATGATATCGTGCAGCCAGTCAGGTACCACACAATCAGTATTCATCAGGTTCCGAATAGTCTCCAGCACAGCCTGTCAGTAAAAGGACAGAAAAAGATTGTGTCAGTATGACATCTCCAACATTTGCACTTACTGGAATGCAGAGCTGGCTGCACTAATCCAGAATTCCCGAGTGTTTCAGAGCAAGAAGCTATTTTCCGCTGGCTGACAGGTGCTTGGCTAGACTGAATCAACAGCTATATTTTCAGCTGATACCACACACTGAGTTAAACAAAAGACCAAACTTAGCAAGAACAGTTTATCCGTTAAGAGTTCGCTTAGACAGAATGACATAAATAAATTTACCATTTGACTCCTATTGAGTAGGATGAAAACCAGACTCAGGTGGACACAGCAGTAAAAAAAACAATATAGAACAAACCCTTAAAGAAAATACTTCCTCTCAGTAACTCCTGGAATTTTTCCCTCTTTATATTCCATAGTTCTTTAATGCTAAAGTCACCCACAACCAGAAGCACATTAATGTATGCTTCAATTGTGATGAAACGTCACAACTTAGAAATATTAAAATTAAGACTGTGAGAAGAAATAAAAAAGCGAACAAAATGATAAAAATAAAGGAAATATCAAATAAAATTTCAGAAGGAAAGAATCAGGACTACAACAAAAGGTCATTATAGTAGTTAGCATATATGCTGTCAAAAATAATTACAAAAAGCCAAGGGAAATTCTTAGACTTTCCAAAAATCATTTCAACAAAGTGAGCTATCTCACATATAGAAATTTGGAGGCTAGGCTATTAATTTCAAAGAATAAAATAACCAAACCGACCATTTTTAAATCATAACTGTTATACAACTTTTGAAAACGATAAGATAGTATATGTTAATCACACCCTTAATCATGTTGCCTTGCTTTATGTTCTTACACTTACCAGTACCTGACATTCTCTTGTTCAGGTACTTGGTTATTTGTTTTATCCCTACTATCCCTACTATCATTTGTTTAATCCCTACTAAAATATAATTCCCACAAGAGTAGGGATCTAGAACAGTTTAAATATGGAATGGGTGAATGAATGAATACCCAAATGAGTATATTCACCTAACAATGATGAATAAGATCAGGGCTCTGCCCTCTAAGGAAATTACAGTTTTAGTAGCAAGATAAAATATGTCCTTAACTGTAACACAAAGCAGCAGAATGGTAAATAGTAAAGAATGTTACAAAATACAGTGGGAACAAAGTTCACAGTAAATCAGAGAGATGGATGCAGGGGACACTTAACATTAGGAAAGGTTTCATGGAGGAAAGTGGCATTTTTATTGAACTCAAGTAAAAGATTTGTGAAGGAGCTTTGATTTATTTCATCATGAATAGAAAGTCAAAGAAATGTTCTGAGAGGGAGAGTAAAATGATCAGTGTCACACAGTAGGAGGAAACATGAAAAACAGGTGACTGGCTATGAGGAGACTCAAGGGTAGACAAAGAGGAGGCTACTATAACTGTCTAGGCAAAAAATAAAGTATCCAGATTAGGACAGGTTGTACAAACTGGAAAAGAGAAAAGGCAATAAATGAGAGATGCTACACAGATACATAATGAAACACCAAAGAAACCAAAAGAGCATTCTTTTTTTCCTAAACATAGGCAAGTTAATCATTCCCCCTCTTTCTTGGATCAGAAACTAAATGCCTCCTTTGAACTTTCAGGACACTTTTATCCACAGGCTTTTTATGGCTTTTGGTACCTTCTAACTGTTCATGGTAGGCATCTGTCTATATTTCTAGCTTCTCTAAAGGTGTAAGTTGTGTCTGATTCATCTTCATAAGCTTCATCTTAGCACAATATCTGACTTACAGTAGGCACTAAATAGTCAAACAAATGAATATAAGAAAACAATGTTTTAGTTTTCAGTGAAGTAACTGAGATTTATTTACTGAAAACTGACCAACTGTGACAGTCAAAGGTACTATAAAACTTGGAAACTCTTAGATTTCTCCATCCTTCGATCACTCAATAAATGTTTATTAAGAACATACTATATAACAGGCACAGTTCTAGGTGCTAAGGATACACTGGCAGACAAAACAAAGACCCTGCCCTCATAGACTTGCTTGCTTCATTGCTTTCTAATGAAGAATTCAGATACATAACAAATGTATAATCATCAGTTATGATACAGGCTCTGAGGAAAAATAAAGGTAATAGGGTAGAAAATGATGAGAAGGGAAGATGCTACTTTAGGTAAGGTTGCCAGGGAAGGCTTCTCTTAGGAGGTGACATTGAAAAACAGTTGCCCATGTCAGGTGAGGAAAAGAACTATGTAAATACCTGGGGATAATTACCTAAGTAAAAGGAACACCATGTGAAAAGTCTTGGATTATTTTAAAAAACAGCAAAAAGGACAGTGTGACTGACATGGAGTGAATAGGAAAAAGTGTTAGAAAATGATGTTGGAGAGGACACCAGAAGACAGATAATGAGAGGGCCTTTTGGATTATGGTAGGAACTTTCTAATGTGATGGGAAACCATTAAAGAATGTTAAGTGGGGGTATCAAATCAAGGTATACTTCACATTTTAAAAGGATTATTCAGCCATTATGTGGACATGTGTAAGGGGAGGAATAGACAAGAAAGGAGGCAGGGATATGAGAGATAAAGGTGTCCTGGACATGGCATCAGCAGAGGTGATGAGCTAATCAGACTTACTGATAGATTAGAGGTAGAGTATGAGATAAAGAGAAATTAAGGATATCTCCATTTGTGTTCAACAACAGGGAGAGATGAAGAACAAGTTCTGCTGTTCAAAAGATTTTCTTAAAAAATCACAACAACAGGGTTACATAAAAGTAATAAAATGATAGGAATGTCTAAGAAGTACTGCACTTTGGGAGAAAGAGAAAAGAAAGGCACTCTTTCTGCAAAAGCTACATGTATCAAATGCTAGAACTGTTCAATGTTTAAGTTTTATAATATAGTTTCAAATAATGGTTTTTAAAACTATCCTTTACTAAAACTCTTCTCCCCACAAAGTTATTCTAAAAGTAGAACTTTGAGCCACCAAACCTCCCTTTCCTACTAATGAGTAAAAATATATTATAACGTATAGTAATTCAGAGCCTTGAGATTCCATATCTGTATTCTTAAAGTGACCTGGAAGTATACCTACTTTTGATTCAAAAAAGAAGCCCCAGTAAACAAGTAAGCAAGTTTTCTTCACTTCATAATAGGGCATTAACTGAATACCTAATATACAAAAAGCAAAAAAGGAGGTGGACCTTTAGAATAACACTTGGATTCATCTATATTTTAAGTTTTTAAACTCCTCAAAAGACAAAATAGATTTAAGAAATCAATTTCTTTAAATTTTTATATTTCATCATTTTGTTAAAAGTTTAAGAGGATTGCTTATAGTAAAAATAAAAGCAGTCATTATTTTTTTCTTAACAAATCTTCCTCTAACCAAATATCTCTGTATTTATGTCATAAAAGTTACTTAAATTATGACATAGTACTTTTAGTTACATACCCCCAAATTACCTTAAAGTTATTTTCCTTTGGTTTTCTCCTCATTATTATATTAAAAGTTTCATACACATCCTCTGCTCCATTTTGTATAGTATTGGTCATATCTTGTTGATACTGGTTTGGATCCAAAAACACTCTAAATGTCCTTGATTCTCCTCTAAGATTGGGTCTGGGTTCAGGTCCTGGACAATTTGAAAAAGTTTGTTAAATAAAATATGTATTTTTCAAATATCAAAATAAGTTAACAGTATTTCTTTTCTAGAAATGGTGAGTAAATGGTTCAGGCTTAACTCCAACCATTCTTCCCAAAGTAGAATGCCCTCCACTCACCCACTTCAAATTCTAAGATGCTGAAAGTATTTTCTTCTTTCTCTAAATTCTTACTATTTCCTTCCATAGCAGTCATGTAATGTTTACGATGCAACACCATGACTTGCAATAATTTGTACACACACTCAACTAAAATAGGAGTACTTAGAAGTCAAAGAACTTATCTTTACTTTTGTCACTCATAGCTCCCACTACTGCCTTACATATAGTAAGTATTCAATAAATATTTTCTAATTAAATATATGTATTTTAGAATTTAAGGCATAGTTTTCTATTCATTAATTCCTTAATTTGACAGAGGTTCATCACTTTTCTCATCCTTCCACATTCCATACCTAGTATAACCAGCATGAAAAGAAATTTCACATACACAGAAATGTAGGATACTAATGGTTGAAAGCCCAGAGCCTTTTCTTTCCTCTCTGACATATCTCCTCTTTTTTGGGGGGGGTGGGGGGAAGGGGGGGTCTTAGACCTCGAACTTTGGTTCCATTATGTGGCCTTATGCTTATTCCATCCATTTTCCATTCCCTTCTCCTATTTCCTCTCATTCTAGAGATAAATAACTTAATCATCAGCAGTTTAGCAATGATATAATCTCTAAACCACAGATAGCATAAACTGACTAAAGTTTCAAAAGAAGTACAACAACCAAATTGTAAAATAAGCACTAGACATGTATGCAGTTGTAATTTAATAATAAGTATTATAAAGGAAGTCAGGACAACAGAAGAAAGAATTTCAAAGGGATAATAAGTGATACACATAAGAAATCAAATAACTGACTAATTTTGTAAAGCAGTGTTTTTAAATGCGGTAAAGTTGGCATCTTATGCAGGATAATTCCTTCTTTTATTTCTGTTCAGATGTTTAGCATCCTTGGCTCACAGTTACCTAATGCCAAGAGCCTGCCATTCCTCACCTCTATCCCGGTCATTTGAAAACCTAAATATCACTATGCATTTTCAAACGCAGGACAGTATTGTTCCCAATTAAGAACCACCACTACAATGAATTAAAATAGTCAAATTTAAGAAGAAAAAATATATCATTGAACACAAAAAAGCTTGGACAACTGTAAGAGATATTTAGAGTGTTTCTTAAAAAAAATATGGTAAAGTATTACATATTTTAAAAAGCTTTGAATAAAGATGATTTCAAAAGATCCTGTCCCAGAGTTCGAGACCAGCCTGGCCAACATGGTGAAACTCTGTCTCTACTAAAAATACAAAAATTAGCCAGGCGCGGTGGCAGGCACCTGTAATCCCAGCTACTGGGGTGGCTGAGGCAGAATTGCTTGAACTTGGGAGGCAGAGGTTGCAGTGGGCCAAGATCGCGCCACTGCACTCCAGCCTGGTTGACAGAGCAAAACTCCGTCTTGGGGGGAAAAAAAGAAAAAGATCCTGTCCTTTCCAATATCTAACATAGAAGTTCTGAAACTGTCTGGGTGTGGTGGCGGCTCATGTCTGTAATCCCAGCACTTTGGGAGGCCGAGGCAAGTGGAGTGCTTGATCTCAGGAGTTTGAGACCAGCCTGGGCAACATGGGGAAACCCCATCTCTACAAAAATTAACCGGGCATGGTCGCACGTGCCTATGGTCCCAGCTACTAGCAGGGCTGAGGCTGGAGAATCGCATGAACCCAGGAGGCAGAGGTTGCAGTGAGCCGAGATTGTGCCACTGAACTCCAGCCTGTGTGACACAGTGAGAAACCATGTTACCTATATCTAAAACTGCACGGTAGGTACCCTACACATATTTGATACAAAATCCTTTGTGTCAATTTAGTAGGTAAAAGAACTAAAAAATATTACCTAAGAAGCAAAAAGGGAAAAAGGCAAAGAAATTTATCATTCTATACACATACTCTTTCAAAAATATAGGTCACCATACCATCTTCAATGACACGTCCTTTATCATCCAGCATGCCCTGAATTTCACAGCCTCTGACATAAACCAGGCCAACCTGCTCAATAAAAGGTCTCCTCCGGTCAAACTTAGTGCCATAAGGTTTTGTGGGACGTACGGTAATTAAAAAGCATACATCATGCTTACGAAGACCTGGTAAGATATAAAGACATTTTCATTTATTAGAATTTCATTGTTTTCAGTCTTTTGTAGGCAAATTCTTATTTGCCTCTCTACCTCTTATCTTTGGTAGAGAGATACCGTTGAGTGACCAATGATTATTATCGCATTGTAACACAATTATGGGCTTTTCTATAATCTTTAATACTCAATATTTCATAGCATTAATTGAAATGAAAACTTCTTTATATTAAAATTAGAAACATTCATGCCATGAATATATTACTGAATAAGCCCTCCAAGTCATGCTACAGCTCCAAAATTGGATGTTCGTCATCATTCTTATTTTTAACAATCTTAATAAGTAACCAAAAATATGGCTGGCATATAATCCATCTATAGCATATTTAGCAGGTTTTTAATATCAGTTTAAACTATCTATCAGTGTCATTCCAAAGACAGCCTAATTGTATTTCACTAAAACAGGTCAACTCAAGAATAATTAATCAAGGCAAAAAAGTATTGTTTACAGGTATGATCTTGAGAAAGATGGCTGAATATATACAGTTTCAGTTGGCAAATCGTGAACATTTTTATAAGTGAATGTCAAGAAAAAGGAGACTTGTGCCAGAGTCCACAGCTTCTTGGTCACTAGACCCAATAAAGAACTCAAATGGCTTCCCAGCTCTATTAAAAGTAGAGAAACTGGAAGACAAGGATTATAAAATTAGACCTCACAGCATGTAATGCTACACCACTTAATCTTCATTCCATTTCTGATGTTTTTGTTAGCCATTACATGACATAAATGTAAATGTAAACAGTCTGCTTGCTCACAACCTTGTTAACAACAAACACAATGAAATCAAATCAACAATGTGGGCATATGGCTAATAGTACTGAAAATATTTTGGTTTGTTTTAATTGGGGGACTGGTTAGAGTATGGGTAAAGGTAGAAATAATAACTCTATTCATAATACTGACTTAATTATTTCCCAATAAATTCTATGCAAAGCAGCAAGAGAAGTAATGAGAATGAATGGGAATCATCCTACTCTCTGAGTTGTACTACCTGTGTGATGTCTGATCTGCACAGCTCATTAAAACTTCTAAGTCTTACAGCCAAAGAAGTGGTCCTGAGAAGTCATTTATCCTCTCCCAAGATAGGAGTTACTTTTTGGCATCACTGAGGGATGACCTCTTGTTCCTTCCTAAAACAAACCACTTTACTCTGGGACATCTTAGATCCACATTTTTTAAAATCCTATATGTCTCTCTCCTTGCAACCATTTGTATCCACCCTATCCTAGCTGTGCTTTCTGGAGCAAATCTGGCATTTCCATTTCATGAATTCTGTTTCCTTAACTTTAAATGAGAATATTGAAGAAGATAAGGGCTTGAGGTTCACACCTTTTCAAAGGGACAAAAGGAATGTTTTATGGTATTTAGTTTAATAATCTTTAAAATTTACTTTTATAAAACAATATTCAGCTGGGCACGGTGGCTCACGCCTGTAATCCCAGCACTTTAGGAAGCTGAGGCAGGTGGATCACAAGACCAGCCTGGCCAAGATGGTGAAACCCCGTCTCTACTAAAAATACAAAAAATTAGCTGGGCGTGGTGGCGGGTGCCTGTAATCCCAGCTACTCGGGAGGCTGAGGCAGAGAATTGTTTGAACCCAGGAGGTGGAGGTTGCAGTGAGCCGAGATTGTGCCACTGCCCTCCAGACTGGGCGACAGAGTGAGACTCCGTCTAAAAAAAAAAAAAATGTATTATTGTTTACAGAATCTCTCCTTTTTACTCCATTTTCTATTTGGCTACCCTATCTGTGATCAATATAGGGGCTGGTTTTTGGCCCAGGCCTCCCATAAAACACTTTTCTCTCCATCATACCCCAGATTATCACTCATCCCACAATACCCTATTGTGCCCTATCTTGCCCATCAAAATGTACCCTGTCCAGTTCTCATTCTACCAGAGGCTGATGTTTAAAAGAAAAAAAGACTGTCTCATGTCCTTCTGAAAGCAGTCAGTAATGGGGGAAGTGGCCTGTTTTTAAACATCCTTTTGTTTTCCTTAACACCAAAATGCAGACCTCTCATCTATAAATTCCTATAGAGTCCTTTAAAATAAACAAAATTCCAACTATCTACTACTTCTGGGGGTACCCAGTAAGTTATCTCAGTTTATTACCCACAGTGTTTAATATCTCCTTAAGCTTCAAGGAATAATAAATATGAGACCTTCTCCAGCAACTTAATGGCTTTCTCGAGGCTCAGCAATAATAAAGGTGCACATTAGTCTAGATGAGTAATATACCAGGATGGAACTCTTTTGAAGGATACAAGGGTTATAAAACAATCTGTCATAAACTATACCCGCTACAGTAGGCATTTGTTAAACATTTGGCTAGCTTTGTTGCTGGATTCCTTCAGAATTCTTTGATATAGTTCCCATGATTATAAACAGCTACACTGGTAGTAATAATTTCTGAAAACAGATCCATTAAGGGACATCCTTTCCTTCTGGCATGCCAAGAAGGTAAAAGGAGGTAAAACCTACTGACTACTGTTTCTCAAAACAGGGCTTTAAGTAAGACCTCTCACAGGACAGCTGGGAGAAAAATATAAAACTGCCTATTAGAAATCAGTTCATATGTCACTTCTGGCAGAGGTCTTATTGATGTTTTAACTCTATTGGACTTAGTAATTTTGAACATATCTGCCTCCAAAACAAATTAATTTTGACATGGAACTCTAATCCTTAAAATCTTGCCTAGCAAAAATAGGAGGAATAACTCCTTTAATTTCTTTGCAATTATTATATATCCTTGACTACATTTGACTTCACTGACTCTTTATCCTTTCTGCCTTAGGCGCAAATAAACTATTATTTATTTCTGAATTGTTTCACTATAGCCCTGCCCACCCCCACATATTCTTTTTAAGCTTGCCTAATTTTTATTTTCCACAAAGTGTATGTATTTCTATTTTTTTCACCTTGGCTACTTTTATCTTTTGAAAAATACCAATTTTCCTTACTGCTCTGCATGTTTGTATGTTATATGTGGGCTTTCTCCCTGCTCTTTGGTGAACACTAATATTTTTATTCTTTTATATTGATGCCAGAAATCCATAAATATTATTTTGCTAAATTTAAGACTTAAAATGCTCTCCTCTAGGCTTTGCAAACTTCAGTTTTCAAAACGTTGATATGTATGCAATTTTATACTTTTTATTAAAGTATTAAGATACCTAAATATTCTTGTATGATCCCTGGTATTTTTAAAACTAATAATTAGAAAAAAAGTTGCTATTCTTTAAATCAAATTTCAAGGATAACGCTTAATAAAAGCTTTAAAGGATAACATTTAGTAAAAGTACTTTGTTAATGCTCTAAGTGAAAGTTCATAACAAGGCAAAAGGTAATGTCACTTTTTGAAATACAAACTTACCTTCCCATTCATCTTTGATGTGATCTCTGACATTGAGATTTATGGTAACATCTGCACGAACTCGGGTTGGCCAGTTTTCACCTATGTTGGGTTTGGCCACTTCAACGACAGTGAAAGCCACAATGGGCTGGGCCATTCGCGCCCAACCACCAAACACTACACCGCCATATTCAGATTGCCTGAAACCAAAGAAATGGATGATTACTCAAACAAAAAATAATTTATCCCCAACTTTTAGACAAGTTAAAACTAGTAAGTAGGAATACTGTTCAGCTAGTATTTAAGTCCTAATATTAGTAACTCTTATTTCTTAACTTAAAAAAAAGAAAACCTTTAACTCTCAAAGTATGCAAAGTATATAAGATAGCATGAAACAGGGATATGATAGCATGAAACAGGCAAACATGGTCCAGAAAAGAAAGAGAAGTAGAGGAATATCTCCTCTCCAACCTAAGAAAAAAGCTAACCCTATGTACATAAGAGCATTCTGGGGCTGAGCCATTTTATCAAAGAAATAAATAATCCAGCACACTTAGTTTTATTTCAGCTTTATTGACGTATACTTGACAAATAAAAATTGTATATAGTTAAGGAATACAATGTGATGTTTTAAACTATGTATACACTGTGATATCATTACCAACACAGTTAGCATTTTTTGTGTGTGTGGTAAGAATACTTAAGATCTATCCTGTCAAGTTTCAAGTACATAAAACATTAATTATAGTCACTATACTTTACATTAGATCTCCAAACTTATGTATCTTGTAACTGAAAGTTTAGACCCTTTGACCAACATGACCCCATTTTCCCCACCTACAACCTGATAACTGCCCTTCTACTGCTTCTATGAATTTGCCTTTTTTAGATTCCATATGTAAAGTGAGATAATCAGTTTTTGTCTATCTGTATCTGGCTTAATACATTTAGCATAATGTACTCCTGGTTTATCCATGTTGTCAAAAAAAGGATTTCCTTCTTTTTAAAAGGTGAATCATATCCCATTGTGTGTTTTTATATATGTACACACACACCACATTTTCACATTTTCTTTATCCATTCAGCCCTTAAGTTGTTTCCACATCTTGGTTATTGTGAATAATGCTGCAATGAACACAAGAGTGCAGACATCTCTTTGGGACAGTGATTTTATTTCCTTTGGATAAACATTCAGAAGTGGGTTTGCTGGATCATATGATAGCTCTGTTTTTTAATTTTTTGAGGAACCTCCATACTGCTTTCCATAATGGCTGCACTAATTGACATTCCCACCAATAGTGTATAAGAGTTCCCTTTTCTCCACATCCTTGCAAACACTTGTTATCTTTTGACTTTTGATAACAGCCATTCTAACAGGTGTGAGGTTTGAATATCTCATTGTGGTTTTGGTATGCATTCCCTTGATGATTTGTGATGTGGAACACCTTTTCATCTATCTGTCATTTGTATGTCTTCCTACAAAAAATAGTATTGAAGTCCTTCACCCATTTTTTATTGGGTTATTTGGTCTTCTGCTATTGAGTATTATGAGTTCCTTACATATTTTGGATATTAACTTCTAATCAGACACATGGTTTGCAAATATTTTCTTCCATTCTGTAAGGCTGCCTTTTCATTTTGTTGACTGTTTCCTTTGCTGTATAGAAACTTTTCAGTTTGATGTGGTCCCCATTTACTTATTTTTGCTTTTGTTCTCCATGCTTTTGGTATCACCCAAAAATCATTGCCAAGACAAATGTTATGGAGCTTTTCCCCTATGTTTTCTTCTCGGAGTTTCATGGGTTCAGGTCTTACGTTAAAATCTTCAATCTATCTTCAGTTAACTTTTGTGTATCATGTAATATAGGGATCCTATTTCATTTTTTTACAAGTAGATATCTAGCTTTCCCAAGACCATTTTCATTTCCCCATTGTATACTCTTGGCACATGCATCGAAGATTAAATGATTGTACAAGTGTGGGTTTACTTCTGGGCTTTCTGTTCTCTTTTGTTGGTCTATGTGTTTTTATGCCAGTAACATACTGTTTTGACCACTGTAGCTTTGTAATATAATTTGAAATCAGGAAGTATGATGTCTCCAGCTTTGTTCTTCTTGATCAAGATTGCTTTAGCTATTCAGGGTCTCTTCATGTTACAAATTGGCAGCTTTTTATTTCAGCTTGGAGAACTTCCCTTAGCATTTATTGTAAGGCAGTCTAGTGGTCATAAACTCTCTCAGTTTTTGTTCTCTTCTGTTTTTCTGTCTTTATTTCTCTTTCATTTCTGAAGGACCTCTTTACTTAGTTTTATTTTATATTGTTATCCTTTTATCCTCTTCATAAAGACCATTTCAATTGTTAATATTTTATTTTCTATATTTTAAGTATTTCTATAAGCTGTTTCAAATACATTTTAGGACAAGCTATAATTTCAAAAAAAATTAAAAACAAGCAAACAAAGAATATCTATGTAAAAACCTCCTTTAGAGCATATTTAAATCATTTAAAAGATGTTGCTATGGATTGGAAGGAAAAAAAAAAACAAGCTAGTTGTAATAAACAGAACCACTAACATCCCAATGCCCATTCTTTCTTCTTATGTCAGTCTAACGAGTCTTTAGTTTTTATATTAAAAAGTTGTATTTGGGAAATACGTAACATAAAAACTGAAGCAACACTCCAAAGTTATGAAGTACTGCAGAATACAACATACCTACAAAGATAAACTGCCTCCTATGTAAAGACTTTATGTCACAACAAAAAATTGTAGCACTTCATAACATTAAAAAGAGAAACTAATTAAAAACAAAATTCTGCAATCAATGGCTTGGTTAGTATTGGGACAATGTCTAAAAGGAATTACTTAGTGGCTAAACCCTTGTGAAACAACTTCCTATCACCTCCTCCATTTTTTACAGCTTTAATGCAGTATAGTTTACATACCATAACATTTATCCACTATAAATATACAAGTCCATAGTTCTCAGTAAATTTACAGAGTTGTGCATCCATCACCACAAAATCCAGTTGTGGAACATTTCCATCATCTTTAAAAAGATCCCTCTTGTCCAGTTGCAGTCAATCCCTGTTACCAAACCCAAGCAACCGCTAATCTACTCCTCTTACCCCTTTCTCTTCTTATAAAATCTACTTGAAGCATTAAAAAGTATAGATTTCTGGCCCTTAAGCACATCCTCTCTTACTGCTGGTTAGTGGGCTTCAGCACCCTGAAAACATAATCATTGGAACCATGTAATGAGTAAAAATGCCTCTGCTGGTTTTCATCTTCAAGATACATGAAACAGAAAGAAGCCTGGCCCCCTTTTAGGTTTCGACATTTTTAATAATTTTCAATGATGGGCATTAAAAATGTAAATTTAGAAAAATCTATTATTACCAGTGTGAATGAATTAACTCCAAGAAGTGACATTTTCTTCCCCAGCCAGAAAATGGTATAATTAAAAAAAATTTTTTTTATTAACAGACCAAAAGAACTCAAAGTATTTTTGTTGCACTTGGCATTTAAGTAAAATATAAATGAATTCTATTTGTTGAACTGCCAGTTAATAAATCGCTAGTCTGCAAAATGGCCAAAATTAGGCCCAGAATCTGAGCATATAAACTCAAGGTAACCATAAATTGTAAAGAAGTTTTCTGATCAAGCACTCCCCTAGGGTGCAAACAATGGGCAACAATTTCAGCAAAGCTGTGGGCAGGAATGATCAGCCAGTGGGTATACAAATTTCACAGTGTTTGCCTGCCTACTGACTCAACTGATTATTAAGTCAAAAATGCTTTGTGTTGTATTTTATAGTCTCACCCAGAATAACTTTTCACATAACAATTAATTAAAAAATAGAACTCTCTATGAAATAAAACATGGAAGTGAAAAAATAGATCATAATCACAGTGTCTGTGGTAGCTCTCCATAATTAGTAAGCAGAAGCCTGGAAGATACCTGAATCAGTTCACATTCCAAAGCTGTTCAGCTTTTCACATAAAATGCAGTATAATCGTGTATGTATACATGGTGTCCTATTATATAATGTAATAAAAATCCATCTCATAGTATTTTACTCATTTATAATCACTTGTGATGTATAACTTACATCCATCAATTTCATACTTGATGAAATTGTGAATGAAATAGTGAATAAAGAGCATTTGCCTCAAGTCAGCCATATCTATAAAACCAAATTAACCTTACAAATTCTTGTAATGCAGAGCTGCTACAATTACCAGAATGAAAGACTTTTCTTAGCTAAAGGAATTTCAGACATGAGCTAGCAGGTGGGGAGTGGAGTTTATGCAGAAGAATTCCTCAAATAACAAGACCAACTCAACTGGCCCTAAAAGTAAATCCTGGTGATTTACTTTCTTCCACAGAATCTATGGGTAGAGAGACAGAGATTTTCTAATGTACCACCCCGGGCAATGTGCAGCAACAGCCCTAATCCTCTGTCCATTCCCCTAGAGAGGCTGCCTGAGAATACTGTGGCAACAGTGACAAGAGTAGGTGGATTAATGGTACACCCCTTTATCATAAGCTTCCTCCAGGACTTAAACTGTTCTGACCTAGTACGGGCCTGCTTGGCCAACCCCTAGCCTTCCAATCGGCCTTTAAGTAAGGTCTGACCTACTCCCTCTACATTTCCCCCTTCCCTTCTTGAGCATGACGACTTCTTCTCCCTTATCCCCAGTCTCCCACTCCCATTCCCAAGTACCCAGATATGTGGTTTATATTTTAGCACTTTTGATGTATGTTAATTCACATTTAAAAATGTCTCAAAGAGTAAATATCTCCTATTTTAGAGGGCACTTTTGTCTCAGTATATTATTTCTAAATATACTTATAAGGTTTCTGACAGAAGTTTATCAGTCACTGTTTGCATCTCTTCATTACAGGTGGAACCAATTTACTAACCATGGCTTCATTCTGCTGACACTATCTTCAATGTCCTGACGAATTTCATAAGTTGATTCTAAGCGGAAGAGGTTAAAGTTCCTTAGCAGGTAGTCATGAAGAGTCAAAAACTGCAAATTCAATTTGGGAAGAGCAAGACAACCTGAAAAGGAAAAAAACATCCATATTTCAATTTTTTTTTTTTTTTGAGACGGAGTCTCACTCTGTCACCTGCACAATCTCGTCTCACTGCAACCTCCGCCTCCCAGATTCAAGCCATTCTCCTGCCTCAGCCTCCTGAGTAGCTGGGATTACAGGCACCTGCCACCATGCCTGGCTAATTTTTTGTGTTTTTAGTAGAGACAGGGTTTCACTATGTTGGCCAGGCTGGTCTCGAACTCCTGACCTTGTGATCTGCCCACCTTGGCCTCCCAAAGTGCTGAGATTACAGGCGTGAGCCACCGCACCCGGCCTGAATTATTCTTTTAATCAGATATTTGTTCTCTGTATTAAAAAACTGGCACCTCAAAACTATAAGAATCTAATGAATGCCTGAAATGCAGCATATCTGATAACAACTTATTTTTGTTTTCACACAGATGTTAAAACCAGATTAATAAATGTTGGCTATTAAGAATTAGGGGTGAGGCCGGGCACGGTGGCTCACGCCTGTAATCCCAGCACTTTGGGAAGCCGAGGCCGGTGGATCACCTGAGGTCAGGAGTTTGAGACAGCCTAGCCAACATAGTGAAACCCCATCTCTACTAAAAATACAAAATATTAGCTGGGTGTCATGGCGGGCGCCTGTAATCCCAGCTACTCAGGAGGCTGAGGCAGGAGAATCACTTGAACCCGGGAGGCAGAGGTTGCAGGAAGCCAAGATCATGTCCTTGCACTCCAGCCTGGGCAACAAGAGCAAAACTCCGTCTCAAATAAAAAAAAAAAAAGAGAGAGAATTGGGGTGAAGGATGAGTTTTATTAATACATGTAATCTGCATATGAGTGATCTGTATGTAAACAGTACTCCTTCAAAGTATTTAAAGATACTTGTACTAACAGTCTCAAGTAGTTTAAAACTTCTTCCCTTATCACCTAATTTATATTTGGCAAAATACTGAAGTGAATAATGTTACCATAAATTTAGCCCATGACAAAATTTAGCATGAACACTGAATTATTATGTTACATTGCATAAATCAATCTCCAATGATTATTATTGTGCTCTGAACTTGCCTTCTGGCTAAACTTTAAGGACCAGACATTGTTTGTATGTTATTCCAGACTCCCCCTTTTCATTATTCTCACTTAACACTATTTCTCTTAGACAATAAGTGACCACTGAGCTGCAATATCAAAAAGGTTTTAAAAAATCCCAGAACACATTTTACTGATAAGTCATAGTCTCATCATTGTTGTCCATACTACCAAAAAAAAAAATAAACTTAAATACAACAAACATTGATGTACAAAAATTTAACATTATTTATATTAGTAAACTCTGACTTGTAATCTAACTCAATTTCTTTCAATAGCACATTTTTATTTAAAAAAATGACAACTAAAATGTCACCACTTTGCAACACTCACTGAATTAACAAATCTAGGTGTTAAATATCTATAGCTACTAATAGCACAAAAAAAGAGACAAGTAGATAGTATGTGCCTCCTGATGAAAGAACACACCACCACCAAGAATCTTGCCAAGGATAACCTTAGCCTGATCAAGCCTCTGCACAAGGTGGTACTAATTTGCAAGAAAAATAAAGAACAGAGGAACATGCTGCAATATACCATGAGTATTCAATCAGAAAAATCTATAGACTACGGGAACTCTATGATCAAACAACTCAAGTTCTTCAGCAGAACAAAAAAAAAAAAAAAAAAAGAAAGAAAGAAAAAAAGGGATGTATAGAAGGTACCAGTAAAGTAAAAGACATTTTTTTAATGAAACCTTGTAACCACCTTGTCAGCTATCCCAGAATACTCCTATGTGCCCTTTCCTGGTTACAGCTTCTTCCCTTTACCCGAAAGTAACTATTTTCTGACTTTTATAGCAATCGCTATCTTGAATTTCTTTATAGTTTTATCATCCAGGTGTGCATCCCTAGACATGAGAAAGCAACATATTAACCACTGTAAGAACATAAAAAGATATGAAGACTGCCTATGTTCTGAAATCTAGCACAATATTAGTGCACTGGGTCTATCGGAGTTATGGCTCTAGGATATGTCTTAGATTAACCATTTTAAGTAAATATACCAATACTTATACTTGTGATGTCTTTAAAACAGTCACATTTCTTCTACTAATGATGCCATTGTTCAAAAAAGTCCTGAAATTTCTTTTGAAATATACCTTCAAAGTATATCTGAATGCACTTTTGCATATACTCAGTTGTGGCAAATTCTCATCCTCAGAGGATGCGTGAAAAGTGTTTAGATCCAAATCTGGGGAAATAAGTGAACAAACTAGGCAATACCATTTTGGATCAACACTAAGGGTTTACTATCAATAAATGATAATGTCTTTTTTTTGGTGATCATTACCTGCTTTACATAGAATTCAAAAGAGCCCCTAAGAAAAGCCTTTGAAAAACAAAAGCTCTATCAAACACAGCCTATCATAGTGACAAAATGAAAGCTATACTTCATGCATTATAAGGTCTCCTTGAAAACAGTCTTATGGTCAGCTGCAGTGGTTCACACCTATAATCCCAGCACTTTGGGAGGCTGAGGTGGGCAGATCGCTTGAGCTCAGGAGTTCGAGATCAGCCTGAGCAACATGGCGAGACCTTGTCTCTACTAAAAAAAAAAAAAAAAAGCTGGGTGTGGTGGTGCACGCCTGTGGTCCCAGGTACTCGGGAGGCTGAAGTGGGAGGATCACTTGAGCCCAGAGACTGAGGCTGCAGTGAGCTGAGACTGCACCACTGCGCTCCAGCCTGGGTGACAGAGCAAGACCCTGTCTCACACTAACAAACAAAAAAAACCAAAACAGTCTTAGGGCTTTATGGTCGTATTTTTTACAGGGTGATATGTGTATAGTTAAATTTAATAAAAACCCTTAGTGCTAAAGCATTCAAAATACTAAATCTTTTCTAGCTTCTAAAGTTAACTTCTGGGCACCAGGAAATTATCCTAATGTACAGAGTAGACTCAAGTACACTGCCTATAATTGCCAATTATATATGATAAATCTGAAATTGTTTCATTGTACAGCTGAATCCATACTTCTTTACCATACCTTCTCCAGAATAGTACTCAGTTGGGACAATATTTTCATCCCATATAATTTTCTCAGTTGGATACAAAGGCATCTGGTTCAACTGCTGAATCTGAGAAATTCGACGTTCATGACGAGATACCTAAAATAAAGGAAACAAGTTCATGCAGAAGGTTAGAAGCATCTTTTTTCAATCAAAATAATTTATGGAAGAAGTTTCATGCCTATCAGTTATTGTAGCAGTTCAACAAGCGATTTTTTTTTCTTTTCCTATTTTCTCCATAGATCAAAGATGAGAAACAAACCAATGGTAATGGTCTTTGGAATCAGACAGACCTGAGTTCAAATCCCAGCTCCTCTACTTATGAGTACTGTAAAAGCTGGGCACGTTACTTTAACCTTCCTAACCTTAGTTTCCTTTTCACTAAAACAGATAAAGTGCCACACATCTCAAGTTTCCAATGAAATATGAAATAGTGTCAAAGTCCCTGGCACATGCCAAGGGTTTAAAAACCATGACACTTAGCATTAATCAATGTAGGAAAAAATAGGAGCTCTAGGTTTTGGACTATAGTTTTCATTCTTATACTAACTAGCTATACCATCTGGGAAAGTTTATTAATCTATCACCCTAGTCTTCTCACTCTATGTTCCTTTCCATGATGACCTCTGTGTACCCTTAATATTAATAATCTATCTCAAATATGAAAATAAGTGTTACACCGGGTGCAGTGGCTCATGCCTTTAATCCCAGCACTTTGGGAGGCTGAAGCAGGTGGATCACCTGAGGTGAGGAGTTCAAGACTAGCCTGACCAACATGGTGAAACCCCATCTCTACTAAAAATACAAAAATTAGCTGGGCGTGGTGGTGCACACCTGTAATCCCAGCTACTCAGGAGGCTGAGGCAAGAGAATTGCTTGAACCCGGGAGGCGGAAGTTGCAGTGAACCGAGATTGCACCATTGCACTCCAGCCTGGGGGACAGAGTGAGACTCCATCTCAAAAAAAAAAAAAAAAGAAAGAAAAAGAAAAATAAGTGTTTATCTAATAATGCTAAAATGACATATTCTTAAAATGTATCACATTCTCTTCAGTGAAGATAGTATAATTATAGAAAAAATCATGATATCTAAACAATATGTATGTTTTAACTTTTTGATCATAAATTGAATAGTAGAAGAATCCAAAGCCTGGGGAAATCCTTTAGGGAAGGGAGGAAACAAAACATAATGTTGTAGCACTATACATTTTAAAAATTATTTTCTTTTGTTGGAACTATTTAAATTTTAGGAATAAAATTCTAGCCACAAGACCTTAATAGGCACAGGATCAACGTTATCCTCAAACTTATTTTCCATTAGAAGAATTCCTGAAAACAGGTTGGGCACGGTGATTCATGCCTGTAACCCAACACTTTGGGAGGCTGAGGTGGGTCAATCACTTGAGGCCAGGAGTTCAAGACCAGCCTGGCCAACGTGGCGAAACTCTATCTTCTACTCAAAATACAAAAATTAGCTGGGAGTGGTGGCACACATCTGTAATACCAGCTACTCGGGAAGATGAGGCACGAGAATCACTTGAACCTGGGAGGCAGAGGTTGCAGTGAGCTGAGATCACGCCACTGCACTCCAGCCTGGGCGACAGAGAGAGACTCGGTATCAAAAAAACAAAACAAACAAACAAACAAAAAAACAAAAAAAGAAGAAGAATTCCTGAAAAAAATCCTCATTTCTTTCTATTGCAAAGAGTTATTATTAATTCCAAAAACCTTACTCATGAGAGGTTTTACATTGTCAGAAAATAGCACAGGAATTTTTAGGAACTGAAAGAGACAATGAAAGTGATTTGCATATAAATAGTTGCTAATAGAATGATTCATCCAGAAAGTAGTTCGAAGAGATAAAATACTTGAGTAAAGAAATTCGAAAGATGAGAAAACAAAAAATCAAATGATAATACAATTCCAAAAACAAAATGGGAATTATCTGCCTAATCTTTGGCCCACAAAAAAATCTATATGAACCTACATCTTTAAGAATGACTTTAAAAGGCAAGGAAAACCACATGCAAAATTCAGAGAACATTAATATTTACCAGCAATTCTAGAAGAAATTCTTTATCAAAAGTTGTGTCTTCATTTTTAGGAAGAGTTGGCAACAAGCAGAGGTATGATGCCACCTGGTGGAGTGTGTTTGAACTGCAGAATAGAGAACAATATTTTATTCATAGTAACTTACTTCACTTCACTTTTGAAACATGTATTTTTACAAATAGCTTAAAAAAGCAAATATAATACTATGACATGGGCAGCAAATATCAAAAACCAGCAATGAAAATTAAGGCTTTAGTGCAGGGTTCTCAAAATATTTTCTGCAAACCTCTCATTGTACCCAAGATCCTTCTGGGCAGTCCCCAAGAACACTTTTAAATATTAATACCGGCAGGGCAAGGTGGCTCAGGCCTGTAATCTCAGCACTTTGGGAGGCCGAGGCAGGCAGATCCCGGGGTCAGGAGATCGAGACTATGCTGGCTAACATGGTGAAATTCCGTCTCTACTAAAAATACAAAAAATTAGCCGGGCGTGGTGGCGGGCGCCTGTAGTCCCAGCTACTCGGGAGGCTGAGGCAGGAAAATGGCGTGAACCCGGGAGGCGGAGCTTGCAGTGAGCCGAGATCGCGCCACTGTACTCCAGCCTGGGCGACAAAGCGAGACTCCGTCTCAAAAATAATAACAATAATAATAACAATACTAAGACATTGTTTCACAGTTTTATTTAAGAATGTCCTTGATGAAGCAGTAAAAAAAAATTAATACTATTAAATTTGGACTCGAGTACCTGTTTTATTTTAAATTCTGTGACAAAATGGGAAGTACATATTTTGCACACAACTTTTACTTTAAAAAACAACAAACTGTTGGACCGGGTGCAGTGTCTCACACCTGTAATCCCAGTACTTTGAGGCCGAGGTGGGCGGATCACAAGGTCAGGAGTTTGAGATCAGCCTGGACAATATGGTGAAACCCCGTCTCTACTAAAAATACGAAAATTAGCCAGGCGTGGTGGTGAGCGCCTGTAGTCCCAGCTACTCAGGAGGCTGAGGCAGGAGAATCGCTTAAACCCAGGAGGCAGAGGTTGCAGTGAGCCGAGATTGCACCACTGCACTCCAGCCTGGGCAAAAGAGCGAGACTCCATCTCAAAAAAAAAAAAAAAAAAAATGACAAACTGTTTATACCAGCCTTGGACAAATGGCCAATTTTTTTTCAAATTTCAAATTTTGAATGAAATAAGACTATAATTTCAAGGAAAACAACTATCAGTATTTGCTGTCAATGATAAAATTTGAACTTCCATGTGAACGTGAAAAATTAGAATTTTGGAAAACTGGTATTTGCCACCATGAGCTTCATAGCTTTCCACTATTTAACTGGTTTCATCACCTCCCCAAAATCCCTTATGCTAATTTATAGCAAATCCTCCTCTCCATCCCAGCCCAGCAACCATAATCAGTTTTCTATTTGTAATTTTATCTTTTCCAGGAGGTCAAATAAATGGAATCACACATTAGGTAGTCTTTTTTCTTGCTTGTTTTTTGAGACGAGTCTCACTCTGTTGCCCAGACTGGAGTGCAGTGGCATGATCTCAGCTCACTGTTACCTCCACCTCCCGGGCTTAAGCAATCCTCCCACCTCAGCCTCCCGAATAGGTGGAACCACAGGTGCCCACCACCACACTCGGCTAAATTTTTGTATTTTTGGTAGAGACGAGGTTTCACCATGTTGCCCAGGCTGGTCTCAAACTCCTAAGCTCAAGTGATCTGCCTGCCTTGGCCTCCCAAAGTGCTGGGATTACAGGTGTGAGCCACCATGCCTGGTCTTAGGTAGGTAGCCTTTTGAATGGCTGCTTTTACTTAGCATAATGCATTTGAGCATTTGAGATTCACCCACACTGTATATTTATCTGTAGTTGGTTCCTTTACGTTGCTGAGCAGTATTTCATGATACGGCTGTATCACAGTATGTTTATTCATTCAACAGTTGTGGGATATTTGTGTAGTCCAGTTTTTGACGATTTTGAATAAAGCAACTATATTCATTTTTGTACATATTTTTGTGTGAACATAAGTTTTCACTTTTCTTGAATATATCTGTAAGTGGAAAATACTGGATCATAATGTTAAGTTCATGTTTACCTTTATAAGAAACTCAAATTTTTCCAAAGTGGCTATCCCACTTTGAATTCCCACCAGCAATTATGAGAATTCCAATTGCTCCACATCCTTGCCAAGAGTCAATATTATCCGTTTTGGGGTTGTTTTTTGTTTTTTTGGTTTTGTTGAGACAGGGTCTTACTCTGTCATCCAGGCTGAAGTACAGTGGCAAGATATAGCTCACTGCGGCCTCGATCTCCTGGGCTCAAGCAATCCTCCTATCTCAGCCTCCTGAGTAGCTGGGATTACAAGCATGTGCCACCACGCCTGGCTAATTGTTTTGATTTTTAGTAGACAAGTCATCCTTCCACCTCAGCCTCCCAAAGTGCTGGAATCACAGACGTGAACCATTGTGCCTGGCCTTATCCATTAAAAAAAAAACAAATTCTAATAGGTATGTAGTATCTTCTTATGGTTTAAATTTGCATTTCCCCAATGACTAAACATGTTAAGCATCTTTCCATGGGCTTATTGACATCTATCTACCTACTTTGGTCAAGTGTCTGTTCAAATCTTTTGTCACCTGTAAATTGTTTTATTATTATAGGAGTCCCCCCTTATCTGTGGTTTCACTTTCCCTAATATCAGTTACTCATGGTTGACCAGAGTCTGGAAATAGTTAAGTATAGTAGAATAAGATATCTTGAGAGAGAGACCACATTCGCATAACTTTTATTATAGTATATTGTTATAACTGTTCTCTTATTATTATTGTTGTTAATCTCTTACTGTGCCTACTTCATAGCTTTATCATAGGTTTTTACATTACATGTAAAAACACAGTATATATAGGGTTCAGTACAATCTACAGTTTCAGGCATCCACTGGGGTTCTGGAACACATCCCCTGCGGAAAGTAGGGGGCTGCTGTATTGAGTTCTGAGATTTCTGGATTCTATTCCTTCATCAAATACCCATTTAGCCAATATTTTCTCCTAGGCTGTAGCGTGTTTTTTAATTCTCTTATCAATGTCTTTCAAAGAGCAGAAGTCTCTTAGTTTTGATCAAGTCCAATTCATCATTTTTTTTTCCATTATGGATTGTGCTTTGGTGTCTATAGAAATCTTTGCACAAACCCACGATCACAAAAATTTTCTCCCATACTTCCTAGAAGTTTTAATTTTGACATTTAGGTCTATAATCCGATTTGAGTTAATTTATGTATATGATGCAAGGTATGGGTCAATGTTCATACTTTGCATATAGATATCTAATTGTTTCAGCACCATTGATGAAATCCTTTCTCTACTGAGTTGCCTTGACACATTAGTCAAAACTCAACTAACCATATAGGTATGGTCTATTTCTGGACTCTAATCTATTCCATTGATCTATACATCTATCCATGTATCAATACCATAATGTCTTGATTACTATAGCTTTACTGCAAGTTTTGAAATTAGTAGAAATCTTCCAACTTTGTTCTGTTACAAAATGGTTTGGGTTATTATAGTTCCTTTGCCTTTCCATGTTATTTTTAAAATAAGTTTGTCAATTTCTATAAAATATCCTGCTAGAATTATGATTGGAATTAAAATATATCTATAGATTAATTTGGGAAGGATTCACACCTTGGGTCCTCTTATCCATAAGCAAGACCTAGCTTCTAATTTTTCAGATTAATTCATTTTAATTGTACAGACTTCCTTACATGGTTTCAGATTCTACTCTGAAACTAATTTTTAAAGAAACTACCACTTGTCAAGTTTTCATAGAGTATTAAAGAAGAACATTCCCAATTATTTGATAAAGCTTATCAAAATACACTTCCCTCTGTGTAAGGCCAAATTTTCTTAATTTACTTCAACCAAAACAATATCTCACAACAAACTGAATCCAGAAGGAGATCTGCAAATCTGTCTTCAATTAAATCAGTCACAAAAATGTAAAACAATGACACTCTTTTAATGGTGCATTTTTTTCATTTTGGAGAATATGTTTTTCATTAGCAATACATATGGCTAACATATAATAGATTTCAATCAATATACTTTTTTTTTTTTTTGAGACAGAGTCTCACTCTGTTGCCCAGGCTGGAGTGCAGTGGCACGATCTTGGCTCACTGCAACCTCCACCTCCCAAGTTCAAGCCATTCTCTTGCCCCAGCCTCCCAAGTAGCTGGGATTACAGGCGTGCACCACCACACGTGGCTAATTTTTGTATTTTTAGTAAGATGGGGTTTCACCATGTTCGCCAGGCTGGTCTCGAACTCCTGACCTCAGGTGATCCGCCCACCTCAGCCTCCCAAAGTGCTGGGGTTATAGGCGTGAGCTACCACACCCGGCCTCAATTGATATTTTTAAATGAATTAATAAATGTTTAAAATCTTTCCAGTTTTTATTTCTACTATAGTGAATATAATGAATATAATACACATAAATGTTCTTTGGGATCCTCAATAATTTTTAAGAGTGTAAAGGATGTCTATGGACAAAAATAAATACCCCAGATGAACTATGCAGCTAAGCTAAATGTAAAAAAAAAAAAAAAAGGCAATAAAAGTATTTTTAAAATATAGGAAAACATTTTATAACCTTAGGGTGAGAAGGACTTCTACATAAAGCATCTAATATAGTTATTAAAAAGAATGACAGTTGTCATTAAAAAATTTAAAATATCTGTAATGACAAAAGATGTTACAAACAAAGTTAAACTGAAAGAAAATAAATGCAACACAAACTAGACAAAGGGATTAGGACCAAAAATATTAAAAGTTCTTTAAAATCAGTAAGATGACAAGCAATGAAATGCAAAATAGCAAAGGAAAATAAGAAGGTTACAGAAGAAATGTAAATGGCCAAGAAAAAAACAGAAAAATGCTTAATTTCCCAAATAAGATCAGGGAAATGCAAAGTAAAATGAGATAAAAATAGAAAAAATTAAAATCCAATTTACCCAGCATTAGTAGGGAGAAAAATAAATCCTCATACGCTGTTAGTTTAAGTGTAAATTGATAGTCTTTTCTGAAGGAAATTTAGCAATATGTAACAAGTTTTAAACGCATGCCCCGTTTGAATCAGCCATTCTGCTTCTAGGAATCAGTACGAAAAGGATGCTCATTGCAGAACTGTTTGTAAAAGCCAAAACTTAAAAATTAAAGATTCACCAAAAGGAGGCCAGGAGCGGTGGCTCATGCCTCTAATCCCAGCTCTTTGGGAGGCCGAGGCAGGATCACCTGAGGTCAGGAGTTTGAGACCAGCCTGGCCAACATGGTGAAACCCCATCTTTGCTACTAAAAATTAGCTGGGCATGGTGGCGTGTGCCTGTAGTCCCAGCTATTCGGGAGGCTGACGCAGGAGAATCACTTGAACCCAGGAGGCAGAGGTTGCAGTGAGCCGAGATCGCACCACTGCACTCCAGCCTGGGCAATAGAGCAAGACTCCGTCTCAAAAAAAACAAAAAAAAAGACTCACCAATAGGAGATTAACTTTTAAAAAAATAAGGCCGGGCGCGGTGGCTCATGCCTGTAATCCCGGCACTTTGAGAGGCTGAGGCGGGCAGATCACGAGGTCAGAGATCGAGACCATCTTGGCTAACACGGTGAAACCCCGTCTCTACTAAAAATACAAAAAATTAGACGGGCGTGGTGGCGGGCGCCTGTAGTCCCAGCTACTCAGGAGGCTGAGGCAGGAGAATGGCGTGAACCCGGGAGGCGGAACTTGCAGTGAGCCACTGCAGTCTGGCCTGGGCGAAAGAGCGAGACTCCGTCTCAAAAAAATAAAATAAAATAAAAATAAATAAAAAAATAAAAAAATAGTATGCTGGTCCTGTTTAATGGAACTCTATGTAGTTATTTAAAATAATGAAATGAATCTATGTGTTATTAATTATATTAAATCCTCATATGAGAATGAACAACCAAACCAACCTCAGTTTATTACATTTTAAATAGTCAAGGAACTAAACATAATTTATCCCAAGAGCTGGGAGATGATACAGTATAGTAGTTAAAAGTTAGGGCTTGGAAATCACACTATCCGGGTTTAAATTGTATCTCTGCCACTTACTTGCTGTGTAACCTAGGCAAATTACTTAACTATTCTATGCCCCAGATACCTTATACGTAAAATGGTACCTACTTCTAGCATGAATGTTTTCAGAGTTGTTTACACACTTAACAGAACGTCTATCACATAGTAAATAAATGTATGCCATTATTATTACTATTTTCAAAAGGATATATTAGCAGATAGCTAACTGCCAGAGGATATTACTAATTTTATAAATTTTAAACATGCAAAAATTTCCCTAAGTCACACCTCTAATATCACACATAATGAATCTTTATTGGTTTTTGTCATATGTCGTTTATGACTGATGAGATTGACCAGCTTTATATTCTACTCTGAGAAAAATTTCAGATCGAAGAAAATTGTATACGTCATAAAAAACAGAAACTTTACCAAACGTGGGTAAGTGACAAAGACACCAAACTGCTGGAGAGAAGCACTAGTTGTAGACGTCAACGAAGAGTGAAATAACAAGTAATATTATCTAAAGTACTGCAAAATGATTAAAAGCAATAAAGAAAAGTAAAATTGAGGGAGCATGATACAAAAAAAGAATATATAGTTTTTCATGTTGTCTTACCTAAGAGGTCCAAAAAACTTGACCAAGGACTCCCGAGTATCTACTTCTGCCACATTTGAGAGGGCAAAATCATAGAGTTCAGGAAAATGTGCAAAAGCAGCTCTCTAGAAAATAATGGCAAAAAATATTAATAATTAATGTCTACATATTAATATAAACATCTACTATTTAAGAATGAAAATATTTTATAAAAATATTAACGCATTTCTGTCTCTTATATGCTTCTTTTATGTGACCTCTACCTTAATCAGACAGAAGCATATAATAAAAAGAGAAAAAACTACAACTGTCATAACAGAAATGTAAAAAACATAAAGTTGGCGTTCAGCTTTTGACATCTAAAAGGATTTTCAATATATACAAAATAGCCACAAAGGCTAGCTTTATTGACAGAAGAGGAGCAAAAAACAAATACACACTTGATTATCAAGAACTGGTCGAACAAGACTAAAAGAAAGTCCCAAGGGAAACTCTGGCTGCAGAGAACTTGGAAGGAGAGACCAAAAAACTTATGCTTGTGCCTTGCTTTTGTTTGGAACTCTGGGAAAAGACCTCACAGGGTAGCACTCTCAACCAACATAGGGTAAGCTGTAAGAAAACAGAAATAGTAGTATTGCACAGAGTGACTGAGATAATATCCCTAGTCTTCCTTGGGATTTAACAACAGAGTGATTGAAATAATATCCCTGTCTTCCTTGATGCCCACATGGCACAGAAAAGATCCGGAAGTTTTCATGTGTTCCATGGTGGATGACACAGAAGGTTGCCAAGGTTGCCATGAGTGAGCTTGCCATGGGATTATGAGATTACTACACACAATGGCAAAATGACTCTGCAACCCAAGCATGAGAATGAACTGTGTAAACAAGGAAATAAACAAGTCAGTCCTCAGGAGAATGCTAGCAGCATCAAGCAAAGTTAGGGCCTCCTCAACAGGGCAAATAGCCAAGTTCCTTGGAAGCAATAATGATGCCTTGCCTGTGTCAATACAATAGACCACATGCCACACCAGCTGTGGTTATTTCAAGGGCAGAGACAGGACAAAAACACTAATGCTCTGAAAAAAGCAGGAAAAGACATCTGCGTTAATCCTTCTTCCAAAACAATAAGGCTATTTTGGTGTCTCCACATACCTAGTAGGAAAGAAGAAAAACAGAGATTTTTTTTTTTCACTTTTTACACCATTATTTATTTATTTTTTCTTCTAAAAAAAATGGGATACATGTGGAAATGTGCAGGTTTGTTACATAGGTATACATGTGCCATGGTGGTTTGCTGCACCTATTGACCTGTCCTCTAAATTCCCTCCCCTCAACTCCCATCCCCGACAGGTACTGGTGTGTGTTGTTTCCTTCTCTGTGTCCATGTGTTCTCAATGTTCAACTCCTGCTTATGAGTGAGAACATGCGGTGTTTGGTTTTTTGTTCCTGTGTTAGTTTGCTGAGGATGATAACTTCCAGCTTCATCCGTGTCCCCGCAAAGGACATGATCTCATTCCTTTTGATGGCTGCATAGTATTCCATGGTGTATATGTGCCACATTTTCTTTATCCAGTCTATCGTTGATGGGTTGGTTCCATGTCTTTAATACTATAAATAGTGCTGCAATAAACATACATGTGCATGTGCCTGTATAGCAGAATGATTTATATTCTTTAGGGTATATACCCAGTAATGGGATTGCTGGGTCAAATGGTATTTCTCGTTCTAGATCCTTGAGGGATTGCCATACTGTCTTCCACAATGGTTGAACTAATTTACACTCCCACCAACAATGTAAAAGCGTTCCTATTTCTCTGCAGCCTTGCCAGCATCTATTGTTTCCAGAGTTTTTAATAATTGCCATTCTGACTGGTGAGAGATGGTATGGTATCTCACTGTGGTTTTGACTTGCATTTCTCTGATGATGAGTGATGTTGAGTTTTTCTTCATATGTTCGTTGGCCACATAAATGTCTTCCTTTGAGAAGTGTCTGTTCATATCCGTTGCCCACTTTTTGATGGGGTTGTTTTTTTCTTGTAAATATGTTTAAGTTCCTTATAAATTCTGGATATTAGACCTTTGTTAGATGGGTAGATTGAAAAAATTTTCTCCCATTCTGTAGGTTGCCTGTTTACTCTGATGATAGTTTCTTCTGCTGTGCAGAAGCTCTTTAGTTTAATTAGATCCCATTTGTCAATTTTTGCTTTTGTTGCAATTGCTTTTGGCTTTTTTGTCATAAAGCTTTTGCCCATGCCTATGTCCTGAATGGTATCGCCTAGGTTTTCTTCTAGGGTTTTTATGTTTTGGGTTTTACTTTTAAGTCTTTAATCCACCTTGAGTTAATTTTTGTATAAGCTGTAAGGAAGGGGTCCAGTTTCATTTTCTGCATGTGGCTAGCCTGTTTTCCCAGCACCATTTACTGAATAGGAGATCCTTTCCCCATTGCTTGTTTTTGTCAGGTTTGTCAAAGATCAGATGGTTGCAGATGTGTGGTGTTATTTCTGACGTCTCTGTTCTGCTCCATTGGTCTATATGTCTGTTTTGGTACCAGTACCAAGCTGTTTTGGTTACTGTAGCCTTGTAGTATAGTTTGAAGTCAAGTAGCATGATGCCTCCAGCTTTGGAGAAGAGAGATCTCTTAAGAGATAGCTAACTTGATTACAAAAGAGTTTGAACTGAATCTTTACCCCCAACAAAAGACTCTTTAAAACAGAAATAGCTGGATTACTTTAAACAGAAATAGCTGGATTACCTTAAACTGACAAATAAAACTTCCTTCTGCCATCAGAGAAACTGGAGCTCAAGAACAAGATAAGATCAGCAAAAGAAAACAAGTGAAGATACTTTTTTGGGCGTATCTGAATTACATTGGTAAATTTCAGTCCCATCATATGTGTTCATCTTAAAAATGTGCAAAATGGTTACGCACCCCCTGCCATATGTTGAAATACTCTTTAATAAAATAAAACTGACAGCAGAGCTAATATTTAAATCCACCAAACTGGCCCAGTAACTAACATTTCTGAGTAGCAAATATCAGTATATTGATTCACAGAATGTAGACAGGTTATAAAAGAAAGTCTTATTTTTCAAGAATTCATTGGAAAAAGAAACGTTAAAAATGTTGAATATAAAAACACTATTAAATTAACATGGTTTTCAATCTGTACCTATACAAAACCTAAATTGCAGTATGATAAAACCTTATGGAGCATACACAGTCTATAATGTATTTTAATTACCTGTAGAGAAGTAATTCTATCATAGTGAATTGTGGTCATCTCATTCTCTGTCAGAGCATTTCCAGTTTGGTCATTAATTTCAAAACCAGTATAGAATTTAAGCATGTCCAAAAGCTGAAGAAACACATTTACATGTATAAATCATATGAACATAAGGGCAAGAAAGCACAATACTGTTTAAAATAATAAACAGGTTCATACAGTTTCTCAGAGGTGCTGAAAAAACTCAGGAATGTAAACATTACAAAAAAGATTTTAGAACATATCCAACTAAAAACGTTTTAGTTACATGAAAATAAAGTATGTGAATAAATTGTTAAATCTATTTCATATACATGGTCTACTTCTGCAAAGAAAAACTTATACTGCAATCCCAATACCTAAGACACGTTAAGGAGATAATCTAAAGAAGCCCAGCATTTTAATGAAACAAACAACATCTATCTTATCTATCTACATCACTGAAAACTTACAAAGCTATAGCACCAGAGGGAACTCCTGAGGTCTCTCGCTATAGGTTTTGCAATTCATAATTGGAGATACTTTTTTATACGCCACTTCTTTTTTTTTTTTTTTTTTTTTTTTTTTTTTTGGTCTGAGACGGAGTCTCGCTCTGTCACCCAGGCTGGAGTGCAGTGGTGCGATCTCGGCTCACTGCAAGCTCCGCCTCCCAGGTTCACGCCATTCTCCTGCCTCAGCCTCCGGAGTAGCTGGGACTACAGGCGCCCACCACCATGCCTGGCTAATTTTTTGCACTTTTAGTAGAGACGGGGTTTCACCGTGTTAGCCAGGATGGTCTCAATCTCCTGACCTCATGATCCGCCGGCCTCGGCCTCCCAAAGTGCTGGGATTACAGGAGTGAGCCACCGCGCCCGGCTGTGCTGCTTCTTTTAGGGAAAAACACTAAGATAGGGAAAGCTAAGTTATTCTTTTTTCTCCATGGCCATCAAAGTCCTTTGGCTTAGTTTCTCTTGCTAACGAGGCTCTGATGTCTCCCCTGTAGCAGCAGCATCAACAGAGCCTACTGGCTGCACTCACCCCAAATCTTTATTATTTTTAGATCTAATCTATGGCAGATCAGATATTAAGATTTTAATATATTTTAATATATGTGGCAAATCACTAGACAGAAATTTAAAAAGAGAATAAGAGGAATGCTCCCAGATATAAAAGAACAAAGGGGATATGTAAACACATACCAAAATTGTATCTCTAACTATGATCTCATTGAAAGATAGCATTAGAAGTTTGTTAAAAATGATTTCTCCTGCTGGGTGCAGTGGTTCACGCCTGTAATCCTAGCATTTTGGGAGGCCGAGGTGGCCAAATTGCCTTAGTTCAGGAGTGTGAGGCCACCTGGGCAACATGGTGAGACCCTGTCTCTACTAAAAATACAAAACATTACCCGGGCGTGGCGGTGCATGCCTGTAATTCCGGCTACTGGGGAGACTGAGGCAGGAGAATCACTTGAACCCAGGAGGCGGAGGTTGCAGTGAGCCGAGATCATGCCACTGCCACTGCACTCCAGCCCGGGTGACAGAGCGAACTGTGTCTCCATAAACAAAACAAAACAAAACCAAAAGAAATGCTTTCTTCTGCATGACATAACAGGAAATGTAAAATACTGTGTCTTCCTAGCCAAGACAACAAAGTTAAGTGCATTTGCAGCTTCCTTATTCAAGGCAGCATGTATACTTCTACATGATCAACTATCTGTCACCATCATCTTATAGAAAGAGTCATACTATTGGGGCACAGTTCATTTAAAATTAATGCTCATCAGCTACTATATTTCACATAAAATCAAAACTTGTGAACATGTGTGACTGTATTCCCCAAATCATAATTTAGTCCAATAATAAAAATCATACATAATTAACAAAAAGTTATATAATTACTAGAGGCAACCTATATAAGAATACATTCATTTTATATATTAAGACATGACTTTAAAATAACTAGGAGTTTGTGTTATGCCCTGATACTCCCAGTTGTGTGGCAAAGAAAAGATCAATTTAGAAAGTAAAACAATAAATACGTTCAGATACATCAATATTCACCTGGGAAAAAAGATGGCCATCCTCTTCTCTACGAACAAGATTGGAAAGGTAACAGTGAACCAGAAGGTGGGAATCATCCAGGATGGTATTAAACCAGCGCCTTGTGGGTAGCAGGGCCTGGGAAAAACAAACATCATAACAGTAAGTTTGCATCTATTCTCCACAGCTAGAAGTGAAATCTAGTGATATTTAACTCTCAAGTATTAATCACATACAAGGTACCCTCCAACCTTCCAATAGACACACTGTATACAATGCAAGAGGTCCCGTTCATGCTGTAAATAAACCCAGTGGCAATGTTTTTGGTTTTAAAAACAATAATGATGATAAAAGAACTTTTAAGATAAAATTGAAAATAAAGGCCGGGCGCGGTGGCTCATGCCTATAATCCCAGTGCTTTGGCGTGGCGGGTGGATCACCTGAGGTCAGGAGTTCAAGATTAGCCTGGGCAACAGGGCAAAACCCTATCTCTACTAAGAATACAAAAACTAGCTAGGTGTGGTGATGGGCGCCTGTAATCCCAGCTACTCGGGAAGCTGAGGCAGGGAGAATTGCTTGAACCCAGGAGGCAGAGGTTGTCTTGAACCAAGATCGTGCCACTGCACTCAAGCCTGGATTACAGAGCAAGACTGTCTCAGAAAAAAAAAGAAAGAAAGAAAATCTAGCACTAAGGAATCTCACAGATCATCTTGGCCAGTAGTTTTCCAACAAAATCCTACATAAAATCCCAATATATACCGTGTGTATGTTTAAAAGTGGAGTTGCTCTGAGAAAAAAGGAAGTACAAATCCCTATGTGGAGATTCCTGTCTTTGTTTCCTCTCCTCATGTTCCCCTACACTATAGCTTGAAAATTACTAATCTAATCAAATATCCTCATTTTATAGATGAAGTTATTGAGATCCTCAGAAGTTAGAAGTTAGTTACTGGCAGAGCTAGAATTTGAAAGATCTCATGAATGACTGCTAGTCCAATATGCTAATACTCATATCAAAAAACCACCTTACTTCTCCAGACAAGGAACAGATTTTCTTTCAATTTCTCTCATTAATGAGAGAAAGGAAAGGAAATCAATTCAATCTGAACTACATCAATTCTGTGTCTGAACTTGTCAGCAAATCCTGCACCTAAGAGTATGAAATCTTTTTTTTTTTTTAAGAATCTTTATTTTAAAAAATTGAACACAACAGCTATATTTTTCTTCACAAACATTGGGCACATTTAGAAAAGTGAGATTATTTAAAGAGACAATTATAAACCCATGACTTCACCCACTACAGAAAACTCTGTATGAGGGGTATTAAAGTATGACACAAAATAAATTGTCACTGCTGGACTCATGTTTAATAACTATACTATGTAATGTTTTTTCTACAAACAACAGCCCATGATAGATGAGTCAGTCATTTGAAAACCTGAAGGGCCAATTACTTGTGACTTCCTTCTCTAAGTGACACCTTGAAACATGTACAAAGTAAAACCAGTTTGAGGTGATGAATAAATACTTCATATAGACCAGGCACGGTGGCTCACGCCTATAATCCCAAGCAATCCTCCTACTTGGGAGGCCAAGGTGGAAGGATTGCTTGAGCCCAGGAGTTCAAGACCAGCCTGGGAAATATGGTGAAACCCCGTCTCTACAAAAAACACAAAAATTAGCTGGGCGTGGTGGTGCCCAACTGTAGTCTCAGCTGATCAGGGGTCTGAGGTGGATCAGGAGGATCACTTGAGGCCTGGGAGGCGGAGGCTGCAGTGAGCCGAGACAGCGCCACTGCATTCTAGCCTTGGTGACAGAGAAAGACCCCATCTCAAAGAAAAGAAAAGAAAAGAAGAAAAGGAAAGAAAAGAAAAGAAAAGGGAAAAGAAAAAGAATTTTTTTCTTAATGTATTTTTATTGTATTTTATTGTATTGTATTAATTTTTTATTAATGTATAATCTATATTAATAAATATTGTATACAATACTATATTATTATACAATCCATGGGCACCCAATATGTATTGTATTATTATATAATACATATGTATATAATAAATATATACATATTTACCTTTAATATATTTTAATTAATGAGAGAAAGGAAATATATACCTTTCCTTTCTCTCATTAATGTGAGAAATTGAAATATATAATAAATATATACATATGTATTGAAAAGAAAAGGAAAGAAAAAAATACTTCATATATGGTCATATGCTTAATCTTAGACCCCCTAATGATTATATAACAAAAAAGTCACGGTAGATTTCTTACCTCTAGATCAATCATAAGTTCAATGAATCTTTCACAGTAATGAACTTTGTCCATAGTGACAGGTTCTAGACATAAGAGAGAACGCATGATAGAATTTCCTTACTAGGCCATTTTGCATGCTGTTTCTGAAAACTGGCAGTTATTTAATAACTTAAATAAAGTCAATTGTCTTTTATTCATCAGAATTGGACTATGATTTAGAATGAGGATCTCACATATATATTTTTTTAAGGAAGGCCTTACCCTGATACTTAGCTCTACAAATATGAGAAAATAAAAGATCTAGCTTGGGTCAAAAGCACATTTTAAAAATCAGGTTTGCAAAGATATTTTAAAAGTATTAACCTTTAAAAATCTGTATTAAATTAGATTTTGAAAAAACTTAGAGATATAAAAACTAGAAGGCAGTTTTATATCAGGTTTTGCTTCACTTTCCTTATTGTCTTTACATTCTAAACTTCTGAGAGTTTTCTCGTATGTATAAACACACACATACGTATATGTACACACACACACCTTTAAAGTGCACTGAAAATTAGAGAGGTAATTTTTATTATTTTTTTCCACTGTACATGTATTACTTTAACATTAGAATGCCAATGACACAAAGAACAATAAAAATACCTTTTAAATCACTAGCTTATTATATACTATTTATGAGCATAGTATACTATTTTTACAAACATTTATTTTTGTTTTTAAATAATTACAACCTTGGGGCATGAAATATTTTCAGAGTAAAAGCTTTTTTTCTAATGCCAGGAAATGGTCTACCATTTTGCCAACTAAAACCATCCTGTCAAGTTGGTTTCAATTAAAACAAAGATAATTTTAGGTTTCCTGTTGCTACTTAGTTTAAAAACTTACAGCAGTGACTAACACCCAGTGCCAGATCTATAGAAGGCATCCTACAAATGCTTACATAAAAATCCATTTATTTATTTGTAGTGTACAGGAAAACGGAAAGCTTAATGTAAAGCAAGAAATGTGAATACTTTTGTGATTAATATATACAGAAATGTTAACTGGAACTTTTTCAGCTAGCATATGCCCATAATCCAAACCCTGAAATAACAGAAGTATAGAAATTATTAGCTGGAAAAGACCTTTGAGAGCATCTATTCTAGATCTTCATTTTCTAGGTAGAAAAACATGATCAGAGAAAATGACCTGATAAAGGTGTAAAGCTAGAATGGTTGGTTAGAACTGGAACCCTGGTTTTCTGAGACATACATATACAGTCATTTAAAATAACAATTTAAAGGAGCAATTTTTAAATTAAATCCATTCGAACCAACCTTTTGTTGCTATCTTTTGTTCTTGTAACTGTCAAAGGAAAACATTTTTTCCCAAACTAAAAGAGTGAGCAAATTCTGAATTCTGTATCTTTATTTACGTCTTGACAAATTACTGGAAATGGCCTATTTAAAATTAGAAAACAATGCATGGTGCTCTGGTGACTAAAGTTGCATGTTTTTTTATGAGAGCTGGTCCTACTGGGCATGTTGCCTAAGGTAGAAACCTTGCTATCCCAATTTCAGACACAAATATATCCTTATCATTTGTCTCAGCTATACTGTAACTTTTTTTCCCTTCTAACAGCAATCTTAACATCTCAGACTATCCTGCACAGATTTCCAACAACTCATCTGGGCATTCTGTTTTTAATGACCCTATTTTAAAAAGGAAACTACAATCCTTCTCAAAATATTTAAAAAATTAGCCTTCTGTTTCCTAACTACACAACCATCTATCTTCATACCCATTCTGAACTGGCAAATTACTGTCATCATCCTGTTAGTTCCTTTGCCAGCAAGCTGACAAATTTTGATAAAAACTCAAGATTAAGAAATGATGTTTTCTGGCCAGGCGCAGTGGCTCACACCTGAAATCCCAGCACTTTGGGAGGCCGAGGAGGGTGGATCACTTGAGGTCAGGAGTTCAAGACCAGCCTGGCCAACATGGTGAAACCCCATCTCTACTAAGAATACAAAAATTAGCCGGGCATGGTGGTGTGCACCTGTAGTACCAGCTACTTGGGAGGCTGAGGCAGGAGAATCACTTGGACCCAGGAGGCAGAAGTTGCAGTGAGCTGAGATTGTGCCACTGCACTCCAGCCTGGGAGACAGAATGAGACTCCATCTTTAAAAAAAAAAAAAAAGTTGTTTTCTGACAGTATATAAACAATAGCGGCAACAGCAAGTGGTTTATAGGCTGTTAAATTACTGCAGGCCCTATGTTCTTGCTTTTGAAACCTAGACGACCCTAGATAAACATTCCATAGTTAGAGATATCAATTTTTATTACAGACATTAGTTCTATAGACGTTAGTAGCTCAAAGCGCTCAATGTTATTCTTTGTGCCAAGAAAACCCAATCTTAGTCCTCTTTCCAGGTTTGAAGGCACTTAGTGGAAAGATTTAGATATACTAACATTAAGAGACTTAAGATTATAAGCATAAAACGTTTTCTTTCTTTTCTTTTTTGAGACTGAGTTTTGTTCTGTCACCCAGGCTGGAGTGCAGTGGCACAATCTCGGCTCACTGCAAGCTCCACCTCCTGGGTTCACACCATTCTCCTGCCTCAGCCTCCTGAGTAGCTGGGACTACAGGTGCCTGCCACTGCGCCTGGCTAATTTTTTGTCTTTTTAGTAGAAACGGGGTTTCACTGTGGTCTCGATCTCCTGACCTCGTGATCCACCCACCTCAGCCTCCCAAAGTGCTGGGATTACAGGCATGAGCCACTGCGCCCGGCCAAAACATTTTCTTTATACTAATGCTAGTAGTAGTACTGTGCCCTAAGTCAGATACAACTGATTTACTGCATTGGTATCAATTCCTCACTGAATCGTAGCTAAGATTTTCAATTGTAAAATATTACTTGGAGGGTCAGCATTTATAACTCATTCCATTGTGTTTTTTTAAAAGCTGTACTTTCTGATGCAAAAATATAAATATGGTATACCTATATAAATATGGTATACCTATAGAGCTGTTCTTAGATTATATTCCACTTAAAAATATTAAACAATTGGCCAAGCGTGGTGGCTCACGCCTGTGATCCCAGCGCTTTGGGAGGCCGAGGCAGGCAGACTGCCTGAGGTCAGGAGTTCGAGACCAGCCTGGCCAACATGGTAAAACCTCGTCTCTACTAAAAATACAAAAATTAGCCGGGCGTGGTGGCACACGCCTGTAACTCCAGCTACTCAGGAGGCTGAGGCAGGAGAATTGCTTGATCCCAGGAGACGGAGGTTGCAGTGAGCCAAGATTGTGCCACTGCACTCCATCCTGGCTGACAGAGTGACACTCTGTCTCAAAAAAAAATAATAATAATTAAACAATTATATTTTAATTATATTTTATAATTTTAATATAGTATATATATATACTTACTTTTTAAATCAGTAAATGGAGCTATGATGGAGGAAAATCCTTCTATTTAGTCTTTTAGCTCATATCTCAGTAATATTTCTCCTTTTTTCCTCCAACGGTATCAATAGGACTTAAAAACACTATTCAGCACCATATTATAAATAACATGCAAATATGGTCTGTAATTTTCCTCTTCACAACTGTATCCCAGCACCTTAGACAGGACCTGGATCTAGTAATTAGGTGATAAAAAATTTGCTACATAAAGGAATATTTCAATAACCACACTGGTGCCTTTAAAATAACCCTTAGGCCAGGTGCAGTGGCTCACGCCTGTAATCCCAGCACTTTGAGAGGCTGAGGTGGATGGATCACTTGAGGTCAGGAGTTTGAGACCAGCCTGGCCAACATGGAGAAACCCCGTCTCTACCAAAAATACAAAACTAACTGGGCATGGTGGTGCATCCCTGTAATCCCAGCTACTCGGGAGGCTGAGGCAGGAGAATCACTGGAACCCTGCTGGGGGAGGTTGCAGTGAGCCGAGATCATGCCACTGCACTCTAGCCTGGGTGACAGAGCAACACTCTGTCTCAAAAAATAAATAAATAAAATAAAATAACCCTTAAAGGCAGTCCCAATACTCACACTGGTAATGTATTTAAAAAGGAGAGGACATACACTTTGCCAATACAATTTAAAATCATTCCAAGAACAGTTTTTAGATTAGAGATGAGTAAATACCATAGGGGCAGCTATATGATAATTTCACAAATGCACTGAGTAAAAAAGAAGATACCAGAAAGTGGGACTGATTTCAGCACAGAGATAAACTTCTGGATGAGTTGTGAAAGAAATCTCCTCTCTTGATATGCCCTAAAATCAGAAAGAACATTGACCAATTATTTTTGAAGAATAGTCATTTCAAAAGTAAACTTTAAATGTTGACCACGGCTTTCCAATATTGTTCAACTGTTCATTTCTTTGTGAAGCTGGGACTATAACTTCAATATACAGCTTCTTCTTTCTATGTAAATACAGTGCTATATGAAGAAAAGGAGAGTCACATTACTGACCTAATAAGCCACCTAAGCAAGCACCTCCTTCTCTCACCGTGAACGTTTTCTTTTTTCTGCTTTTTTTGTTTTTGAGGTGGAATCTCGCTCTGTTGCCCAGGCTGGAGTGCAGTGGCGCGATTTCAGCTCACTGCAACCTCTGCCTCCCAGGTTGAAGCAACTCTCTTGCCTCAGCCTCTCGAGTAGCTGGGATGACAGGCGCCTGCCACCATGCCTGGCTAATTTTTGTATTTTCAGTAGAGATGCGGTTCCACCATCTTGGCCAGGGTGTTCTTGAACTCCTGACCTTGTGGTCCACCCGCCTCGGCCTCCCAAAGTGCTGGGATTACAGGCATGAGCCATGGCGCCCAGCCTGAGACACAGCTCCCAGCCAAACATTTTCATTTGTGATTTACAAGTCAGACCGAGAAAGAAGTTTCAAAATTCCATTTATAGTCTGCCCTTACCATTAAAAATCTCACATTTAATGTAGTTAAAATGAGATGAACAATATTATATTTTAACGTTTAAGTATAATAGAGTATTACAATAGCTAAAGATCAAATGTTTAAAAAATAATTTTCTATTCATTACTACTTTAAGATATATCCATTAATGAACAGACATGTATCAAGTATCGTACAGCTGTAAATGCTTGTAACAGTCCTGCTGGAAATACAAAGAAGGGGAACGGCTAAAATCTACTTGCAATAACAAGTCATATATTATAAACACAATTAGTAATACATGCCAGTATGTGATTAATAAAACTGCCTGACATTAATTAAGCACGCATTTTGCCAGGATCTGAGCTATGCTAAACACTTCACATCTTATTTAATATTGATAACAGTCCTCGGAAATGGGTACTACTGTCCAGATTTCACAATGAGGCTTAGAGGTGAAGTAACTTGCCCAAAGTCATACAGCAATTGAGTGTGGAATCTAGCTAAGTCTGATTGTAGAACCTACATCCTCAACTACTATACATATCCCAATCATTACATAAACAGCTGGTGTTTCAAAAAAAAATCACAGAGCATGTGTTCTAGGAGTTCAGATGAAAGCACTATGATCTAAAGTAGTTGGTCTGGAAGAGTGTTTATATGGTTAATATTCAATTAAGTGGAGTGAAGAGGAAAGGGACTTAGGAAAGAAATGCTAAAGAAGCAATGACTAGAGTAGTCCAGTGATTTGCAAGAGTCACAAGAAACAGCTGCAAGCTTCTGAAAACCTTGTAAGAAGTTTAGAGTTAGGCTGGGTGCAGTGGCTCACGCCTGTAATCCCCAGCACTTTAGGAGGCCGAGGCAGGCGGATCACCTAAGGTCGGGAGTTTGAGACCAGCCTGACCAACATGGAGAAACCCTGTCTCTATTAAAAATACAAAATTAGCCAGGCGTGGTGGCGCATGCCTGTAATCCCCTCTACTCAGAGGCTGGGGCAAGAGAAATCGCTTGAATCTGGGAGGCAGAGGTTGCAGTGAGCCACAGTCGCACTATTGCACTCCAGCCTGGGCAACAAGAGCGAAACTCCGTCTCAAAAAAATAAAAAAAGAGTGAAGGAGTAAGAAAAAGAAAGAGAAGTTATATTAATAGCCTGAAGATAGTGGAGAAAATTGAGAACCATCCATGAGGGAGACGGACAATAGGCAGGGAGAAAAACAGTGGGTCAACTATATATACTTAGCAGCACAGAAAGAAGGAAAAGAAGAAAAGCATGATGCTCTGGCTTCTGCTTTAGATCTTTGTGGAAAATATTCTTAATGACAGTCTAGGTAAAAGCACTTATTATAATAATTTATTTGCACTCAGCACTATATAAAGGGAAACAACAAACCAGTCAACATCATCTAAGGTCCACAATCCAGCATAATAAGCCAACATGAAATGAAGCTCTGCCAACATACTGTTCTCTTGCTTCTGGATCCATCTTTTCATCATTCTTTTTAATCAAGTTCCAGAATTTTCTTAGCTTAGGTGTCTTTTTTAATTCTAATTCCAATCGTGCCTGAAGAAGAGATGTGTTATTAAATTACCAGTAGCCTCAAAGTTTACAAGGATAAGGATTAGATCAACTATTTGCTAGTTTTCTAATATATGAGTACAAAATAGAGCAATCTGATAAAACCTGAAAATAACATGACAAACCCTGAAAATTAAGAAATGAATAACGATATTTTAAAAAATTATTCAACTCTAGCTCTTGTTAATAAAAATACAAATCAAGATTGTAAGCTCAATAATCAATTAATTTTTTATTTCAAAACTTAAAGAGCTAAGTCTGAAAAATATATGCATCAACACTTAGCATAATCACTAAGGTTTGAAAAATATGAGTCTGAAACAATGCACAAAAAACAGCGATCACAAGTAAATAAGGAAATGTCCACATCAGCATATTCTCTCTTATAGCACTTGCCACTTTTTAACTTAGTATTAATTATTTATACGTGCCTTATGTTTTCATCCCCATCAACTGGTGCTTATAAATGAGTCTGCATATCTGAGTATATGCAGAAACACCCATGTGCAGGAAGGGAAATTCTGAATAAAGCATTACAATGAAATCTGATAGTTTTAACTAAACTACCTAAGATGTATTAATTTGGCTTTGGTACCTGCACATATTACCCAATAAAGACTTTATGGAAAAATGGAAGTCATTAATATTAGGTATGATCCAGATCTTCTCCTACAGCTATATATATACTCTAATCAAGGAAAAAAAAATTCAAGTCCACATTTAGTCTCATCTATACTTTGCTAAATTAACCCCCTTTCTCTATAAGCTCAATAGATACTACCTTATTCATTTTATATTACTAAAATTAAGTTAAACATCGAATGCATATAAAAACTTTAAAATAAAAACTATATCTATGAAAAGTTAAGCAAAGTGGCTTTTCTAAGAAAAGGGGTATTTAGCTACCACTTGTATATCCAGATTAAGGCTATAGACTAAAACCACACGTTCTACTTATAACACATACATTCATAAGACTCTGAAATTAGAGACTTACCAGCTGTAAGCCCATCCACATTGGGAGGGAGATAAGCTGCTGTACTTGACTTCGTATCAAGTCTACTTCCTGTTTAGGGCATGAAGAAAATAAGTTTATAAACATACCAGCATTTCTACCTAAGTCTTTACATAAGAAGTATACTGCCTTTTTAAGTCCTGGAGGGAAAACATGCCACAAATATTTTCAAGTTAATATTTTGATATTAAGAAGTTCAATGCTTTAAAAAAGACTCCATCCTTATTATCTACAGATTTTGTACTTGCAAATTCATATACTAATAAAAATGTATTTGTAACCCCAAAATCAACACTCCATGTGCTTTCACAGTCATCCAGATGGCCCAAACAAAAATCTGAGTTGTCCGACGTGCACATTCTCAGGTGAGACTGAGCTGATGCTCTGCTTCATTCTCAGCTCTCATACTGTAAGAAACAAGTATCCTTTTTGTGGTCTATTGAGTACTATTTTTTTTGGCACGCTTGTGCTTTTTGATGATTTCGCTGTTTAAAATGGCAACAAGCCCAAGGCTGAAGTGCTGTCTGATGTTCATGGGTGCAAGAAGGCTGTGATATGTCTTACAGAGTAAATACGTATGTTAGATAAGCTTCGTTCAGGCATAATTACAGTGCTGTTGGCAGTGAGTTCATGGTTAATGAATCAATAATATACAATAAATAAGCTGTCTTTAAATAGAAACACACATAAAATAAGGCTATGTATTGATAGTTTGTAAAATGTCATGACCAAGGCTTGCAGGAACCTAACCCTGTATTTCCCCAAGGAGTAATGGTTCAGCATTAGCTCATTCAATGTTCATAGCTACTTTATAAAATGAACATAACTACCTCAAATAAGAACTGACTGCATATTTTAAAAGATAAAGCATTTCAATAATAAACTAGTTTGGTAAGTTGGCTAAAACTATCACCAAATTACTAATACTAATAAAATCTTGTTTCTGTTTAGTTTCTGATAAAAAAATCACATCTATTTATATTTCTATTTGTTCTGTTTAGTTTAATAAATGTTAAAGAGGCTTTCTGTGCCGATAACGCTCACGCAAGCATGGTTAACGTCCCTAAAACCCGCCGGACTTTCTGTAAGAAGTGTGGCAAGCACCAACCCCATAAAGTGACACAGTACAAGAAGGGCAAGGATTCTCTGTATGCCCAGGGAAAGCGGCGTTATGACAGGAAGCAGAGTGGCTATGGTGGGCAAACTAAGCCAATTTTCTGGAAAAAGGCTAAAACTACAAAGATTGTGCTAAGGCTTGAGTGCATTGAGCCCAACTGCAGATCTAAGAGAATGCTGGCTATTAAAAGATGCAAGCATTTTGAACTGGGAGGAGATAAGAAGAGAAAGGGCCAAGTGATTCAGTTCTAAGTGTCATCTTTTATTATGAAGACAATAAAATCTTGAGTTTATGTTCAAAATAAATAAATAAATAAATAAATAAATAAATAAATAAAAATAAATGTTAAAGAGATAACAGTGGTATCCAGTGCAGGCATCATAAATCTTTTTTTATGCCTTTAAAAGATCCATGTGAGATAGTACATGGAAACAGGTAATAATCATCCATCTATTAACACTCAGTCTTCAGAATAAGAAAGAACTCCATGCATTCCTCCTGCATGGGTGTAAGTGAATTATCAATTCAGAGGCACTAAATAAATATGTGTATTTATCAGCTAACCACACAGGAAAGCTCAAATAAAATATTACTGAAAATATTTAATTTTTTAGAAGATAATCTTATGAAGGATGAAAATGTATCACACACAAGACATTTTCAAAGATCATTTACACTTGGCCTTTATCAGTCAACTCAAAATACAACTCTCCTGTTGACTAACCAGCCTATGCATAAGGCATGATGAAAAGCAATGAAACTACATTCCTGTATGTATATGCAGTTTGTGGCACAGATCTCATTACTCCAATTCCATATAACCAGTCTCCTTGCTGCTTCTCATTTTTGTGCTCTCCCTTTAGAGTTTCAGTTCTTATAATCATTTTTCTTAAGAGTCTAGATAGAAAAAATTAAGTATCAATTTCAAATCTATTAAAAAGTGAACATATCTTATAAAAACATATCTTAAAGACTTATAAAATGGTTTTACTGATAAGTGGCTGAAATCAAGCTTTTAGCATTATCCTTATTGCCTGCTATTATGGATGAATGGAGTTGGCTACAGAGGTAATTTCATCTAAACTCAACCTAAAAGAACAAGAAAACTTGAAAATTACCCCAAAATATAAAGTAAAAGTACCAAACTATTGAAGCAATGATCAAGAAAAAGTAGTAAGACTGTCTGTTCATGAAGTGAAAATTCACCATCAGTTTCAGCTAATGCCGCCTTCAAGATGTGTTTAAAAAAGAATGGGAAGTGGTCTGGCTTCTTCTTAAAAATCTGAAAAGAAACAGAATAAAATTCATTTTGTATTGGCTTGCTCACTTAAGCTTTAAAGAAGCCCTAGTAGGCTTTTTAGCAGTCTATTAAAAAAACCAAATAATTACAAAAGGGTTATTTGTATATGTATAAAAGAAGCATCACGTGCTTACTTATAATTAATGGCAAGTCAAATACAGGTTTCTGACAGGACTATGAGAGAGCTGCAGAACCCTTTAGCTAATAAAATAATGGCTTTCATTTCTTTAGTTTTTCCTCTGTGGATTATGCCTGTATTTAGCTTAGGCTTTGTTTTCTTATTAAGGATCTGAAGTGTTTTAATTTCTCTGATTTAAACAAAAGAAACTACATCTTTAGCAAAAATTGTAGTTTTCACACTGTAATTAATCTCAAGAACAGCCCCTCCTGCTTTATATTAGCTCTTTACTCTTAACTTGTAAATAATGTAAATATATTCAAGCCTCTTTGACCTACCTCTGTTTCTAGTTACTGCCACAGACAAATGCTCCAAGCGTGTGGTCTATACTAGTTGTTTTCATTCACTTCTCTAAGACAAGCTCTCCTGAAGCTGTATGGCTGTCAAGTCCTATGGACCCTTATTAACTCTCAACTCCTTTTCACCATATTGAAGGCTCTTCTTCTTTTGCCTGTTATCTAAACCGCAATATTCGTAGGGTTCTAGCCTCATTCTTCTCCCTCTATTACTTCAACCACTAAATACCAATGATTCCAAATATACATCTGCAGTCCAGATTTCTCTTCTGAGCTCTCAAACCTTAGATTCCTCTACTAGATGACTTAATCTAGATATTCCAAAGGCAATTTAAACTGAATATGTCCAAATTCAATTCAACAGTTTTGTATCCTCCAAATTATTCCTCACTCTCTATTACCTATCTTGGTAAATGGCACCATCATATATTATATTCATTTGCCCAAGCCTGGAAGGTTATTGAAAATAACACCCTTTCCTAATGCTACTTCAACTGATTATCAAATTCAATCAATTCTACCTTCTACATCTCTGTATATCCTCTAAATCTGTATTATCATTTCTCTATTTCAAGGCCTAATCACCAAAGTGATCTTTATAACAGGTAAACTGACCAGGTTATTCCCTGGCTCAAAAAATTTTCCTTCTTCCTTTCTGTATTTCTATAATAGCTTGAAGCAACTTGAAGAAACCCCTAGGCTCTCTTGATAGTGACATAAAACCCATAGTTTATTCTGAGCTCTAATGTGCCCTGAGATGGTAGTCATTTAATGAATATTTGAGATAAGTGTCCATGGTTTTATCTTAAAGACTCTATCACCTTTTCACTTTGGTGACCATTTACTCAAAACAGATGACAGGCATCCATTCCTTTTTTTCATTTAAAAAAGTCTGACTGGAAGAGAAGAAACTCTTGATGAAGTGACCATTATATGGCGGGCAAAGAAAACAAAGATTTTGGATCCCTACTGATCAAGCTTCTGTTGCACCAGCACAAAAAGGAAACATCAGTGCATTAGAAATTTCTAAAAGGAAAAATAGATCCCAAATCAAGGACAAAAAGAACAGGCCAGGCACAGTGACTCATGCCTGTAATCCCAGCACTTTGGGAGGCCGAGGCGGGTGGATCATCTAAGGTCAGGAGTTTGAGACCAGCCTGGCCAATATGGTGAAACCCCATCTCTACTAAAAATACAACAATTAGCTGGGCATGGTGGCGGGCACCTGTAATCCCAGCTTCTTGGGAGGCAGAGGCAGGAGAATTGCTGGAACCTGGGAGGCAGATGTTGCAGTGAGCTGAGATCACGCCATTTGCACTCCAGCCTGGATAACAAGAGCTAAATTCAGTCTCAAAACAAAAAACCAAAAGAACATTGAAATTATAATGTAAGCATCTGTCTTGACTTTGGTAACTTTTTTTATTCATGTAAAACTACAAATATAAACTCCCTCTTGAGGTCGGGGGGGTCAGCCCCCCGCCCGGCCAGCCGCCCCGTCCGGGAGGGAGGTGGGGGGGGTCAGCCCCCCGCCCGGCCAGCCGCCCCGTCCAGGAGGGAGGTGGGGGGGTCAGCCCCCCGCCCGGCCAGCCGCCCCGTCCGGGAGGGAGGTGAGGGGGTCAGCCCCCCGCCTGGCCAGCCGCCCCGTCCGGGAGGGAGGTGGGGGGGGTCAGCCCCCAGCCCGGCCAGCCGCCCCATCCGGGAGGTGAGGGGCGCCTCTGCCTGGCCGCCCCTACTGGAAAGTGAGGAGCCCCTCTGCCCGGCCAGCCGCCCGTCCGGGAGGGAGGTGGGGGGGTCAGCCCCCCACCCGGCCAGCCGCCCCGTCCGGGAGGGAGGGAGGTGGGGGGGTCAGCCCCCCGCCCGGCCAGCTGCCCCGTCCGGGAAGTGAGGGGCGTCTCTGCCCGGCCGCCCCTACTGGGAAGTGAGGAGCCCCTCTGCCCAGCCAGCCGCCCCGTCCGGGAGGGAGGTGGGGGGGGTCAGCCCCCCGTCCGGCCAGCCGCCCCATCCGGGAGGTGAGGGGCGCCTCTGCCCGGCCGCGCCTACTGGGAAGTGAGGAGCCCCTCTGCCCGGCCACCACCCCGTCTGGGAGGTGTGCCCAACAGCTCATTGAGAACGGGCCATGATGACAATGGCGGTTTTGTAGAATAGAAAGAGGGGAAAGGTGGGGAAAAGATTGAGAAATCGGATGGTTGCCGTGTCTGTGTAGAAAGAGGTAGACATGGGAGACTTTTCATTTTGTTCTGTACTAAGAAAAATTCTTCTGCCTTGGGATCCTGTTGATCGGTGACCTTACCCCCAACCCTGTGCTCTGTGAAACATGTGCTGTATCCACTCAGGGTTGAATGGATTAAGGGCGGTGCAAGATGTGCTTTGTTAAACAGATGCTTGAAGGCAGCATGCTCGTTAAGAGTCATCACCACTCCCTAATCTCAAGTACCCAGGGACACAAACACTGCGGAAGGCCACAGGGTCCTCTGCCTAGGAAAACCAGAGACCTTTGTTCACTTGTTTATCTGCTGACCTTCCCTCCACTATTGTCCTGTGACCCTGCCAAATCCCCCTCTGCGAGAAACACCCAAGAATGATCAATAAAAAAAATAATAATAATAATAATAATAATAAAATAAATAAAAATAAAAATAAGACAAAAAAAATAAAAATAAACTCCCTCTTGTGAAAAAAGACACTGAAAAATATCTCATTTGAACATTATATACTTGTGCTTTTTTTTCTTCTTCTTAGAGACAGGCCTCGCTCTGTTACCCAGGCTGGAGTGTTGTGGTGCAATCATAGTTCATTGCAGCCTCGAACTCCTGGGCTCAAGTGGTCCTCTTGCATCAATCTCCCAAGTAGCTGGGACTACAGACTCATGCCACCATGCCTGGCTAATTTTTTCTTTTTTTAAAGAAACAAGTTTTTGCTTTGTTGCCCAGGCTGGTCTTGAACTCCTGGCTTCGAGCAATCCTCCCACCTCAGCTTTCCAAGTGCAGGATTATAGGCATGAGTGACAGCACTCAGCCTATTTGTACTTATTAATATAATTTCCATTTTGCCAGCTCCTGATGTAAGTTGTTATAACATATACCATTCTTTGTTTCAAACACAAAGCAGAAAAATAACTCACATTCATAAATTTTCAATTCATAGTAAATTATTAAATCGTTTGAAGAAAGTATTGAAACCAAAAGAAAACATATCTTTCACATACCCATTCTTTTTCTCAATATTTGCTTTATTACTGGGTAAAGTTCTGCTCTAAAAGCACCACTATCAGTAAAAGTTCTGCCACTTTGTAATGGCTTATGTGGGTCAGTATGAAAGCTATGAAGTACTTTAAATCAGTTACCTCCCATGCAGGCACGTTTTCTCTAAACTTCTCATTCACCATACAGCAGATTGACATTAAATAGGCCTTGCTAGATACCTCAGGAGAATAATTCATCCAGAGATAATTTTCAAGATACTGGCTGTAAAGAGTAAAAAGCATAGAATACTTCATTAGTTACCACCACTCACTGTAATACATAACTCACCCAGAAAAGCATAATTATTTACAACTTTCTGAAAATATTTTGGAAATCTCTATTTATAACTTGGAATCCTTGGCTGGGTGTGGTAGCTCATGCCTGTAATCCCAGCACTTTGGGAGGCCGAGACGGGTGGAGGTCAACTCCTGACTTGAGGTCAGGAGTTGTGATATGGTGAAACCCCATCTCTACTAAAAATACAAAAATTAGCTGGGTATGGTGGCACACGCCTGTAATCCCAGCTACTCAGGGGGCTGAGGCAGGAGAATCACTTGAACCCGGGAAGAAGATGCAGTGAGCTGAGATTGCGCCACTACACTCCAGCCTGGCCAACAGAGCTAGACTCCATCTCAAAAAAAAAAAAAAAAACTTGGAATCCTCCACAAATTTACCTGCAGTCTAGGTCACTGCTACCAGCTACAAATTTATATATAGAAAATACAGCTTTGGAGAATGACAGTCCTATAAATTCAAATAAAAAGGTATCAAACGTTGCCAACATACATAATTATCACCACCAAACCACCGGATATTCCCTTACTTAAGGCTTTTTTTTTGTTTTTTTGAGACGGAGTTTTGCTCTTGTGGCCCAGACTGGAGTACAATGGCGTAATCTTGGCTCACAGCAACCTCCACCTCCCGGATTCAAGCAATTCTCCTGCCTCTGCCTCCTGAGTAGCTGGGATTACAAGAATGTGCCACCACGCCCGGCTAATTTTTTGTATTTTTAGTAGAGACGGGGTTTCTCCATGTTGGTCAGGCTGGTCTTGAACTCCCAACCTCAGGATCGATCCACCCACCTCAGCCTCCCAAAGTGCTGGGATTACAGGCATGAGCCACTACACTGGGCCTTTAACTTTAAGGCTCTTCTTAAAGTAAAAGTTGGCCAGGCACAGTGGCTCACGCCTGCAATCCCAGCACTTTGGGAGGCCGAGGCAGGCAGATCATGAGGTCAAGAGATCGAGACCATCCTGGCCAACATGGTGAAACCCCATCTCTACTAAAAATACAAAAATTAGCTGGGCATGGTGGCGTGTGCCTATAGTCCCAGCTACTCAGGAGGCTGAGGCAGGAGAATCACTTGAACCCGGGAGGCGGAGATTGCAGTGAGCCAACATCGCGCCACTGCACTCCAGCCTGGCAACAGTGAGACTCCGTCACAAAAAAAAAAAAAAAAAAAAAAGGAAAACCCAAAAATACCTGACAAACATCAGTTCTAAAACAAAATGAGGCCAGGTGTGGTGGCTGACACCTGTAATCCCAGTACTTTGGGAGGCCAAAGTGGGTGGACTGCTTGAGCCCAGGAGTTTGAGACCAGCCTGGGCAACATAGTGAGACCTTATCTCTATTAAAAAAAAAAAAAAAAAAACCACTAGCCAGGTGTAATGGTGCACACCTGTGGTCCCAACTACTCAGGAGGCTGAGGTAGGAGGATCACTTGGGCCTAGGGGGTTGAGGTTGCAGTGAGCCATGACTGTGCCACTGTACTCCAATGTGGGCAACAGAGTGAGACCCCATCTCCAAAACTAAAAAAAAAAAAAAAAATCTTCTGAAACTCCTACTAAGCCTTCTCATTCTAGCCTCCACATACCTTATTTTCCTTTCGTATTTTTCATTTTTACTTCTCTTTGCTATTTTCCTTTTTTTTTTTTTTTTTTTTTTTTGAGATGGAGTCTCACTCTGTTGCCAGGCTGGAGTGCAATGGCATAATCCCGGCTCACTGCAACCTCTGCCTCCTGGGTTCAAGCAATTCTCCTGCCTCAGCCTCCTGAGTAGCTGAGATTACAGGCATGTGCCACCACACCCAGCTAATTTTTGTATTTTTAGTAGAGACAGGGTTTCACCATGTTGGCCAGTATGGTCTCGATCTCTTGACCTTGTGATCCACCCGCCTTGGCCTCCCAAAGTGCTGGGATTACAGGTGTAAGCCACCACTCCCGGCCCTCTTTGCTATTTTCTAGTTAATTCTCTCAGATCTATTTTCTAGTTCATTCCCTCAGATCTATTTTCTAGTTCATTAATTCCTTCTTTACCTGCGTCTAACATGTTATTTATTTTGCTAATTGAGTTTTTAAATTTCAGTGATTTTTTATCTCCATTTCCCTCCCCCACGTCTATCCATTTTTAGTATCTTGTTTCTTTCTCACATATTATATTTCTTCTCTTATGCCAATAATAATTTTAAACATAATGACTTGACAGTGTGTATCAATTATTTAATTATCTGAAGTTCTTGGTGGTGGGGGCAGGGGGGAAATATTTGTTCTCTGCTGTTCACTCTTGCTTATAGTAGAGAATATTACCCTAATGTGCTCTGTAATTTGGGAGTATAAACTCACCTTTACCAAGGTTTTATTTATAGAGTTTTCTGCAGTATAGTTGGAATACATATGCTTCCAGAGTATCTTTATAACTGTTTCTGCCAGATGTCCCACAGATGTCACTGGCTTGCCACAGTTTTTAAGAGTAAAGTCTTATCTTGGGTGTTATCTGACTACACAGCAAATTCCAAACCTATCTTAAAATCTCTTAGATGAGAAAACTGAGGTAATGAGAGTCAATGATTTGCCTGATTACACAGGTATGGTCCTGACTCCAAACTACATCTCTTTTCTTCAGACTTAAGGATTTGTTCAATAACTTCCTGATCCTATTTCAGCAATTGCAGCAAATTCTATACAATACTGATATAAAATAATGCCTTCCTCTAATGATTTTCATCCATGGAAACCCTTTTCTCAGTTCACTTCCCTATATCCAGCTACCTTCTCCATGCCATCTTACTTTCCAGTTTAGCAAGAAACCATCAATTACTCTCTACAACAAACTTTAGACTGGTTATGTTTGGAAGTTGGCCCAGGGAAAATGATATTGTCACATAAAATTAAATAAGAGTTCCTGAAAGGTAACAACTGACTTTTTCAGCTATTAAAAATTTTTCACTGTCAGCTGGGTGCGGTGGCTCATGCCTGTAATCCCAGCACTTTAGGAAGCCGAGGCAGGCAATCACAAGTTCAAGAAATCGAGACCATCCTGGCCAACATGGTGAAACCTCGTCTCTACTAAAAATACAAAAATTAGCCAGGCGTGATGGCGCACACCTGTAATCCCAGCTACTCAGGAGGCTGAGGCAGGAGAATCGCTTCTACCCGGGAAGTGGAGGTTGCAGTGAGCCGAGATCGTGCCACTGCACTCCAGCCTGGCAACAGAGCGAGACTGTCTCAAAAAAAAAAAAAAAAAAAAATTCACTGTCATTGATGCTTTCAATCTGTTTTGTTGCTTTCTCCTTCAGTTCCTGCCATTCTCTTGGTTTCTGGACTCTAGAATTCTGGTTAATTCTAACTGCATATTGGTAGCCTCTTGATTTTAATCTGTCTTCTTGAAAGGAGGCACGATATGATGGAAAGAGCATATTTATCTCAGGGCGAGATGGGTCCAGTTTCTAGCCTCAGTTTTCTCCCCTACAAAATAAGGAAGATCTTACTGGTGTTGTTGTCAGGATTAAATAAGATCATTTAATAATAATACAGTCCTTAGGATACAGGAGGCACTCAACTTACTAGTTAATTCATAATAATAAATTTCAATTTCCCTCTAGAAAAACGATAAGACCATCTACTTCATGTCATTTTTTTTGTAAGGATCAAATGTGTATGTAGGAGTAACAATTATTAACACAGAGGCCCTGACCTCTGATGTAAACCAGATGTCAAGGAAGTGTAGAGAAGTGGAAAACCATGAGCTTTGGCATCAGACATTGGTATCCCAGCTCTGCCAATTACTTAGAGCAAAGAATTTAACCTCTCTGATCTCAGCTTCTGTTTCCAGTAAATACAGAGGATAGTACTTACTTCACAGGATTGTTGTGAGTACTCTGTATGTAAAATGCTTAACACTGTGGTGAGCACAAAACTGGTGTTCTGTTTGAGAAATGGTAAATGTAACTATCATCAACAACAATCCTGGCTCTTATTTTCAGCATACTGGCTACATCTGGTTGCAACATAATCTAATCTACCTTTGCAATCTAAAAATCATACATTATCTTTTGTCTGAAATATTTATATTACTAGTAGCTAGACTGGAACAATGTTACCTTGATGATAACATTTTAGCTTGGCAGGGAGAAAAAGTGGCTATAGAACACACTCTAATTTATTTCCACTGATCACTACAGAAACCAAGTTTGAGTTCAGAAATTATTCACCACATGCTAGCTTAACAAGTAAGAAACAAATCAAAACACAAGCTATTCTGGCAATGGGCCATCATCTTTGAAAACAAAGGCTATCATATACATATTCCAAAATAAGCCAATCACAGAAATATAAATCTTCACAAATTTAGATTTTCTTAGTGACTCACAGAAATAACACAGAAAATTTAGCTAAAACTGAAATCACATTATCTCTTTCATCAATGGAATGCCTTATAACTTACCTAAATTCCAAGAGCATTATCTTTCTAATAGCAAACCTGAAAACATAAAAATAAATAAAATGTTTAAAATAGAGAATACAAACGTTTCAGAGTTATTAACACAAATGCATTTAGGGATGTTTTGTTTCCATATTAACCCATCTATCAAAATTCATAATATCAGATCACAACTTCTAATGTCAGTTCAACTTCTTAAGCACTGACCAACATGTTTTCATTTAATACTCAAATGGAAACACTTTGCTAGAGTCATGCCTTCCTAAAAGCACGCAGGACACATATCTATATTGCAAATGTGAAAATCAGACGTTTCACTTGCTTCTTAGTGTTGACAGTGAGCTTAAAATACTAAAATATTGTGGAGGAAATATCAGATATTTGTCTTTAATATACTGTCTTTTTTAAATAGAATTACTTTGTTTTATATGAATAAACAATGATATAGTCATGTTTGTCCCAAACATACTTACGCTGTCCCGAAGCAGACACAAATGGCCACTAATTTAGCTTTATCGTTTTATAATATTGGAAATAGATCAGAACACTGTCACTAGATAATTGTTTCCAGCTTTGAAAATTAAAAATACATGTATTATGAATTTATAATGCCCCAGGAAACCACTATCCTGTCAAAAATCCTATTCCACTGATTTCTGATCTCTTACATAGTTTCACTGAGCATGCAATGTCACAAAACTTTAGTGAGAATGAAATGAAGGTTTTTACTATGCAAAAGACAGAATATTGCCAAAGTACTGGCTTCTACAGGCAGCCAAGATGCTAAGTGGATAGGCCATCTTGAGTGACACACTCTAAATCTCCAACTGCAGACATTTCACTTGAATTAACTGTATGTTAGACAACAGAATTCACTCACTGCCCACTATACACAAAACTCTACATTAAATTTCTTCAGTCACAAATAGGACCTCATGATAAAAGACAGAAAATCCTGGCTCATAAGATAGAATACCAGTGTTCTAGTAATGACTCAGTGTTACTTTGACAATGTCTTTTAAACATTTTGTTTATTTTTTTCTTTTTTACTGAGACAGAGTCTTGCTCCATCGCCCACACTAGAGTGCAGTGGCACGATCTCGGTACACTGCAACCTCCGCCTCCCAGGCTCAAGCAATTCTTGTGCCTCAGACTCTTGAGTAGCTGGGATTACAGTCACGTGCCACCACACCTGGCAAATGTTTTGTATTTTTAGTAGAGATAGGGGTTTCCCCATGTTGTCCAGGTTGGTCTCGAACTCCTGAGCTCAGGTGATCCACCCACCTCAGCCTCCAAAAATGCTAGGATTACAGGCGTGAGCTACCACACCTGACGTCTTTTAAACATTCTGCAATTCAGTTTCCTCATGTATAAAAATGGTAGAGCAGCCAACTTTCCTTTATGATAACTAGACAAGTGAAAAATAAGTCTTTTTTTTTTTCTGAGGCAGAGCTTGCTCTATTGCCCAGGCTAGAGTACAGTGGCACAAACATAGCTCACTGTAGTCTCAATCTCCCAGGCTCAAGCAATCCTCCCACTTCAGCCTCTCAAGTAGCTGAGACTACAGGCATGTGCTACCACGTCCAGCTAATTTTTTTGATTTTTAGTAGAGATGAAGTCTCACTATGTTGCCCAGACTGGTTTCAAACTCCTGGGCTCAAGTAATCCTCCCACCTCAGCCTCCCAAAGTGCTGGGATTACAGGCATGAGCCACCATGCCTGGCCTTGAAAAATAACTCTTGGTAAGTCAAAATAAAGCAAAAGCAGTCTGAAAAACATTCAATTCCTCTTCTAGCAATCTCAGTGGTATTTATTAAATTTGGAGTTTTATACTTTTGCCAATGAACTCTCTGAGACAGATAAAGTGAACAGCTTAACTGAAAGTGTACTTGTAAGATTAAAAAAAACAGGTCTATGAACTAGACACCATGTCAGAAGAATTTTAAAGATAAGTATGGAAGGCCGGGCATGGTGGCTCACGCCTGTAATCCTAAACTTTGGGAGGCCAAGGAGGGTGGACTGCCTGAGCTCAGGGGTTCGAGACCAGCATGGACAACACGGTGGAATCCCGTCTCTACTAAAATACAAAAAATTAGCCAGGTGTGGTGGTGTGTGCCTGTAGTTCCAGGTACTCAGGAGGCTGAGACAGGAGAATTGCTTGAACCCAGGAGGCGGAGGTTGCAGTGGGCTGAGATTGCGCCACTGCACTCCAGCCCAGGTGACAGAGTGAGTCTCCGTCTCAAAATAATAAATAAATAAATAATAAGTATGAAAAGTTACAAACAATAATCACAAATATAAATAATTTGAAGGATATTTGGATGGTTATTTTTTTAAGTTACCAATATTTACTGAGAGCATGCATTATGCCTGACACTGTGCCAAGGACTTAACGTGCATTTCATTAAATCCTTCCAAAGTTGAATAATTTATGTATGATAAACTGGATCTATTACTGTATCATTAAATATGATAAGAAAAAGAGAAGGGGCCACACAAATGAGAGTTCTTTTCTATTACATTCCCCCCTATCCCAACAACCTCCTCTTTTCAGACGACTATGTGAAATACGAGGTCTGGAGCTGTGGCAGCCCCACCACAACCATACGGAAAAAATCAATAAAACCTTTTGACAAGATTGACAAGGGCCTTGACATTATTAACTTCTGAGCTACCTACTTCCAGATCTGTTAAGCAGATGATTAAAACAACAAGTAATAACAGTGAACAAAAGAAGCCAGCTACGCCAGGCACAGTGGCTCACGTCTGTAATCCCAGCACTTTGGGAGGCCGAGGCATACAGATTACCTGAGGTCAGGAGTTAGAGACCAGCCTGGCCAACATGGCGAAACCCCGTCTCTACTAAAAATACAAAAAATTAGCTAGGCGTGGTGGCGGGCACCTGTAATCCCAACTTCTAGGGAGGCTGAGGCAGGAGAATCATTCGAAGCTGGGAGGCGGAGGTTGCAGTGAGCCGAGATCATGCCACTGCACTCCAGCCTGGTGACAACAGCGAAACTCCATCTCAAAAAAAAAAAAAAAAATGAAGCCAGCCACAAAAGAGTACATAGTGTGTGATTCTATTTATTTATTTAAAGTTGAAAAAGAACCAAAATTATAGTGTTCTTGTTTGCATACTTACATATTATAATGATAAAAAAAAGAAACAAGCAGAGAGCTTCTGGAACACCGACAATGTTCGTGGAGTTTTTCAGCCTAGGTGGTGGTTATGAATTATTACTATAATTCGTAAGGCTATACATTTGTTTCATGCTGTTTTCTGTGTTACATTTCATAATAAAAGAGTCCATACATTTCAAATAAAAATAAGCACTTTGGGAAAAGTAAATTACTCTGTAAATCACCCTTTTTGAAAGCATAAAAACCACTTAGTTGGTTCATAACAGGATTAAACATCATACCGGAGTGTACTAGTTAAGAGGTTTCTAGAAGGCAAAGGACTCTTATTTAAGAACAGAGTATTCAAGGCCGGGTGTGGTGGCTCACACCTGTAATCCCAGCACTTTGGGAGGCCGAGGTGGGCGGATCACCTGAGGTCAGGAGTTCGAGACTAGCCTGGCCAACATGGTGAAACACTTTCTCTACTAAAACTACAAAAAATTAGCAAGGCATGGTGGCACATGCTTGTAATCCCAGCTACTCAGGAGGCTGAGGCAGGAGAATCGCTGGAACCCAGGAGGCGGAGGTGGCAGTGAGCTGAGATTGCGCCACTGCACTCCAGCCTGGGGCAATAAGGGTGAAACTCCATCTCAAAAAAATAAAAGAACAGAACAGAATATTCAGTAAGAAGTCAGAAAAAAAAAAAAAAAAAAAAGAACCAGGGAACCAGGATTCAATACCTGGTGTGCCTCTAAATACTGGGAAACATCTTGGGCAAGTTATTTAACCTATCCACTTCAGTTTCCTCATCCATAAAATGAGGACAATAATAGTGTTACAGGGTTGTTGTGGGAATAAATGAGCTAGATGCTTAGAGCAGAATGCAAGGTGCTTACAGCAGAATCTGGCACATAGTAAGCACTTAACTATTATTTTTCAAATATTTTTAAAATCAAACTTGGATGAAGAATTCATTAAGATAAGCCTGCCAAATCTGATAATGGCAAGAACAGCAAATATGAATCAATTGTGTAATGTACCATACAGTAACATGGCTGTTACATCAAGCCATTCCCCCAATACTGAAAATGCCGTGAGCACATAGCTCAGCAAAATAATTTCCTCAGGACCTAGCCTAAAAAACTGGTCATTTAAATTTTTTTTTTCTTTTTTCAGACGGAGTCTTGCTCTGTCGCCCAGGCTGGAGTAGAGTGGCACAATTTCAGCTCACTGCAACCTCCACCTCCCGGGTTCAAGCGATTCTCCTGCCTCAGTCTCTCGAGTAGCTGGGATTACAGATGCGTGCCACCACACCCAGCTGATTTTTGTATTTTTAGTAGAGACGGGGTTTCACCATGTTAAATTTTTAAATACATACTATAGTTTATGTGTTACAGAAGTGTACTTGGAAATAAAAAATGTAGGCCAGGCGTGGTGGCTCACACCTGTAATCCCAGCACTTTGGGAGGCCGAGGCAAGCGGATCACCTGAGTTCGGGAGTGACAGCCTGACAAACGTGGAGAAACCCCGTCTCTACTAAAAATATAAAATTAGCCAGGCGTGGTGGAGCATGCCTGTAATCCCTGCTACTCGGGAGGCTGAGGCAGGAGAATCACTTGAACCTGGGAGGTGGAGGTTGCGGTGAGCCGAGACTGCACCATTGCACTCCAGCCTGGGCAACAAGATCGAAACTCCGTCTCAAAAAAACATAAAAAAAACATAAAAATAATAATAATAATAATAATAAAACAAAAAACATAAACATGAAAAAACATAAAACATAAAAAAACATAAAAAACAAAAAAATTAAAAAATAATAATAAAAAACGTGTCCAAGATAAGAAAACGACTGTTAAAAGTGCCAAGATAAATCTTAGCCATGCCAAAGACAGCTACTTCTTTCAGAACTAAGAATAACATAGCGGTGGCCGGGCGCAGTGGCTCACGCCTGTAATCCCAGCACTTTGGGAGGCTGAGGCGGGCGATCACAAGGTCGGGAGATCGAGACCATCCTGGCTAACATGGTGAAACCCTGTCTCTACTAAAAATACAAAAAATTAGCCGGGCGTGGTGGCGGGCGCCTGTAATCCCAGCTACTAGGGAGGCTGAGGCAGGGGAATGGCGTGGACCCGGGAGGCAGAGCTTGCAGTGAGCCGAGATCATGCCACTGCACTCCAGCCTGGCGACAGAGCAAGACTCCGTCTCAAAAAATAAAAAAGAATAACGGTAGGGGCTGGGTGTGGTGGCTAATTCCTATAATCCCAGCACTTTGGGCGGTCAAAGTGGGCAGACTGCTTGAGCTCAGGAGTGAGAGCAGCCTGGGCAACATGGAGAAACCCTGTTTCTACCAAAAATACAAAAAGAATTAGCTGGGCATGGTGGTTTGTGCCTGTGGTGCCAGCTACTCGGGAGGCTAAGGTTGGGGGATCACTTGAGCCCAGGAGGCAGAGGTTGCAATGAGCTGAGATCACACCACTGCACTCAAACCTGGGTGAAAGAGAGCAACCCTGTCACACATTGTGCAATGGCGCAATCTCGGCTACACAGAAGAGAGCTACATATAAAAAGCAGCCAAATGTATATGGCTTAAAAATCATTAGCAGCTTTTGGTTGTTATAAAAAATCACCTCTGAAGAAGAAATATTAATAGCAAGGGTTTAAATGAAAAAATAAACAATCACTTTCCACTGGAGTGAAAATCTATTCTGAAGATTCAAAATAATTTTCAAACTAGTATAACCTTAATATAGAAGAAAAAATGATACCAGAATTAATCCACCCACTCATCTTTAGTTTTCTCAAGAAATTTCATTCATACTCACCTTCAGACCATATGTTACAAATCTGCTCAAATGTCCTACTTTCAGAGAGAATTTGCCTAATTATTCTGAAATACCAGCCCTTGTCTCTATCCTCTAACCACACTTTAATTCACAGCATTTACTGTCTCCTGACATTACATTACATATAGATATATAGATATAGATATAGATATAGATATAGATATAGATATAGATATAGATATATAGATATCTGTCTGTCCGTCTGTCTGACCTACTAGAATGTAAGCTCCAGGAGAGCAGGGATCGTATCTCCCCTCTTTTCTGTTGTACTGTTAGCATCGAAAAGGTGGCTAATACAAAGTAGGCTCAACTCAGTCTCTTTTTGTTGTTTGTTTTGAGACAGGGTCTCACTCTGTTGCCCAGGCTAGAGTGCAGTGGCACAACTGTGGCTCACTGAACCCTTAACCTCCTGGGCTCAGGTGATCCTCCCACTTCATCCTCTTGAGTAACTGGGACTACAGCCATACGCCACCATGTCCAGCTAATTTTTTGTGTTTTTTCTGGACACAGGGTTTTGCCATGTTGCTCAGGCTGGTCCTGAACTACTTACTGGGCTTGAACAATCCACCCACCTCGGCCTCCCAAGGTGCTGGGATTACAGGCATGAGCCACCATGCCCAGCCAACCCAATCTCTTTTGAGCTATACACCTGGATATCCAACTGCCTATTCCATATCTCCATCTTCATAGCTCTTAAGTAGCTAGAATTCAATATATCCAAAAGTGAAATAAAGATCTACACCCAATCCTACCCCCAACAACGTGGCAAAAGTCAGTAATGGCATCACTAATCACTCAGCAACTTAAGCAAAAAATTTTAGGATCATCTTTGATTCTTCCTTTTCCTACATCTGCCACATCCAAACATCAAGTCTCTCCACCTCTATCTTTCTCAAATGGACAATTCCGCTCCCAACTTTCCACACAAGCCAAATCTATGACATCTTGAAGCTGACTACTACAATGCTCACCTAATTAATTCCCTGCCTCTTGCTCCCTCCAAATCCAAATTCTTGCTGGGTGCAGTGGCTAATGCCTGTAATCCCAGCACTTTGGAAGGCCAAGGCAGGTGGATCACTTGGGGCCAGCAGTTTGAGACTAGCCTGGCCAACATGGTGAAACCCTGTCTCAAAAAAAGAAAAAAAACAAACAAACCCAAATTCTCTTTTTCAAATACCACTGTGCTTACAACTCTTCTTACTTCCTACTGTTTTCCAAATAAAGAACAAAATCCTGAAGATGGCCTTTGACCCATTTAGTCAAATATCCTTTTAAAATACTCACTGGACATACATGTCTGCAGGTGTATATACAAAAAGATGCCTAAGACACGCTGTTAAATTTTTTAAAAGAAGCATGATGAAAAATAGCATGTAGAGTACAAACCCTTTTGTGTTTGAAAAAACATGTGAAGGCGTGGGGAATAGAACAGATGTATATGAACCATATACATGAACCAGGGATTGGGGGCAGAAAAGATGATTTATTGAAACTCACCCCTTACAGCATATTGCTCAAAAATAATTTTTATCACTTCTGTGTTTATTATTATACATTTTATACATTACATATGTATACTATATTATTGTAAATTTAATAATGTCTTACTTTCATAACTTTTTAAGAATATTTTTAAAAGGTGAATCAGAAATAATACTAGTAATAAAATCTTCATGTTTACTTTTTCTCAAATTCCATCTAAATCCAAATAAACCCTATGGGATTTGATACCTCTAATCTGAGCCAAAAGTTAGAAGGCAAAAAATAATTTATGACTCTTCAGCACCTAAAGTTTTTCTAGTCACCATTGCCCTGACGACCAGTTTGAAACAGAAAAAGGGTTCAAGTTATGATCACATTTAGAAGTTCAGCCAAGATCCAACTTGGTCCACCCCAATCACATTGTATAAAATTTAAATTCATTCCTACCTTGATTTGACAATCTCTTTTTCATATATATCTTCAATAACCTGTTATAAAAATATAAAAATGTTTAATATCTCAACAACTTTTTTCAACCCTAAATTGACAGTTTTTAATGAGTGAGATTATATAAAATAAGTTGGTTTAGGAAAGCCATCAAATATTACTGCTATTGAAATAATGAGATATTTAAAATAATCCCATTATATTCCTCGAAATATGAAATTAACAGAAAGCAAAGTAGAAAAAACAAATAATAAAACAGAGCCCTAGATTCATTAAAATGATGTGCTTATAAAGATTTTTAGGGAAAATAAAAATTCACAAGATCAGGATTTTTTTTAAACTTAAAGTGTATAAATGTTATGAGACTCCATTTGAGAGTCATAACTGTGTGCCTGCAAAACCCAGAGAGAAAATAATTTAAAAGTGTGAAGACATAACAGACACAAATTCTAATTGTTACATCTCTTTATCCAAATGAATATGATAGAGCTTCAGAATTTCCATTCATTTGAGTGAGGGTGGGCAGAATGGTGTACTACTTAAGAATTCAGACTCTGGCCAGGCACGGTGGCTCACGACTGTAATCCGAGCACTTTGGGAGGCCGAAGAGGGTGGATCATGAGGTCAAGAGATCAAGACCATCCTGGCCAACATGGTGAAACCCTGTCTCTACTAAAAATACAAATATTAGCTGGGCGTGGTGGCGCACACCTGCAGTCCCAACTACTTCGGAGGCTGAGGCAGGAGAATCACTTGAACCCGGGAGGCGGAGGTTGCAGTGAGTCAAGATCGCGCCACTGCACTCCATCCAGCCTGGTGATAGAGCGAGACTCCATCTCAAAAAAAAAAAAAAAAAAAAAAGAATTCTGACTCTGGAACTGTACATCTCAAAAAAAAAAAAAAAAGAAAAAAAGAACTCAGACTCTCGAATTGGAAGACTGGTTCAAAACATCTGCCTTCACTACTGATGGCTGGAACTCTTAGGCAAGTGCCTGACCTCTCCAAGCCTCAGTTTCCTTACCCACAAAACAGATCTAATAACACAAACTACCACACAGGGTTACTGAAAATAAAATAAGACAGGGCATATAAACAATTAGTACAAATACTGGCATACAGTGAGCCTTCACTAACAGTTATCAATAGCAGCAGTAGTAGTGCTAGCATTAATAATAGTAAAAAAAAATACTACTGTAAAATTATGAAGTGCTTTAACATGCTATAATATTATTGTATGGTAACTATAATGTCTTTTTTTTTTTTTTTTGAGATGGGGTCTCACTCTGTCACCTAGGGTGGAGTGTAGCAGTGCAATCACAGCTCATTGCAACGTCTGCCTTCCAGTCTCAACTATCCTCCAGCCGCAGCCTCCCAAATAGCTGGGACCACAGGCATACACCACCATACCCACCTAATTTTTTGTATTTTTGGTAGAGATGGGGTTTCACCATGTTGCCCAGGTTGGTCTTGAACTCCTGAAGTCAAGTGACCTACCGCCTCAGCCTCCCAAAGTGCTGGGATTACAGTCATGAGCCATGGTACCTAGCCTATAATATCTTTTAATTGCTCCAAGTACATTTGTGAAATAAGTATTTGTGAGTGGTAAAGGGAGGGAGGCGATAAGGAAAACAAGTCTTGTTCAATCTAGATGAAATGCTCTGTTATTGTTTTCATCAAATTTCAAATTAAATAATAAAATAAAGATTACTGGTTGGCCGGGTGTGGTGGCTCAAGCCTGTAATCCCACCACTTTGGGAGGCCAAGGTGGGCAGATCACCTGAAGTTAGGAGTTTGAGACCAGCCTGGCCAACATGGTAAAACCCCGTCTCTACTAAAAATACAAAAATTAGCAGGGCGTGGTGGCGTGCATCTGTAATCCCAGCTACTCAGGAGGCTGAGGCAGAAGAATCGCTTGAACCCAGGAGGTGGAGGCTGCAGTGAGCCAGAATCGTGCCATTACACTCCAAACTGGGTGACAAGAGCGAGACTCCACCTCCAAAAAAAAAAAATAAATAAAAGATTACTGGCAAAAACAAATATATATTCGTAAGAATTTAAGTTCAAATAAAGTAAGAAATTTTGGGTAAAAAGTTCAGTTTTACCAACAGTGCCTAAAGCATCACCATTAAATTTATAATGGCAAAGCTTAAGAGTCTTCATTACTTGTTGAATGGTATGCAGTGTCAACATCTATTTCATTTAAAGACCTCACTCTCTTTAAGGGACAGGGTCTCATTCTGTTGCCCAGGCTGGAGTGCAGTGGCCTGATTACAGCTCACTGCAGCCTCAAGCTCCTGGGCTCAGTCAGTCATCCTCCCGCTTCAGCTTCCAGAGCAATTGATACTACATGTGTGAGCCACTGCACAAGCCAATTTTTTTAATTTTTTTGTAAAGGCGAGATCTCACTACTGTCCAGTCTAGTCTCAAACTCCTGGCTTCAGGTGATCTTCCCTCTTTGATCTCCCAAAGCACTAGGATTATACGCATGAGCCACCACACCTGGCCTTAGACCTCTCTTTAAGAACCTAATCCAATGAGAATTAACCCTATATTTGGGAATTTGTCATATTATTTGTTCTAAATTGCTTCAGTTGGACTTATTCAATTGAATAAGTTCAATTCCCTTATTGAATATTACTGGACTTAAGTTATTACACTATACAACTGCTGCTCCTTCCATCTTTATTATAGACCTTTACCTCATTCACCACTCTAAAAACAAGATAACCCAACAGATTTAATCCTAAATGAACTATCAAAAACTTGTACAAAAATTTCTGTATATTTACAAAGATATTTATTACATGATCATTTATAATAATGATAAATTAAAAATAACCTAAGAATCTATAAACAGAAAAACAGTTAAGTAAATTATACACGTACACTTTTTTTTTTTCTTTTTTTTGAGATGGAGTCTCGCTCTGTCATCCAGGCTGGAGTGCAGTGGTGCGATCTCGACTCACTGCACGCTCCGCCTCCCAGGTTCACGCCATTCTCCTGCCTCAGCCTCCCGAGTAGCTGGGACTACAGGCGCCCACCACCATGCCCGGCTAATTTTTTGTATTTTTAGTAGAGATGGGGTTTCACCGTGTTGGTCAGATGGTCTCGATCTCCTGACCTTGTGATCCACTGGCCTTGGCCTCCCAAAGTGCTGGGATTACAGGCGTGAGACACCGTGCCCAGCCACATACACATTTTTGTTAAGGCTTAAAGAAAATACAACAAAATGGTAAGAGAGGTTATCTCTGTGTAGTGATTATTTTCTTATGTGTAGTTTCTATGTCTTCCAAATTTCCTAACATAAATCATTGCTAAGTTTGATAAGCAAAAAATTGTATTTTTTGTAGATCGTTAGGTTGTTTTTAATTTTAAAAAAATTATGGAAAGCTTTTGTTGAAATAACCCTTTAAAAGGAGTGTAACTTCTCAAGAATTATGTTGAAACCAAAAATACTTACCTTTATATCAAAAGGTGATTTCTTCTTGATGTGGGGAGCCCAGTATTTACATGCTAACTGCAAAGTAAACAGTATAAACAGTAAGTCCCAGATTCTTGCCATTGTAGAGCTGGAAGACAGATCATTTAGTGATAAGCGGTTTCTTAACAAGGCCCTACTCGGCACTGGGGGACAGAGTATATCTGAAGGCACTACACAGGCATGCAGGCCAGTTGGCATCCTTGACCCCAAACCACTAAATGCCAGTAGTGCTTTGCACTACAACATGCCATTGTGATATAAACAAACAAACAAAATCCTCTCCAACCACCCTAGAGAAACAATACAGCTCAGTTAATAACCACAGAGCCAAACATCTTCAGCATGGCAATAAGGAAACCCTGGTCTAGAAAAAATAAGTGATCTGCCCAAGATTACAGTTAGTTAATAGTTGAGCAAGTATTACAAATGATACTCAAAATCTTCATGAATGCTTTCCTAAAATAATGAGCCTTTAAATGATTAGTTCACACCCATAACAAAACCTAAAAAAAAAAAAAATTGTAGTCTATCGGCTGCTTATTACAGAGAATATAAGAGCTGGCATATTTCAGCAGATTAGGCTTGACCTGTAAATTGTGAAATTTAAACAAATATATAACTCTCTCTACATATTTAAAGAAACAGCATAGTCTTATTCATAGGGTTTTGTTTTAAAACCCAATTATAATCTCTTTAAAAATAGAAAACTGGCAAGCACAAAGACTCAATATATTTATAAAAAGGTGACTACTCTGCAGTGTCTGGCATATCAGAGGCACTAATAAAGTCTGATGGATGAATGGATGGACAAATGAAGCAAAATCTGAAATGTTACTTCTGTGAGGCTGTCCTCAACACTACCTGATGGTGACAATTGCTTTCTCCTTCTCTTCATTTTGTATATAACTCTTTATAATCTTACCTTTCTATATTATAAATATTTGATTGCTTATCCATCTTTCCTTCTCATTTAATTGGAATACTTAAGAGATGGGACTTGTTTTCTTTGCTTTTATAGCTCAGTGATGAACACATACAACACACTTAAAGAGCCTCCCAGGCAGTTAGGACACTGGCCCTGAGGAATAGCCTCTAAAAATATTACAGTAACTTCCTACTTAAATGACACCTTCCGGCCAGGCATGGTGGCTCATGCCTGTAATCTCAGAACTTTGGGAGGCCGAGGCAGGCGGATCACCTGAGGTCAGGAGTTCAAGACCAGCCTGGCCAACATCGTGAAACCCCATCTCTACCAAAAACACAAAAATTAGCCAGGCTTGGTGGTGTGCACCTATAATTCCAGCTACTTGGGAGGCTGAGGCAGGAGAATTGCTTGAACCTGGGAGGTGGAGATTGCAGTGAGCCAACACCAAGCCACTGCACTCCAGCCTGGGCGACAGAGCAAGACTCCGTCTCTAAAATAAATAAATAAATAACACCTTCCCAAATTACCAATCACTCTCCAACTCAATAGAAAATCTTCACCTCACCCCCAGTTATTCTGTGGTGTCCTCATTTCCTCATTCTGCTCCCTATGGGCATCATAAATTCAGTCATCTTCTTCTTACATCATACCATTAAGAGAATTGAGTCTAACCTGTTATGATGGACTCAGGAAATTACAAATAAAAATGTATATCCTATCTCTGATCTAAACTGCTTACTGTACATCTGTACTTGATTAAAGATTAGCAAACATTTATTAAGCATCTATCATGTCTCTTCTCTGAGTTTCTCCTTTCCCTTGGGGTCTAACGTGTAATGTCTCAAATATCACGATCTCACAGTATATACACATTGCCCTCCCTCAAACTCTCTAGTCTCATGTAAAATAAAAACTTTCCATTCTCTACTTAGTACAGCTATGACAGTATAAACTGTTTAAAGTAAACCTTACTGAAAGACAAAAAAGGAAATAAAAATATAATGGTATAAAAAAGTGAGGTCACAAAGTTCAGATCTCCAATCTCCTTAAAACTAAATTTTAACCTCTTGATCTCATTCATTCAATAAATAATTTTAAAAGTACCTTTTCTGGCTAGGTATGCCAGATGCTCAGAAATTAAATTAAAAAGAAAGAAGAAGAAAACACCTAAGCCCAAGATGTCCCCTCTACCTAGAAAACCAATTCCCCCACTTTCCTCTCTGCATTTCAAAGTCCAACTCAAATGATACTTTCTCAATGAGAAAATTCTTCTTGGAAATTCTTTCCTTCAACAAAGTAATAATTTCATGCTCTTTTCTCAAAGCACTTCCCTTATACCCCAATCTGGCATTTCTCACATTAAACTACAGTGAGTTCTTTAAGTCTCTTAAAGTCTCCTTCCACAGACTGTGTGTTAGATTGTGAGAACATGTCTGTTTTATTCCCCATGTACTCCCAGCACCTGGTATTGTACTAGGCACACACTGTGTGATGACTATTTGTCAAATGGATACATAAGTGAATTAATGAACAAATATGCCAGATCATTAAGATGTAGTGTGAGAAAGGAAGGTTCTCAGCAATCTTGGGCCATGGGAACAAACATTAATGTCTAATATTTGCCAGATACTGTTTAGGCTCTTCTAGAGTGCAAAGAAAGGTAATCTTTGCCTTCAAGGCCACCCTGGCCTTTTTTTTTTTTTTTTTTTTTTTTTGAGATGGAGTTCGCTCTTGTTGCCCAGGCTGAAGTACAATGGCGTGATCTCAGCTCACTGCAACCTCTGCCTCCTGGGTTCAAGTGATTCTCCTGCCTCAGCCTCCTGAGTAGCTGGGATTACAGGCATGCACCACCACGTCCGGCTAATTTTGTATTTTTAGTAGAGACAGGGTTTCTCCATATTGGCCAGGCTGGTCTCGAACTCCCGACCTCAGGTGATCCGTCCACCTCAGCCTCCCAAAGTGCTGGGATTACAGGTGTAATCCCACTGCGAGCCACAAGCCACCGCACCCGGCCCACCCTGGCCTTCTTTACATTCACACCTTAAGGTGTGTGTACTTGCTATTTCCTTGCTCTTCTCAAAACTGGCTCCTTCTTTGCATTCAGGTGTTAGCTCAAATGTCACCTCGGAGAGAACTTTCCTGACTGTCTTTCATACACCTCAAACCAGTCTGTCACAGCCCTGTTTCATTTTCCTCATAGCATTTATCAGTGTATGAAACTATACCGTTCATCTGTCTGGTTCTTCCCTCTAAAATGTGAGTTCCATGACAGAAGTAAACTAATAAATGACTTCTACTGCAAAAATGCAGGTATATGGGGAAAGAGACCTCTAATCTCGTTTAAGTTGTCAGGAAAAGCCTCTCTAAAGTAGTGTAGAAGGCTGAGAATGAATAAAGGAAGGTGGGGAGAAAAAAAATGAGGATTCCTAGCAGAGGAACAATGTTGAAAAGCCAGGAGATGAAAGATAGCATGGCACATTCAAATAAACGAAGTTCTGTACAGCTAAGGCACAGAGTTAGAAAGGAAGAGGAAAAAGAGGAAACTGAAGATATAAGCACAGGTCAAATCACACAACACTATGAAGGATTTCAGCCGTTAACCTAAGGGTAATTAGAATTCTTTAAAGATTTCTTTTTTTTTGCTTCGTTTTTAGACGGAGTTTTGCTCTTGTTGCCCAGGCTGGAGTGCAATGGTGCGATCTTGGCTCATTGCAACCTCCGCCTCCCGGGTTCAAGCAATTCTCCTGCCTCAGCCTCCCGAGTAGCTGGGATTACAGGCATGCACCACCAAGCCTGCCTACTTTTGTATTTTTAGTAGAGACAGGGTTTCTCCATGTTGGTCAGGCTGGTCTCGAACTCCCGACCTCAGGTGATCGACCTGCCACGGCCTCCCAAAGTGCTGGGATTACAGGCATGAGCCATCGCGCCCGGCTGAAGATTTTAAGGACAGCCAGCCTTAGTGTAGTCCCTGTAGTCCTAGCTACAAGGGAGGCTGAGGTGGAAGGCTCACTGGAGCCCAGCCAACATAGTGAGACCCTATCTTGAAAGAAGAAAAGGAAGGAAAGGAAGGAAGAGATTTTTTTTTTTTTTTGAGACGGAGTCTCGCACTGTTGCCCAGGCTGGAGTGCAGTGGCGCGATCTCGGCTCACTGCAAGCTCCGCCTCCCGGGTTCACGCCATTCTCCTGCCTCAGCCTCCCGAGTAGCTGGGACCAAAGGCACCTGCCACCATGCCCGGCTAATTTTTTTTCTTTTTATTTTTAGTAGAGACGGGGTTTCACCGTGTTAGCCAGGATGGTCTCGATCTCCTGACCTCGTGATCCGCCCGCCTCGGCCTCCCAAAGTGCTGGGATTACAGGCGTGAGCCCCTGCGCCCGGCCGGAAGGCAGAAATTTTAAGAAGGCAAGTGATATGATGAGATTTGCACTTGTATGAAATCACTCGGAAAGCAACATGAAGAATGGGCTAGAGCAGAGCAAGAGGAAGGACAATATAACAGATTACGATACCTTGGTCCAGGCAGAAAACAATGGCAACCAAGCTTAGGGTGACAGAGATGTAGAACACCAGATAGATTCAAAAGATATTTAGAATGTAGAAATGTAGGGACTAAGGGAAAGGGAGGATTCAAAATCACTCCCTAGGCTTCTGCCCTGGCAAATCTGTTGAGACAAGGAATAAAGAATAAAGAAGCAGGTGGGCATGATAACTTCTACATTGAACTACTTACACTCTTATGCAATTCACAAATAAATAATAAGAATGAGGAATGATGCTGACAACCACAGGACTGTGGTTCCCTATCCAAAGCCAACTGTGGCTCACAATGCAAGATAGTAAACAGATTCTAAATGAACGCTCTCAAACTACAGAATTACTCTGTTTTTAGATAGGTCTATTTGGAGGTGTCTTGTCAGTTTCTCATCGCTGCTCAAAAACTCAGGACACTCTAAGGACCAGGAAAAAGCCTACTCCTACTTGAAGAGGCAGTCCAGCATCACTCTGCTGCGAAGCCTACTTGCCAGTCTCAGATAGACTGGGGTGTTCCCTCCTCTCTGAATCCATTGCTCCTGAGACAAACTCCAACACAGCAAAACTCATACAGTAGTTTTATTTTCATGCGTCTGTCTTCCTTGGGCCATGAACTCCCCAGGGCAGGGCAGCTTCTTTCACCACGGTATGCCCAGCACCTAGCATAGTGGCCGGCACGGAGCTGATACTCAGTAAAAAGACGTGTGTGAATCAATTAACAAACGAATGCCTCCTCCGGACTCCTAAATCCTGAAAAAAAACCCCACCACCAGGCCTCGGGGCCACGACGTCCATACCCACTCACACACACCAGACTCGCCCGAGCTCACCTGGGTCACGAACTCCGCATTGATTTGGGACACCGTAGGGGCCACGATCTTCTTGGGCTGCGCAGGGGCTGCCATGGCAGCACTCTTCCCTCCACTCCAGTGGAAACTAAAGGACCGCTCTGGGCAGCGGCAACCCTGGTCCACTTCCCTTAAGTTACTGCCGGGGCGCTTAACTCCGCGCCGCACAAACGCTCCGGGCCGGATATCCTCAGCCTTCAGAGTCCCGTAGGGAACCCGTACAACAGCCCAAGCGTTCCTCGGGAAGCGGAATGGCGTGTAGCCGGAAGTTCATGCAGGCGTTGGGGCTGAGCTAGCGAGCCAAGAGCTTTGACCTCCTCTGTACACGCCCTCTAGCGGGCGGCAGAGAGAAGACACCTCGCTGGCGGGATTAGGAGGGCAAGGGAGGGACCCGGTGGATGGTGTTGGGTGGGGTTTCTCGTGGTTAGTGAAGAGTGCCGTGTGCGGTGAATGGGGATTTAGTTTTTTTTCAACCCTAAAGAAAAAACAAAACAAAACAAAAAAAACAGCCTGGGAATATGGGCTGGGTTTTAACTGCCCTTAACAGTGTTTTAGTTTAGTTTTGTTTTTTTTGAGACGGAGTTTCGCTCTTGTTGCCCAGGCTGCAATGCAATGGTGCAATCTCGGCTCACAGCAACCTCTGCCTCCCGGGTTCAAGCGATTCTCCTGCCTCAGCCTCCCGTGTTGTTGGGATTACAGGCATGCGCCACCATGCACAGCTAATTTTTGTATTTTTAGTAGACACAGGGTTTCTCCGTATTGGTCAGGCTGGTCTCGAACTCACCAACTTTAGGTAATCCGCCTGCCTCAGGGTCCCAAAGTGCAGGGATTACAGGCCTTAACAGTTTTATGGAGGTAAAAATTGACATACAATAACCCAGCCAGGCGCGGTAGTCACGCCTGTAATCCCAGCGTTTTGGGAGGCTGAAGCTGGCCGATTGCCTGAGGTCAGGAGTTTGAGACCAGCCTGGCTAACATGGTGAAAACCCATCTCTACTAAAAAACAAAATTTAGCCGGGCGTGGTGGCGCGCGCCTGTAGTTCCAGCTACTCGGATTCAGGAGAATAATCACTTGAAGCTGGGAGGCGGAGGTTGCAGTGAGCCGAGATTGCGCCATTGCACTCCAGCTTGGTGACAGAGCGAGACTAGCCTCAAAAAATAAAAATAAAATAATAATAAAAATAATTCACATACAATAACCCACACATATTTAGGTTGTAAAATTTGATGCGTTTTGACATGAACATACATTTGTGAAACTATTGCCAAAATCATAATGAGCATATCAAAGCCTCTAAAAGTTTCCTCGTGAACTTTTGCTATCTGTGCCTTTCACTGTTCCCACCCACTTTTCAGGCAACCACTGATCTGCTTTCTGTCACTATAGTTTGCTTTTCATGGAATTTTATATAAATGAAATAATACAGTGCATGCCTTCTTTCACTCAACGAAATGATTTTGAGATGGATTCATGTTGTTGCATGTATCAGTAGTTCATTCCTTTTTTATTGCTTAACATTCGTTCCATTTTACTGATATACCACAGTTTGATAAACTATTCATCTGCTGATAGACATTTGAGTTGTTCCAAGTTCTCAGTTATTACAAATAAAGCCACTATGAGCATTTGTGTATAAGTCTTCATGTGGACATATACTTCCTTTGCTCTTAAATACTTAGGAGTGAAATATTTGGGTTATACGATAGGTGTGTTTGTTTGTTTGTTGTTTGTTTGAGATGGAGTCTTGCTCTGTCGCCCGGGCTGGAGTGCAATGGCGTGATCTCGGATCACTGCAACCTCTGCCTCCTGGGATCAAGAGATTCTCCTGCCTCAGGCTCCTGAGTAGCTGGGATTACAGGCAACGCGCCATCACACCTGACTAGTTTTTGTATTTTTAGTAGAGACGGGGTTTCACCATGTTGGTCAGGCTGGTCTTGAACTCCTAAGCTCGTGATCTGCCCACTTTGACCTCCCAAAGTGCTGGGATTACAGGCATAAGCCACTGCACCCGGCAAGTATATGTTTAAGTTTTTAGAAACTGCCATCTTTCTAAAGTAGTACTATTTTACATTCACATCAGGAGCATATAATTCTAGTTTGTTCTCCACCTCGTCAACACTTAATATGGACAATTTTTTTTAAATTTTTAAGTTCAAGGGCACATGTGCAGGATGGGCAGGTTTGTTACATAGGTAAAGGTGTGTCATAGGGGTTCATTGTACAAATTATTTCATCACTCAGGTATTAAGCCCAGTATACATTAGTTATTTTTTCTGATCCTCTCCCTCCACCCACCCAACCCTCTGGAAGGCCCCAGTGTGCATTGTTCCCCTCTATGTGAATATGGACAATCTTTTAATTTTAGTCTTTATTTATTTATTTATATATTCATTTTGAGATGGAGTCTCACTCTGTCGCCCAGGTTGGAGTGCAGTGGCCCGATCCCAGCACACTGCAACCTCCACCTCCCGAGTTCAAGCAATTCTCCTGTCTCAGCCACCCGAGTAGCTGGGATTACAGGCACACGCCACCACACCCAGCTAATTTTTGTATTTTTAGTAGAGACGGGGTTTCGCAATGTTGGCCAGGCTGGTCTCGAACTCCTGACCTCAAGTGATCCACCTGCCTCGGCCTCCCAAAGTGCTGGGATTACAGGCGTGAGCCACCGGGGGCGCCCAGCCCCTAATTTTAGTCATTTTAATAGGTGTGTGATATATTTCGTTGTGACTTTCATTTACATTTCCCTAATGACTAATTGAGCATCTCTTCATGTGCTTATTTGCTATTCATATATCTTCTTTGGGGAAGCCTCTATTCATATTTTTTGCCCTTTTTTAAATTGAATAACTTGGTTTCTTACTACTGAGTTTCAATGCACACCCCTACCATTCCCAAATCCATACGTAAATTAAACATGTGTCTCTAGTTAAACTCTCCCTGGATGAACACATGCAAGAAACTGATAACACTATTGTTTCCAAGAAGAAGGAACTGTGGGGAGGGGACAACAGGAAGGGGAGAAAAGTTATTTCATATTTTATACCTTTTTGTAACTTTAGAATTTTGTAATATGTATGACATGTTCAAAAATAAACAGTGTAGGCCGGGTGCAGTGGCTCACGCCTGTAATCCCAGCACTTTGGGAGGCCAAGGCGGGCAGATCACAAGGTCAGGAGACTGAGACCATCCTGGCTAACAATCCTGTCTCTACTAAAAATACAAAAAATTAGGCGGGTGTGGTGGCGGGCGCCTGTAGTCCCAGCTGCTCGGAAGTCTGAGGCGGGAGAATCACTCGAACTGGGGAGGCGGAGGTTGCGGTGAGCTGAGATCAGGCCACTGCACTCCAGCCTGGGCAACAGAGCAAGACTCCATCTCAAAAAAATAAAAATTTAAAAAAACAGTAAAAAAATAAACAGTGTGGGCCAGGCGCAGTGGCTCACGCCTGTAATCCCAGCACTTTGGGAGGCCGAGGCAGGTGGATCATCTTGAGGTCAGGAGTTCAAGACCAGCCTGGCCAACATGGTGAAACCCCATCTCTACTAAAAATACAAAAACTTGCTGGGCATGGTGGTGTGCACCTGTAATCCCAGCTACTCGGGAGGCTGAGGCAGGAGAATCACTTGAACCCAGAAGGCGGAGGTTGCAGTGAGCAGAGATTGCACCATTGCACTCCAGCCTGGGCAACAAGAGTGAAACTCCATCTCAAAACAACAACAACAACAACAACAACAACAAAAATAAAAACAAAAATAGACAGTGTGAACGTGAAAGCAAAAGCCTGTAGGAATGGAGATTAAATGTGAAGTCCTTTTTCCCCCTATGTTATTGTGTAAAGTTTAGAGTGCTAGTGATTAAAATTTGCATCATCACAATTTTAAATGTAACAGATTTTGCATGTATAATATCTATTGACATTTTACTTACAAACACACTATAAAACAGGAAAAATAAGATTCTGATGGCTTTTATGATGAATCTTGACATATAACATTTTGACTAGCAAAAACCACAGGGACTGTATTTCTATACTATGCTATAGTTACAGCACAGATAAAGCCACCGAAGCAGGTCATGCAGGGCTATGTCAGGAGTCAACAATAAGGCTTGATGTGTTGAAAGCCTTGAAAGCTAGGGAGAGGAAGCTCTCTTCCACAATAACAATTGTGGAAGACAATGGGAAACCACTGATTGTAAATCTATTTTTGGAAGATGACTTCTGAGTAGTATGTCAAATGGGTTGGTGCAGGTACTATGGGGATGGGAATATCAGCTAGGAGACTACCGCAAATCTAAAGCTAAAATAAAAAGGACTAAATGTGGGTTCTGACAGTCAAAATGAAAAGGAAGGAATAAATGTGGAAGACACTGGAAAGACAGAAAAAGAGAAATAATCTTTAGTAGTTGCAAGAATAGTGGAACCATAAAGCACAATAGAGAAGATAGAGGGTAGAGTAGGTTTTAAAAGGAAAAATGATTCCTTTATATGGAGAGTCTGAGGTAGCAGGGAGACAGCCAGGTGATGATAAAGTTTATTTTCCAATTTACATGTTTATTAAATTCATAATGTATCTCATGATTTTGTGGCCAAGAGAATATTAGGGGCCGGGTGTGGTGGCTCACGCCTGTAATCCCAGCACTTTGGGAGATCAAGGTGGATGGCGCACCTGAGGTCAGAAGTTCGAGACCAGCCTGACCAACATGGTGAAACCCCGTCTCTACTAAAAATACAAAAATTAGCTGGGCGTGGTGGCACACACCTGTAATCCCAGCTATTAGGGAGGCTGAGGCACGGGAATCACTTGAACCTGGGAGGCAGAGATTGCAGTGAGCCAAGATCGCACCACTGCACCCTAGCCTGGGTGACAGAACGAGACTCCATCTCCAAAAAAAAAAAAAAAATTAAACCAATAAGCTACAGATCACATGTAGCTTTCTACTGATCTAACATGTAAATGGTTCTAATTTATAATACCTAGCAGATTTATGACAAAACGTAGTATCATAATATCTCCCCTCCCTCTTGCTCTCATCTCTATCTACTTTTCTTACCAACTTCTCTTAACTAAGTTTCTGACTGATGGTTTCGGACATTCTAAAATTATGTATATTTTATGGTTTCCTCTTTACAAGCTTTCTACAATGTGTTTTGTAGACAGAAAGCAAAGGAACCAGGGAGTCAAGATAGGGTTTCAAATGACAAGATTGTCACTAGTGTCAAATGCTTCAAAGAAATCTGAAAGGACAAGAATTTCAAAAAGACCATGAGCTTGGCAATTAGGAGACCATTGGTGACCATTATTAATTGGGATATGTTGTAAGAAAATCTACTTCTAAATTGGTTAACAGTAAGTAAAATCTATAGGGGTAATAAAATCTATAGGGGTGATAAGTTAGGCTTCAGGCAGTTGAATCAGGTTTCCAGCTCCATTACTCTGTGATTCTTTTCTTTGCCCCCCTACCCCATTCCCTCTGTGTTTTGACTTCACCAGATGAGTGTCCCTCATGGTACCAAAATGGAGGGAGCTTCTTCTGTACACCCACTAATCCTTCCTGAATCACTACAGCAAGTACGTGGTTTTGCTCTGATAGAATTAACTTAGGTCAGTGCTCACCCCCAAGCCAATTACCCTGGCTTAGACCTGGGTTACCTATTTCTGAACAGTCATCATGGCAAGAGAGATGTGAGTATTCTGACAGCCTTAGACTGATCACGACCCATGGCTGAGCTGCAACTAGGTCAGTCTAACCCTGACTACTTGGCTGATATACAGTGAAGGGAGAAGGAGATGTGGTTACAACCAACAATGACCACTACAATAGCCACTGAGAGAGCAACTCCCAAAGGATGGTGAAGAAAACATGTATTCAATAATAAAGGGCTAAGAAGTTAGTGAGTGAAAAGGCCATGAAGGAAGTAGATGGAAGATAAATTTGCAATAGTTCTTACCATAAAAGAAAAAAAGTCAATTGTGACAGTATCCAGAATAACAAAACTAAAGTTGTTTGTCCCCACAAACACACCTTTTTAAGTTAGGTACAGAGAACAACATAGATTGCTTATCCATTCATTTCTCTTTCTAAACACAACTTCAAATTTGACCAGTAATACGTATCACTCCCTGGAAACCATGTGCTTAAAAGGAAGTTGAATTCCAGCCCCGGTTCCAGGTTATCCTTGTCAGTGATTGGTTCAGAAATGTGGGCCGGGCATGGTGGCTCACACCTGTACGGTGGCTCACACCTGTAATCCCAGCACTTTAGAAGGCTGAGGCCGGTGGATCACTTGAGGTCAGGAGTTCAAGACCAGCCTGGCCAATGTGATGAAACCCCATCTCTACTAAAAATACTAAAATTAGCTGGGTGTGCTGGCACGCACCTGTAATCCCAGCTACTCAGGGAGGCTGAGGCAGGAGAATAGCTTGAACCCGGGAGGCAGAGGTTGCAGTGAGCCGAGATCGCACCACTGCACTCCAGCCTGCGAAACACAGACTCCATCATAAAAACAAAAAAACAAAACAACAAACAAAGAAAAATGTGTTTTGTGAAGCAATTCTGGCAGATGAGAAGAGAGTTTTGCTATAGGCTTTTGGGAAAGTTGTCCCTTGGTCTTGTGTGAGTTTCTAGCTCTCTCACTCACTATCTGCCATGCCCTACCCCCTGTGAAGGGAGCATGAGGTATTGATTACAAAGCATCCTAAAACCACAGGAAAATAGCCATGCCATTGTGAAAGGTAGAGCAGACAGAAGCACGCACAATCAGTTCAACAATGTGATTCAACAACTCTGAAGCTTATTTATTCACTAGACTTTCAAGTCACGTAAGCCCATTAAGATCCTTATTGCTAAAGCAGTTTGAGTCAGGTATTCTGTCACTTGCAGCCAAAAGCACCATTACTGAATAGGGAACACATGAAATTGTTTTTAGGTGGAGGGGAAAGAACAATTGGAGAGAGAAAAACTAGATACCAGAAAAAGGGACTATTAAGTTCCCAGAAGTGGGCAAGAAAAAAAGCTAGCTTCAGAAACATGAAGGAACATTATTCTGAGACAGATGAAGAGAAACAGAGAAAAGATAAAGTTTTGAGTGAAGACAAGTTTAGAGAGGGCATGTTGGACAAGCTTTGATCACAACACAGTAGAAGGCAAATTCATCCTCTGAAAGGATCTAAGTGAAATTGTGGATTTAAGGAAAACATAAAAGATTGGTAATAATTGCTCCATTCATTAATTTCTTCCTTCATACATTCAACATATATTTGAGAACCTAATGTTTGCCACAGTATTAAGCCTTCCCTATAAATGATATAGATTCATTCTGTTGCTTTCCAGAAGCATGTAGTTCAGTGGATCTCAGAGTGTAGTCTCACAACAGCTAACCTTAGTCACTAAATGCAAATTTTGGGGTCCTAAGAGACACTGAATCACGAACTCTGAGGACGCAGGCCAGCAATCCATGCTTTTAACAAGCCCAATTCACACTAAAGTTTGAAAACCACTAGTTTCTAGTGGAAGATCAACAGAGTTATAAACAAAAATTAAGGGGAATACAGGGGATGGAGAACTTGGGTAAATCAGAGAGGCTCCCGGAGGTAGTATTTAAGCTCAAACTTCAAAGAACAAATAGATTGCCAATTTAGATGCAAAATATTACATGTTCTATATTTCATGTAATACCATTATATTACTTTTCAGTTACCTTTCCTTTTTTTTCTCTTACTGCTAATAGAATTCCCTTAATAGAATTAGCCCTTAAATTCTAAGCCCTTCTAACTGGCAATAAGGAGAAATCTCAACAAGCTAGGGATTAAATGTTCCTTCCCTGTAGCTTCAAAAAAGCAGACACCATTCTGCATCATAAAACAGTACTTGGCAAATGTTATTTCTAACAAAGATTCTTGTAAAAGATTTCAAAGACTGTTGCTGCATCCTAAAAATATAATTCTAATTGGTTGTGTTATATAACATGTACATTGAAATCCGTGTTCTGTGCAAGTCAGTTTTAAGCACTTTTGTTTTCCCCCATAATCATGAAAAAAAAGAAACTTGACTCAGCTAAACTTTGAACAGATTGTCTGTTTCTAATTTGACACAAGATAGACACGATGGAAAGCAAAAAGAATAACAATACTAGTATGTATTGGAGAAACCAATTCTATATACTGTTTTTTAAAGAGATGATCTTGCTCTGTCACCCAGGCATGGAAGGCTGGAGTGCAGGGACATGATCATAGCTCACTTCAACTTCCAATTCTTGGGCTCAAGCGATCCTCCCGCCTCTGTGTTCTGAGAGCAGCTGAGACCACAGGTGTGTGTCACCACCTCACGTGGCTTAAAAAAAAATTTTTTTTTAAATGACGGTGGTCTTGCTTTGTTGACTATCTCAAACTCCTGGCTTCAAGCAATCCTCCTACCTCGGCCTTCCAAAGTGCTGTGATTACAGGCTTGAGCCACTGTGCCCGGCCCCTAATTCTGTATTTCTTTAGTACAAATCTGAAGAGAAAGGCCAAAAAGGAGGATAAACAGATAAATACATAGACCATACAACATACAATGGAGTTAACATATTCTTTTGTAGGTGATAGGAAGATGTCAAAGGATTTTTTTTTCCCACAGAAGGGAACAGCATGGAAATGTAACATGAACAAGAGCGTAAATGATCAAATATCCATGTAAATTTGGTGTAGAAGGTAGATTGGAGTGGACCTATAAAAGTATCCGACAATCAGTACCTTGGCTCCAATATTTTGTAATTCCCGCCCCGCCCCCCAAAAAAAAGGCCAAACTGTGTAACTTGGAACTTTATTTTTAAAGTATTCTGAAAATTTTCCAAGAATTTTAACCACCACCTACTTCCCTTAAACACACACACATTTTTATCTTACAATTATAACCCCTATTGCAGTACAAAACAAGAAACAATAATTCTAAGTTAGCCAGCCAATCAAACTACTTCAGTAAATGATCATACTACAGCCTGGAATCACTCAAACAAAAAATTCTTCTAGTTCTCTTTAAAGATATTTATCGTTTATTTTTTCATGAAACCAAAGTAATTGATTCAACAATACTAACAGTTCTAGCATGCAACAAACCATCTACTATCTAATGTTTAATCTTCTTAACATGTATATTTTCATTCCTATAAAGTTTCCATAAGAAGCTTGCAATGACAATAAAGGTAAATAAGTACAGTTGTCCCTTGGTATCCATGGGGTATTGGTTCCTGGACCGTCCCCCCAACCCACAGATACCAAAAATCCAAGTATACTCAAGTCCCTTACATAAAATGACATATTTGTATATAACCAACGCACATCCGCCTGTATACTTTATCCCTAGACTAATACCTAATGCAATGTAAATGCTATTTAAATAACTGTTATACTGTATTTTTATTTGTATTATTTTTATTTTTTCTAATATTTTTGATCTGCAATTGGTTTAATCCACAGATGCAGAGTACATGGATACAGAGGGCCAACTGTTTTGTTACAGGTACTTCAAATAGCACTACAGTACATCTTTGACAAAATTTTTACAATATTCCACCTTTCAATATGAAACAGCTTAAAAAGGCATGGGTCAAAAATAAAGTATAGTAGTATCACTTACGCAAATAAAGTCTCAGAATCATACAAGCACAACACTGTTAGGACTCTCCCTGTTTAGGCTGGGAAAAACATTATACAAAACATTTTCTTCAAATAAAATTACATAAATTGCTTAGAAAAATGCCAAAATCAATAATTTCAAACATATTAAGGAGAAAACCTTGAACATTATTGGAAAATATAAACTAGTTATTCCTTGCTTTTAACAGATGAGTTCTTGACAAGTTTTGTGTAAAGCAAATTCTGTAAACCATTATCTTGCTTGCACTGGAGGAACATATCTCAAGGAAACCTAAGAGAAAGTGTTCTTTAAAGCATGTGATTCTCCTGTTTTTGCTGGATGTCTGTATCTACATAATAAACAGGCACACTTCTACATCACTGGGTATTTTACTCAGACTGTCATGTTTCATCTCTGTAAATTAAACCCAAGTTACTTAAAAATCACCTGTGGTAAAAGAAGCAAGCAGATCACCCCCACCTACTATCCCTCCCGCCTCCCCCCTGTCAAAAGAAAGTTCTCAGTTTATGATGCAAAACTTACAATTGTTCATTTATCCACATTCTCAATAGAGGATTTTCCACTATATTTAAGTATGGCAGGATAATTACCCACCTGTTCCTCTTTTCAGCTTAGAAACATAACGGTTCATTCCTTTTATTGCTAGAGAATGTCATTCCTGAAGATTTTATAAACAAAGGCAAATATGAAGGAAAATTTGTAATTATGAAATAAGTCCTTTGTAGTAAAGAATATTTCCCAAATCATAACAGTTCTATTTGGAATGATACCCACAACTCTACAAGCATCTTATCCCTCTACAGGAATGACTACCTTATTAATTAAAATAAAAATTTAACAAGCATCAAAATAAAATTCTTTAGCAATAGACTCCTGCAAAAATAAAAACTAAAACTAGACCTAGTCATTGCCATTTGATCAAACTTAGAACAGGCTTAAATAACAGAACCACTCCATTAAAGAGGCATAGAAAGAAAAGTTTACTAAAATAAATGTAAAAGTCTTATGGAGATGAAGATCTCTAGAATAGTCTTAAGTCTATGACTACTGCTATCATTAATGAGCAAATAAATGACTTGAAATTATTCCTCTGAAAAGGTAAAACTCATACGTATTATGAAAAAGACTATGGCACTTAGAAAATATTCCTGGTAAGTAAACATGGTAAATATAGGTACATCCTAGCCTCTCGCCTACTTTTAAATTATTTTGAGAAAGATAGCACTAGCTGGGAGAAAAAAAAAATCCTTATCACCTGAAGGTGAAATTACCACATAGTCCTAAAAATAAATAGCTTTGAAAAGACCGTCGGGTGCGGTGGCTCATGCCTGTAATCCCAGCACTTTGGGAGGCCGATGCGGGTGAGTCACAAGGTCAAGAGATCGAGACCATCCTGGCCAACTTGGTGAACCCCCGTCTCTACTAAAAATACAAAAATTAGCCAGGCGTGATGGCAGGCACCTGTAATCCCAGCTACTCAGGAGGCTGAGGCAGGAGAATCGCTGGAATCTGGGATGCGGAGGTTGCAGTGAGCCTAGATGGCGCCACTGCACTCTAGCCTGGCGAAAGAGTGAGACTCCATCTCAAAAAAAAAGACCAATGAAAATAATACTATAATTGTCTCATCCATTTTCACCTTTAGTGTCTCTGTAGTTTTTTTAACTTACAAAAAAAAAAAAAAAATTACCAATGCAATTTGAGTCACATGTGGACAAAATTATGCTTTCATATGAAATGTAAAATAAATCAAATATAACAGGGCTATGTGCTGCAGCTAAAAGCCAAGTTTTGCCTCTCAGTCTTTTGAGTATATCTAAAAAGAGATGGCATGTCTTAAGGAATAATTCCTTTAAAAAATGAATGAGGCTAAATTATTTGTACAGCCATCATGGATTTATATTTTTCAATACAGCCAAAGTATATGTTTACAATATTAAAATGCCTACTTTATAGCATCAAATCATGTTCTTGCCTCTAAAATTAACTTGGCTGTTTCTAAAACATTGTATTAATTTTCTATGTATTCTACCTCCTTACTATGCAGGACAAGCAAATGCCTGTGAAACCATTCAGTTTAATGCAGGCCTTTCAATAAAAATGCATTTTAAATAATACAGGCTTTAAAAATAAGATCACCAGAGACCACAATTGTTAGTGGTTGCGACAATTTACATAACCGAATCTAAGGCAACCACTTTCCCTTGTGGTCGTTCTTTAAAGTGAGTAAGCTGATGTCTCTTCCAGTGAGGAGCCTGTCTGAATGTTTTGCCACAAACTGAGCATTCAAATGGTTTCTGCCCTGCATGAATTAGGTAGTGTCTTTCCAGTTTAGATGGAGATCGGAAACTTTTAGCACAAACACTGCATCGGTACAGGAAGACATCATTTTTCTCCTGATGCTCTGAATAACTGCAAAAAGGATTGCTTTGCTCTGATTCCAAAAGTACATTAGGAAGACAGGGTTGCCCGGTGCTACCAGGAATAAAATCCTGTGACTCTGCCTTAACTCCTGACATTTGATCTGACTCTGAGACCTCGTATTTTTGAACACCAGGAGCCTGACATTGTTGGGAAGCATTATAGTTAACATTATTACCTGAATGATTAGAAAGATTGTTGAAGTTTCCAAATTCTACTTGGCAAAGAGATGCATAAGGACTCTTTTCATTATGAGTCTGTTCATGTCTTTTTAAGTGAGCTGACTGTCTAAAAGATTTCCCACAAATATTACAGCCAAAGGGCCTCTGTCCAGTATGAATTAAATAGTGTCTTTTTAGTTTGGATATAGAAGGAAATACCTTCTCACATTTGTCACAAGGACATATCTTATGTCTAGTACGTATGTTTTCCCTTGGAACTGAAAAACCACACTGAAGTACCTCACAGTTATTAAAGAATTCCTCACCTGATGAACCACAGATTGACAAGTCTTTCTTATTCACTGAATTATCAATGCTTAATATGTTTTCTGTCGTAAGGATGCCTTTCAAATTTTTTCCCATATTTTGCCAAGAAAATGGCAAAGTCAATGTTTTCTTCTTTCTATTGCCAATTGTTTTATATGTTCCATGTTTGCCAAGAGAACCCACAAATGTTCTCTGGGTTTGTTCAGAGCTCTGCTCACCAGAAATAAGATCACAATTTCTCAAGAAACTCTTTTTAAATACTTTTTTCTCAGATTGAAAGTTATCTAATTTTTTACTCCTAGCACGCTTAAGCTTGGCCAAGATTTTTTTAACAATGGTTTTATAGTTGTAGCTTCTTTTGAACCTGCTTGGAATTTTGCCACTTCTAGCAGCAAAACAGCTGTGTTCATTGAGAATCTGCTCTGATTCAAAACACTTTTCACACTTTGGACATTGAAAAGGGACAATATAAATTGAGTGGACATCAAGTGGATTATTCTCCTCAGATTCACCAATCTCACCATTTTCAAAACCACCCTGATTTGCATTTAACTTATTAGGCAGGGGGCGAGATTCTGTACGCCTCTTCTTTAATAAAAGAGCCCGAAAAGCCTTATTCCTAGTATGGATTTGTTTATGCTTCAGAAGTTTGCTTTGAATCTTAAATCCTTTTTGACAAAAACAACATTGAAAAGGTCTTTCTTCTGAATGTGTAAGTTGGTGGATTTTTAAGTGAGTTGACTGTCGAAAAGATTTAGTACACAAGACACATTTAAAAGGCCTCTGACCAGTATGAATAAGTACATGCCTATCAAGTTTTGACTGTGATGGAAACATCTTGCCACAGATTGTACATGCATGAATATTCTTTCTTCTTTTCATGCTATACATGGGATCAGACTTAGAGCACGGGTGTAATGCCCATCTTTCCTCTGTGGTAAAAGTATTATACACTCCATACATTGACTTTTCTTGCTTGGCCTCCAGCAATCTTCTGACCTGTTTAACATTATTCTGATAGGTTTCATTGTGAAGTTGTTGGTGCTTCACAAATGTCTTCAGATTTTTAAAGTGACGCTGACAAATACTACATTTAAAAGGCAGACTATGAGTTAGTTGATGCCTCTCCAGATGAACTAGTTGTCTAAAGGTTTTATGACACACATCACATTCAAATGGCTTTTGACCAGTATGAATGAGATAGTGCCTAGCTAATTTTGATGGTGTTTCAAAGTGCTTAAAACAAATATTGCAAACATATGGCCTGTTTCTAGGTAGTTTGTTGGCTACCACACACTGTTGAATCTTTAGCATTTTTAAATTGTTTTCAGCCATCATATTCTTCAATGATATACTCTGATGAGCTCCATACTGTTCTTAAATTCCACAGATGTCTAAAAATTAAAGGAAAAAAAGTATTAATTTTAAAATTATTTATTCATATGAAAAGTAACTTAAGTTGTTCTTTGGCTGAAGATATTAAAGGCAAAGGAGAATCTGGACTTAGTGTTTACAAGTTAATAATCATTTTAAGTAATACTTTAGAATAATAATACTAATTTTATACATACAGAGATATGAGTCTTTAAAAGAAATATCTAAAAATCAATACAATTTTAAGCTATTTTTCTAATTGAGATGCTACATTAAATGAGGACTAGGCTGAATTTCTTAACATGAAATAGATATTTTAATTCCAATTTTCCTATTTCATTATTAGGTAGATTTGCCAGTATTTAGTTGCCATCATTTTAAAAAATGGGCTAGAAAGGTAACAAATCAAAACATAATACTAAAAATAAGATATACTTGCATTCAATTATAGCACATTGTAAATATGCTCTTAGAATAGAACATTTCACTTATCATAGGTGGATTTCTTAGCCACAAATTTAACATGAGTTATTCTCAATTACTTCTTTAGACCAACAAGGACAGTGTGGACTAGGAGAAAATTCACAGAAGACCTGGGTTCTAGTCCTGGATTTGCCACTATACGATCTTGGTGGTAGGAAGAAGGAAATACAGAGTTCTCATCTGTAAAATGGGGAAAAGGTCTCCTGGATTGTCTACCACCACAAGCTGTTGTCAAAAATCAATGGAGATAATGTATATGAATGTGCTAAAAAACAGTGAAGCAATACATAAATCTAAGGAACTATTTAGCTCAACACTAATCAAATTTTAAAATGTTATCCTTATCGTCTTAGTAACATTTTTAAGCGTTTCTCAATAAGAGATAAACCCACTGACTAAATTTACAGGTTTTAAAAATTTCTCACCTGGCGCCGTGGCTCACGCCTGTAATCCCGCACTTTGGGAGGCTGAGGCTGGTGGATCACCTGAGGTCAGGAATTTTGAGACCAGCCTGGCCAACATGGTGAAACCCCGCCTCTAGTAATAATACAAAAATTAGCCGGGTGTGGTAGTGCACACCTGTAATCCCAGCTACTCAGGAGGCTGAGGCAGGAGAATCACTTGAACCCAGGAGGCAAAGGTTACAGTGAGCCGAGATCGTGCCATTGCAATCCAGCCTGGGTGAGAATCCATCTCAAAAAAAAAAAAAAAATTCTCCTTTTCACTTTGTTGTGAAATTCCCAAAAGACAAGCATAGAGGTAATAAGATCGACAAATTGGTTACTTATATAGCTATCTATGACTAAGTAATTGAAACTTGAGTGTGCTTTGCCCATCAGGCAATATAGTAAAAGGGTCATTTTGGTCTTAAGCGTTAATATAAAGATTTAAAAAACTGGCCCAGTGCAGTGGCTCACACCTGTAATCCCAGCACTTTGGGAGGCCAAGGCAGGGAGATCACATGAGGCCAGGAGTTTAAGACCTGCCTGAACAACGTGGCAAAACCCCGTCTCGACTAAAAATACAAAAATTAGCCAGGCGTGGTAGTGCACATATGTTAATTCCAGCTACTTGGGAGGCTGCAGCACGATAATTGCTTGAACTGGGGAGGCGGAGGTTGCACTGAGCCAAGATTGCACCACTGCACTCCAGCTTGGGCAACAGAGCGAGAGACTGTCTCAAAAAAAAAAAAAAAAAAAAGTTTAGCAAGCACTTTCATAACTATCTTATACTCTATCTTCTATCAGAGAAGCCAATTTTCTTTTCATTATTACTTTACTATGGCACTGCCCTTAAATAAAGGAGTCAGAGATTTTTTCAAAAAAAAATTAAAAGCTGTGCTAGCTCTTTCAATATAATGTATCTTCTAGATCAGAGAGTTCTAAGTCTGGAGTTCTTTTGTCAGCTGATCTGGCAAACATCCAACAAACACGGTGTTACTATTTTCTCCTAGAAGATACCTTCAACCCCAAATCACAAACATACCCACTGTGGTTCTTTAGCAATGTGAATCAGAAACAGAAAAAAAAAATTACTGAACAAATATCTTTAGTTACTTTATCACAGTGTTTTTCAAACTGCAGGATATTACTCATTAATGGATTGTGAATTCAACTTAGCAGATCATGATCAGCACTTTGTTATTTAAAATAAGAGCGGAGGCTGGCATAGTGGCTCATGCCTGTAATCCCAGCACTTTGTGAGGCCGAGGCAGGGGATCACCTGAGGTCAGGAGTTCGAGGCTAGCCTGGCCAACATGGTGAAACCCTGTCTCTACTAAAAATACAAAAATTAGCTGAGTGTGGTGGTACATGCCTGTAATTTCAGCTACTTGGGAGGCTGAGTCAGGAGAATTGCTTGAACCCAGGAGACGGAGGTTGCAGTGAGCCGCCAAGATTGCACCACCACACTCCAGCCTGGGAGACAGAGCAAGACTCTCAAAAAAAATTTAAAAATAAATACATAAATAAAAATAGGGGATAAATAATAGTAGAAAGTATCAGACTGCATACTATATAGCAAGGATAAATATTGTTTTGTGAAACTTCTGTAGGAAGAAGTAAAAAAGTTTATGAAAGCTGTTCTTAACATGCCTCTTCATACTAGACAAAGGAACCTACAACAAATCGACCACTTTATTCAAAGTGGCCAAGTGATCTATTAAGGTGAGAAAGATAGGGGCCCATAGTATGAGACAAGATTACTAAAGAAAGCAAGTGTCTGGTTTTCTTCACTTGACCCATATTATTCCAAAATATTTATTTTAAATAAAAATCATCTAATTACAGGCCAAATGGAAAATGCCACATAAATCCACGCAAAATAAAACAATCTGACTGTAAGCCAGTATAGTAGTAAAATATATCATATAACCCAGATATCAATGTTAACCAACAATCAACTCTTGGTGCTATGAATATGCATTTTCAGTAGCTTGAATTAGAGAAATTAGAGGTGAACAAGCTCCAAAGTCTCTAAACATGCCGATACAGAGCAACAGTCATGATAATTAAAATTAAGTCATGAATCCAGTGAACTGCAAAGAACTTGGCAGCAATTAGGTGCCAAGGTAGTCAATCAGGACAATGAGTCAAACCAAAAGTAATCAAGCCTTTATTCACTTACTGTGACAGTGCAAGCAAGTGGTAAAAAGAGGCACTGGCTCCCCAGTGGTCTACTAAATACAAGGACACTGGGTGAGGGTCAGTTGATGCAGTGCATATGAGGTAATCCTCTCACTGAAAGGAGCCCCTAACAAAAATCTCCTGCCTCTTATGGAACTTCAGAATAGGAAAGGGAGGGGAAGGTCTAGGAGTGAAAGAAGCTGGGTCAAAAATGGAGAAAAGTGTCTTAGCCACGGTCCTTCCTAGGAGGGCCTCCAAATGGAGGTACCCAGGCTAGGAAAGAAGTTATGGGATTTGCATATCTAGCAGGAGGGGCAGGGCAAGTCCTTGACTGCAACCCCCTCCAGAAAACTGCAATGCACCGGCCCATATCGAGTATGGTGTGGGAGGACAGCTTGGCCCTTGAGGCCAGTCAGGCAAAGCCTGGTAATTGTCCAATGTCAGGACTGAATGATCACACAGGATTTTGGTATAAAGCCAGATTCAATTCCTTTTGTATGTTTCTTCTTCCCTTTAATAAATGCTTTCGTGGAACACGCCTAAAAGAAAAAAATCACACACCACAACTACCTCTGATTAAAACAGGGATTGGCTACCTACAGCTCCTGTACCAAAAAGGAGCTACGGTTAATCATCCATTGTTAGCACTAAGATTGGATAACTGTTGTCACTTGCCTCCCACCACGTGGAAAAGCACTTACTGGGAGCCCTAGATTGTTAGAACCATTAGTGGCAAGTGGTGATCCTATCTCCTGTTTATGAGAGTCAGGTTAGGGATCCTCACCTCACGCACTCATGGAGCTCCAAATCCCATTTCAACCGATTTTTGTTGATAACATAAAAATAAAAAAGACTGTAATTTTTCTTATCTTAAACTGAAATAAAAGAATAGTAGATCTGCTCAGTGGTTCAATCCAGAATTTATCCTGACAAGAACAAGATACTCTACGTGAAGACTGTAAAAACTGTAAAAACTGACCTCAATAATATCCAATGTTGCCTCAAGGCTGAAAGCCTGTTGATTTTCTTGTCTTGACTAGTACCATTAAAACGATGTGAGGATTTCACGAAAGTAAGCGAACAAGAAATGAAAGACCTAAGAGAAACACACACAACTTTCAGTTGGGGAATAATCTCCGGCGGCTGCTTCTGCCCCACTCGCCCCGGGCCCATTCTCTTGGCCTTGAACCCTCACCTCTCCCTCCCAGTGGACTACACTGGACAAAGGACACTGACACACAGTCCTCGTTCTAAAGGCCCACAACCAATAATAAGCACGTAATGGTCGAGCCGAGTCCAGAAACCACAAAATCCCACGCCAGGAAAGGAAGGGTAAGGGTAAAAACTGCTTTGGCTGCAGCCAGGATGAAAACGCCACATGTGATACAACCCACAGCAACAACAAAAAAAAATCCCTCTACGCCTTCCTCTCAAATTTCTGCTCCGCGTGAGACGCACTCAATAGGTGGGGAAGTGAGAAAGCAAAAGGAGCTCAGGAACTGAGGTTGTGGAGCCCCCGTTCTTGGGTCCCCAGGCACCTTGGCGGTATTGAGGCAGGTCCGACCCTCCCTGGGGGTCGCTCCACTTCTCAGTCGGGTTTCTGAAGTCCTCCTCACGCATCTGGAGCTGGCGAGGGCCCGGGAGGCACGCACCTCAGGCCCAGGTGCCGCGAAGGCAGCGCGCGCACGTCCGCAGGGCCGGCGCGGCAACGGGCTGAGCGCGCAGGCGCGGCGCTCTGGCGCGCCCAGGGACACAGTCCGGCTGGAAACAAGCTCCCCCCAATTTCAGGGCCGTTGTCGCCTCCGGGCGGTCCGCGGGTCCCGAGCGGACTGGGACTCTGGAGACGTGCCCCCAACCCCACCGCCATTCACCCTGTCATTGCAGGGGAGAGAACAGAATAAAGACGGGTACATTTTCCATCTCACCTCTGAACCTCGGTTAGGAAAACGCTGTAGCCCTGACTAGTGGGCTCAAGGGCCGACTGGAAAAGGGCGAGTCAGCGTTCAAAGCCGATTCGGGGCAGCCCTCTCTAACGCAGAGGGCCGAGGATAAGAAGACGACAATGTGTTAGGGGCCCTCCGGGCTAGGACTGTCCTCACCACTTTGTACATTGCCAAAGTAAATATAACGTAGAGGTCAAGCGCAGGCGCTTTGTGGGCAGACATGACTGAGCTCCACTCGCGACTCCTCTAATGGCGTGCCAGCTGCGGACCTCATTAGCCCCGCCTCAATCATTCAGTATGTTTTGGTTGTCTACAGTGTACGAAGCCCTGTTCTCACAATTAGATAAAATGAGTGTGAAGTGCTCAACATAATTCCTAGTGTAGTAGGCCTTCAAAGAACTATTATCATTATTAATTACTCATATAGAATACAACTTTATGAAATGATAGGATCCCATTTTAAGATGAGGAAAATGAGGCTATCAGAGACGTTAAGGAACTTAATGTCACACAGTTAATAAACGATAGAGGTGCGATTTGAACACAGGTTGTCTAATACCAGACCTGCATTTATAACTGCTGCTTCCCAAGTTATAGATATTTCAGCATTTTATGTAGTCACAATTGAAGACCAAATATTTAGTTACAGACTAAGTTGGCATGTTATTACTGAATAAGATGCTAAGGTATCTACTAAAGATTTTAAGTGCAAAAGGCATTAGAGAAGAATTTACTGTGGATTTTTTGCAGGTTCTGATTGTAATTGTATCACCTTGAGAAAGGAGGAAATGAAAGCAGATTATCAGGCATACTTTTTTAACTCTAAGCAACTTTTTGCATTACTTTCTAAGGACCATCAGCAACAAAAATCAATGGTTTCTAATGTTGATATATTTTCCTCTACCAAAAAAATTAAAGCAGCTGAGCCAACAAAAATTCTCTGTTTTGGATGTGTTAGCATGAGGAAATGGCGAATAGGAAATGAGCTTTTGCTTCTCATGTAGGAACCCTGAAGGAGTCAGATTTGGGAGGGGTTGAAGTCTGCTTCCAACAGAAGCAGGGGTGGAGAAGGGAAAGGAAAGACTTCTGGTGTCCTAAATGCTAGTCCCAAAGTGGGGATGCTGTTTGTCCGGATAACCCTTGTAAATCTGCTCCATTCTGCAGCTACTCCTGGGAAACTTAACTCAGCCAAATAATGCAAACAATTGCATCCATCATCAGCCACATCAGCCTTAGGAGATACATCCATATCATGAGAAAACACTACCTGAAATTGGGGACCACTGGAGGGTGAGATTCGTTCTTTATCCATTACCTGCAAAACAAATTGGCCTTTGCATGGAGAGTCTGAATATATATTGAGTGTGAAAGCAGTTAGGACTTGAATAGGCTATTCTCCAAGGCCACATGCCCCATGTCATAACCTCCCCCATTTACCGTGAGAGCTATCTCAGGAGCCTTCTGGAAAAAAAAGAGAAATTAACATGAATAAGAGTAATCAAGGAAGATTTCATTGAATATGTGAAATTTGAACTAGCAGTAGTGGGTAGACTATGAATAAATAAAAAATGTGGGGGCAGGACAGAACATGGTAGGGCAGAGGTGGCAGGGTGAAGAAAAGATAGTATGAGAATGAAAAATAAAGGGGGTGCATGACATACGTTTGAATTAGTATCTTAATGCTGCAGCTTACTAGTTGTGTCCTTAGAAGTTATTTAACCTAGGCTGGGCGCGGTGGCTCACACCTGTAATCCCAGCACTTAGGGAGGCCGAGGCGGGTAGATCATGGGTCAGGAGTTCGAGACCAGCCTGGCCAACATTGTGAAACCCTGTCTCTACTAAAAATACAAAAATTAGCCGGGCGTGGTGGCACGTGCCTGTAGTCCCAGCTACTCAGGAGGCTGAGGTGGGAGGATTGCTCTAGCCCAGGAGTTAAAGGCTGTAGTGAGCCGTGTTCATGCCACTGCACTCCAGCCTGGATGACAGAGCAAGACTCTGTCTTAAATAAATAATAATAAAAATAGAAAAGATGTGCCACTGCACTCTAGCCTGGGCGACAGAGCGAGACTCTGTTTCAAAAAAAGAAAAAGAAGAAAAGACATATCAGGTACCAAGCTCTAAATATTCACTTCCAATTATATAAAGATGAAGCAGTTAGGCCCTGAACCTTAAATTAGTTTCTAGCCCAGAGGGGAAAATAACATACAAACAAGTATTAATACAATATGATAAGAGCAGATATATATAGGAGGAAAGAACATCTAAATCTGCTTGGAGGTTCCAGGTACAGATGGTCCCTGAGCTGCAGCTTCAATCAGCCATCTATCCATCCATCCGTTCTGCATATATTAAGCACTCGCTGTGTATCAAGTCCTGTTCTAGGCAAGGGGGACAGAGTAGCAGACAAAAAGTCAAAAATCCATGTCTTCATAGATTTTATATTCTACTGAAGGAGACAGACAACAGATCAAATAAGTTAAAATATATAATATGTTAAATATTAGTAAGAACTGAGGAGAAAAGCACAGAAGAGGGCTGTGAAGATTTGAGGGTGTGGGTGGGGATGCTGGCATTTTAGTAGATGGCCAGAGATGGCCTTAATGAGAAGTTCTGTGATTTTTTTTTTTTTTAATACAGAGTCTTGCTCTGTCACTCAGGCTGCAGTGCATTGGCACGATCTCAGCTCACTGCAACCTCTGCCTCCCAGGTTCAAGTGATGCTCCTGCCTCAGCCTCCCAAGTAGCTGGGACTGTAGGTGCCTGCCACCATGCCCGGCTAATTTTCGCATTTTTAGTATTTCGCATTTTTAGCACCATGTTGGCCAGGCTGGTCTTGAACTCCTGATCTCAGGTGATTCATCTGCCTCGGCCTCCCAAAGTGCTGGGATTACAGGCATGAGCCACTGCACTCAGCCTAGTTCTGTGATTGTTGAGTTGAAACCTGGTGGAAATGAGAGACTGCCTTTCCCATGGGAGACAGTAGGAGGCAGGGATAAAAATGAGTAGTAACTTGCTTAGTGGGCAAGAGAGTGTGTTTTTGGAGGAGGGTGGGGAAAGGAAAGATAGGCAGAGAATATTCCAACCACAACAGACACACAGTGAGAAAAGGCATGGCAAACAGGAAATACAAGTAGTTGCTGGAGTGTGAAGTACAGGTTGGGAAAGTGGGGAGTGGCAGGAGAGTCACTCACGCAGGAAATAATTTGGAGCACCTACTGCTCACCAGGTTCTTAACAAGAAGCTCAGAAAGTTGTTATATGCAAATGTTTTCTTTTTAAAAATTTTCTTCTTCTTTTTCTATCTTTTATCCAAATAATTGTACTTGATTCTCTAGTTTCTCTTCAGATCCTATAAATCTTTCATCTTTTACCAAAATAATTGTACTTCAAAGGAGTCCATAATTTTAGGATATTTTGTATGTTTTTTGGAATATTTTAAAAACAGAGTTTTTTTTTAACTTTTTTTTGAGATGGAGTTCTGCTCTTGTTGCCCAACCTGGAGTGCAATGGCACGATCTCGGCTTACTACACCCTCCGGCTCCTAGGTTCAAGCGATTCTCCTGCCTCAGCCTCCCGAGTAACTGGGATTATAGGCACGCGCCTCCACGCCTGGCTAATTTTTTTTTTTTTTTTTTTTTTTTTTTTTTTTTTTTTTTGTAGAAACGGAGTTTCACCATGTTAGCCAGGCTGGTCTCAAACTCCTGACCTCAGGTGATCCGCCCACCTTGGCCTCCCAAAGTGCTGGGATTACAGGCATGAGCCACCATACCCGGCTAAAAAACAGACACTTTTTGAAATTGACTTTTAATGGTGTTAAAGCTGCCTTCTGCCCTAAGTGACAGGCTGGCAAGGAGCTCACATCTCCTGGTTCCATCCCGTCTCTCTTATCTTTCCTTTCTCCTCTTCCCATTCCCTCTGTGGAACAACATACAAAGTCATCTGCTTGCCTTCTGCAGATAGTCCACCCAAATCTGTACCCCTCAGGTGTTAGTTTCTACCCCCAAGCAACTGTCAAAGAATTTTTTCAACAAAGAAATCCTTCTTTCTTTCTTTTTTTTTTTGGGGGGAGGGGAGATGGAGTTTTGCTCTTGTTGCCCAGGCTGGAATGCAATGGCGTGATCTTGACTCACCGCAACCTCCGCCTCCCGGGTTCAAGTGATTCTCCTCCCTCAGCCTCCCGATTAGCTGGGATTACAGGCATGCGCCACCGTGCCCAGCTAATTTTGTATTTTTAATAGAGACGGGGTTTCACCATGTTGGTCAGGCTGGTCTCGAATTCCGGACCTGAGGTTATCTGCCCACCTTGGCCTCCCAAAGTAGAAATCCTTATTTCTTAAGATGATTTTTGGTGAATAGAACCCTCTCCTTCCCATCATATACTGTACTTCCTTGAGAATAATACTTGCAACTTCTTGTACATTGTGCTACACAACTTCTGAGAGCATTGTGGTGTAGGAGTGGGGCAGCTGGGAGCAGGGAGAGGGTGGAGGATAAGTTGAGATCAGAAGATGAAGCACAATACGGCTGTACTGTATTTTACTTAGGACAGTTGGACTGTCTACAGCTCACAGGCTAGCCCCAGTCTCCTAAAGGATTGCTGGAAATCTCTAAAGCTCCATTAGTGATAATACCTATTGGATTTCTGGGTCTGGTTAGGTATTGCACTGTTCCACACCCCGACTCCTGCCCCACTTCCTCACTTCCCATGTGTTGGTTCAAATTCGGTAGTATTGAGGTTCCAGAGTTACCTGGAAGCAGGCAGAAATCCCCCATAGGGTTTTGACCGTACTTGTTCATCCTTAGAGTCAAGACCAACCTCTCGACACCACTGAATGCACCCCTTGTAACCACTCAAAGGGTCCACCTTGCCCACTGCCTAGACAGAGCTAATTTATCAAGACAGGGGAATTGCAGTAGCGAAGAGTTTAATTCACACAGAACTGGTTGTACAGGAGACTGGAGTTTTATTATTACTCAAATCAGCCTCCTCGAGAATTCGGGAATCAGAGTTTTTAAGGATAATTTGGTTGGGGCAGGGGCAGTGAATCGGGAGTGCTGATTGGTTGACTCACAGATGAAATCATAGAGAGTTGAAACTGTCCTCTTATACTGAGTCATTTCCTTGGTGGAGGCCACAAGACCAGATGAGCCAGTTTATTGATCTGGGTGGTGCTAGCCGATCCATGAAGTGTAGGGTCTACAAAATACGTCAAGCACTGATCTTAGGTTCTACAATAGTTATGTTATTCCCAGGAACAATTTGAGGAGGTTCAGAATCTTGCCACTTCCAGCTGCATGACTCCTAAACCATAATTTCTAATCCTGTAGCTAATTTGTTAGTCCTTTAAAAAAAAAGCAGTCTAGCCCCCCAGGCAGGAAGGGTGTTTATTTTGGGAAAGAGCTGTTATTGTCTTTGTTTCAAAGCTAAACTATAAACTAAGTTCCTCCCAAAGTTCATTGGGCCCACACCCAAGAATGAACAAGCACAACTTGAAGGTTTGAAAGTAAGATGGAGTCGATTAGGTCAACCACAATTTTCTCAGTTGTAATTTTTGCAAAGGCGGTTTCACTCTGACTCTTAGGACAAGGGTCTGAGCCAACCAAGGAGGGTGGGAGGAACGATAGTTTTTGCTTATGGAGTCAAGTGAGCTTGACATTGTGACTTTCTCCTGTTTCTGGATCTTACTTTCTGGAGGCCGGTGATAAGAGTTCTCACAGGTAGAGTCTACCAAAAAAAAAAAATGCCCTTCTTCACAAAAGCCAGAACAGACTAAGCATTTCCTTTCTCAGTCCCCATCTGCAAGTAGTGTTGTGGGCTTTAAGTCTGTCTCCGGTGTCTGCCAGATTCTAGGGGTAAATATATGAGATGTTACTGATCTCTTCTGGCTTCCCAATTAGGTAAATACTTAGTAAGCATGATTTTTATTTAAGGTCCCGGGCTTTTTTGTTGTGTTCTCTGACCCAAAGTAAGAACTTACTTACCTTATGATCAACGGTTTTAGTAGTTAGAAATCTGAACTCAGGTGGCTAAAGGTAATCTTCCTCATTGACAGCTCTGTATGGCTGGAATGGTGCCTCTGTTTCTAACACTAAACAGTTTTTTTTTGTTTTGTTTTGTTTTGAGACAGTCTCGCTCTGTCCCCCAGGCTGGAGTGCAATGGTGCAATCTCAGCTCACTGCAACCTCTGCCTCCCGGGTTCCACCAATTCTCCTGCCTCAGCCTCCCGAGTAGCTGGGATTACAGGCACACGCCACCATGCCTGGCTAATTTTTGTGTTTTCAGTAGAAACGGGGTTTCATCATGTTGGCCAGGCTGGTCTCCAACTCTTGACCTCGTGATCCACCTGCCTCGGCCTCCCAAAGTGCTGGGATTACAGGCGTGAGCCACTGCGCCCAGCCTGAACAGTTCTCTTAATACTCAGTCTTCTCTCTCCCTCCCCTTTAATGACTTCTTGAAGAACAAGAGGTGGGGAGGATATCTCAAGTTTTCACAGGAAGTTTTGAGCTTATCCAGCAATGCTTTGCTTTAAGTTCCTCCCATAGCAACTTGTTCCAACAAGCCTGATTTTTCCAAATGGCTTCCCAACAGCAAAGTAGAATGGTTTGTTTCTAAAGCCTCTTAAGTGTTAACACAATTGCAAAACAAAGGTCATTTCTCCTTCCAGCTGTTACATTGTCAGAAACTCTACTTACAAATCCAGGCAATTTATCACATTGCCAAGTATTGTTAAGCATTCAGGTACTCAGCGTACCCTGAGAGGTGCATTGACAGATTTGCAATCAAATAAATTCCTAATTCTGGAATTAATTCAATTAATTATTAATTATTGTTCACACCCCCACTGACACCCCTGTAATATTAATATTTTAGGGGAACATAAAAATCTTCCTTTCTTCATTACCTAAAAATGTCTGTATTTCTTGTGGCATAAAGCATTCACTAGTAGTCCTAATAGGCAGTTTCAAGTTTAGAGTCTAATCTATAAGCCTGATAGTATAAGGGACTCTGTCTCAGTTGAAGAAGCAAGCATGATAGAAACCTTTAATCAGCCCTGTAATGAGTTGAAATCTGTCCTGTGTCCCTTAAAAAGATATATTCCAGTCCTAACCCTGAGTAGCTTTGAATGTGGCTTTATTTGGATAAGAGACTTTGCAGATGTAATTAAGGATTTTCAGTGTGAAATCATCTAGGTTTTAGAATGAACCGTAAATCCAATGACTGGTGTCCTTATGAAAAGCAGGATATTTCCCTGACCCCTTCATGGGCAGAAACTGGAGTACACAGGGACTAGAACTAGCTGGCCACTTTGGTGCCGGCAGGGGCAGACTCAATTAACTTGGTCCCTCCGGGATCTACCCCTTGCTGGAGGTGAAGTACAGATGAATAGGTTCAGGAGCTGGCGTGAGCATTTTTGGGCACCAGCAGGAGCAAAACTCCATGCAGCCCCCACTGCAGTGGCTGGGGGGTTGTCTGTGACCTATGAAGCTGCAGAAGGAGTGTTTCAGTGCCCTTTTAGCTTTGCAGTCTGTGGACAGCAGTGGAGGGTCAGTGTGACAGCCTTTTGCACCTGCACTCATGGCACCCAAATTCTTGTCTGACATCCAGGAGGAATGAGGTCGCATGAATGACTTGAAGATGGTAGATGTGGATTTTTTTTTTTTTTTAACGAGATTTGCTCTTGTTGTCCAGGCTGGAGTGCAATGGTGCGATCTCGGCTCACCGCAACCTCAGCATCCCCGGTTCAAACGATTCTCTTGCCTCAGCCTCCGGAGTAGCTGGGATTACAGACATGTGCCACCATGCCTGGCTAATTTTGTAGTTTTAGTAAAGATGGGGTTTCTCCATGTTGGTCAGGCTGGTCCCGAACTCCCGACCTCAGGTGATCCGCCTGCCTCGGCCCCCAAAGTACCAAGATTACAGGTGTGAGCCACTGCACCTTGCCAATTTCTGTTATTTTATTTTATTTATTTATTTATTTTTTTTTTTTTTTGAGACGGAGTCTCGCTCTGTTGCCCAGGCTGGAGTGCAGTGGCGCGATCTCGGCTCACTGCAAGCTCCGCCTCCCGGGTTCACGCCATTCTCCTGCCTCGGCCTCCCAAGTAGCTGGGACTACAGGTGCCCGCCACCATGCCCGGCTAATTTTTTGTATTTTTAGTAGAGACGAGGTTTCTCCATGTTAGCCAGAATGGTCTCGATCTCCTGACCTCGTGATCCACCCAACTCGGCCTCCCAAAGTGCTGGGATTACAGGCGTGAGCCACTGCGCCTGGCCCTATTTTATTTTTTTTTTGAGACAGAGTCTTGCTCTGTCCCTCAGGCTGGAGTGCAGTGGTGCAGTCTCGGCTCACTACAACCTCTGCCTCCCAGGTTCAAGCAGTTCTCCTACCTCAGCCTACTGAGTAGCTGGTATTACTAGCATGAGCCACCACACCTGGCTAATTTTTTTTGTTTGTTTGTTTTAGTAGAGATGGGGTTTCACCACGTTGGCCAGGCTGGTCTTGAACTCCTGGCCTCAAGTGATCTGCCCACCTCAGCCTCCCAAAGTGCTGAGATTACAGGCATGAGCCACCATGCCCGGCCCAATTTCTGTTATTTTAAACCACCCATTTTATGGTACTTTGTTATGGCAGACCTATAAACTCATATCAATCCAATTTTTTTTTCATTCTGCCAGTGAAAAGAGTCAAACTCTGTAAAATATTTGAAGAGATTCATCTTGAGCCCAAATATAACTGACAATGACCCGAGATACAGTCTTAAGAGGTCCTAAGAACATGTGCTCAAGATGGTCAGGCTACAGCTTGGTTTTTGTTTGTTTGTTTTTGAGACAGAGTCTCGCTCTGTCGCCCAGGCTGGAGTGCAGTGGCACCATCTCGGCTCACTGCAACCTCCGCCTCCCAGGTTCAAGCAATTCTCCTGCCTCAGCCTCCCGAGTAGCTGGGACTACAGGCGCCCGCCACCACACCCGGCTAATTTTTTGTATTTTTAGTAGAGAAGAGGTTTCTCTGTGTTAGCCAGGCTGGTCTTGAACTCCTGACCTCAGGTGATCCGCCCATCTCGGCCTCCCAAAGTGCTGGGATTACAGGTGTGAGCCACCATGCCTAGAATGTTTTATACATTTTAGGGAGACATAAGACATCAAGCAATACATGTCAGATGCTCATTGTTCTGGTTCTGTCTGGAAAGGTGGGACAACTCGGAGTGGGGGTTTCCAGGTTATAGGTGAATTCAAATATTTTCTGATTGGCAGTTGGTTGAAAGAGTTAAGCTATTATCTAAAGACCTGGAATTAATAGAAGGGAGTATTTTGGTTAGAATTAGGGATTGTGGAGACCAAGGTTCTTACCATGTGGATGAAGCCTCCAGGTAGCAGGCTTTAGAGAGAATACATTGTAGATCAGGGGTGTTCAATCTTTTGGGTTCCCTAGGCCACACTGGAAGAAGAAGAATTGCCTTGGGTCACACATAGAATATACTAAAAAAAAAATTGCAAGGCCCAGCACAGTGGCTCACGCCTGTAATCTCAGCACTTTGGGAGGCCGAGATGGGCGGATTGCTTGAGGTCAGGAGTTCAAGACCAGCCTGGTTGACACAGTGAAACCTCGTCTCTACTAAAAATACAAAATTAGCCGGGCGTGGTGGTGCATGCCTGTAGTCCTAGCTACTCAGGAGGCTGAGGCAGAAGAATCACTTGAACCAGGGAGGCGGAGGTTGCAGTGAGCCGAGATCGCACCACTGCACCCTAGCCTAGGCAACAGAGCCAGACTCCTTCCTAAAAAAAATAAAAATTGCAAAGAAATCTCATAATGTTTTAAGAAAGTTTACAAATTTGTGTTGGACCACATTCATAGCTGTTTTGGTGCGTGGATTGAACAAGCTTGTTGTAGATGTTCCTTATCAGACTTAGAAAGCTGTCACGCTCTTAGTTAATTGTCTCCTGGATCAGGGAAAAGACCTAGAAAAGGAAGTAGATTCTCTACAGAATGTAGATTTCCCCCACAAGAGACAACTTTGTAGGGCCATTTCAAAATACATCAAAGAAATATATTTGGGGGTAAAATACTTCTATTTTTTTCAGGGCCTACCATCTGTCATGTTGGTATCTTATTGCTACAGTCTGTTTTGTCAGTCTTAAAGTCTCTGTTTTAATGTCAATGCTGGTCAGCTGTGCCTGAATTCCAGCGGGAGAAGAGTATGATGAGGCACGTCCAACTCCCCCTTCCTATCGTGGCCTTAACTAGTTTGGAGGTTAACTTTGGAACGCCCTTGGCTAAGATGAAGGATCCAGTCGGTTGGGGGGCTTAGAATTTTGTTTTTGGTTTACAGTTGCCTCCACAAACATTTATTGAGCACTATCATGTGCCAAGCAGAGAAACAAGAAAATCCTTGTTCTTACAGAGCCTATATTCTGATAGTGATGGTGGTGGGAAAGAGAAAATAAACAAGCAAACAATAAATAAGATAATTTCTAATGGTGAAAACGACTATTAAGACAGAGTGATGTGACAGAGAATATTGAGGTATGGTGGGCTTCTTTAGATTAAGTGGTCAGGGAGGAAGGTCTCTGAGGAGATGATGTTTAAGCTGAAATCTGAATAAAAAGAAAGAGCTGGTGACCGGAAGATCAATCAATGGGAAGAATGTTGCAGGCAGATGTTACAGCTGGTGCAAAGGCTCTTAGGCAGGAATCACCTCAGTGACTGAAGAATAGGTAGAAGGCCAATGGTGGCCAGGCGTGGTGGCTCAAGCCTGTAATCCCAGCACTTTGGGAGGCCAAGGCGTGCAATCACCTGAGGTCAGGAGTTCAAGACCAGCTTGGTCTCTACAAAAATACAAAACAAAAAAAAATTAGCTGGGCATGATGGCAGGTGCCTGTAATCCCAGTTACTTGGGAGGCTGAGGCAGTAGAATCACTTGAACCCGGGAGGCAGAGGTTGCAGTGAGCCAAGATCGTGCTATTGCACTCCAGCCTGAGCAACAGAGTAAGACTCCGTCTCCAAAAAAAAAAAAAAAAAAAAAAAAAAAAAGAAGGCCAGTGGCTCAGCAATGGTGAGCAAGGAGAAAGTGGTACAAAATGCAAGGAGCTCTGAGAAGTGGTAGGGGTCAGATCCTATGCAGTGTTGTAAACTACAGTAAAGAGTTTAGATTTTATTCTAAATGCAATGGGAAACATTTGGAAGACTTTAGGAAAGAAAAGTGGTCTGATTTATGTGTGTGGGTATATATAATATAATATATATATTATATATATTATATATATATTTTTTTCTAGAAACAAGATCTTGCTATGTTGTTCAGGGTGGAGTACAGTGGTGTGATTATAGCTCACTGCAGCCTCCAACTTCTGAGCTCGAGTGATCCTCCTGCCTCAGCCTCCGAGTTTCTAAGACTATAGGCACATGTCACCCACCACACATGGCCAGTTTTTAAATTTTTTTGTAGAGATGGGGTTTCGCTATGTGGCACAGGCTGGTCTTGAACTCCTGGCCTCAAGTGATCCTGCCTCCTTGGCCTCCCAGAGCTGTGGGATTACAGGCTTGAGTCATCGTGCCCAGCCTGATTCGTATTTTTAAATGAACCCTACTGCTGCCATGTTGGAGTTAGTTGAAGGAGTGTGGGGTTGTATTGTATCAGCTTGGCTAAACCGAAATTTTTTGTTTTGTTTTGTTTTGTTTTGTGTTTTTTTTTTTTGAGATGGAGTCTTGCTCTGTCACCAGGCTGGAATGCAGTGGTGTGATCTCGGCTCACTGCAACCTCCGCCTCCCTGGTTCAAGCGATTCTCCTGCCTCAGCCTCCTGAGTAGCTGGGACTACAGGCGCCCACCACCATGCCCAGCTAATTTTTGTATTTTTAGTAGAGACGGGGTTTCACCATGTTGGCCAGGATGGTCTCGATCTCTTGACCTCGCGATCCACCCGCCTCGGCCTCCCAAAGTGCTGGAATTGCAGGCATGAGCCACGGCGCCCGGCCTTTTATTTTTTTTCAAGAATTTCCTTTGCTACCTGACTCAGGATTAGCAAGCCTCATGGGAGGCATTTTGCATGGTATTTGAAAGGTGAGAAGGAAGCAGTAGCTTGTTTTTACACTTGGAAGGTCTGTGCAGGGCACAGGCACCCATCCCAGCTCACCCATGTTTTTGTAATCTGCTGACTCACCTTGCTGGCCTTGGGCAACATCCAGCCCACAGTTCCTTCAACTCCTGCCAGATGTTCTCCTTTAGCTTCTCCAAGTCCCGGGCCAGAAACATGTTTAGCTCCATGACTAAGGGCAGAACATTAGACTATCTGTGGAAGCTTGGAGTTACTGAGAGGTCTGTCCTTGTAGGTTCATGTTTCTCTTTCCAGATGCTAGTTGATCCTTATGTCTTCAGTTTGCATTCATCCTCCCTTCTAAGTACCAGCCCCAACCTCTGGCACCAGGCACATATAGTGTTTAATCAGCTCCCACAGTTTTCTAAGGTGAAAGTCCTACAATAAGTGTATATATATATATATATATATATCAATTTATTTATATTTTATATAAGTGTATTTATATATAATTTACAGTTAAAATTTTTATCAATATTTATATTTTAAATATATTTATATACGTAGATTTTCTATAAAATGTTATATATTATATATTTACATTTTTATGCATAAAACATGTGATTTTTATATATTTGTTTTGTTACATATGTATGTATATGTTTCTCCTGCTTCAGCCTCCAGAGTAGCTGGGATTACAGACACGTGTCACCATGCCCGGCTAATTTTGTATTTTTAGTAGAGTCGGGGTTTCACTGTGTTGCCCAGGCTGATCTCGAACTCCTGACCTCAGGTAATCCACCCGCCTCGGCCTCCCAAAGTGCTGGGATTACAGGTGTGAGCCACTGCGCCTGGCTTATCCCTGTGGTTTTCTTCTCTCATTGAACATCATTGAAGAAGAGGCAAACGTGAAAGCAGGTACTGGGAACTTAGTCCAGACCCAGAGATCCAGAGACATTGTCATGGAGATGGGGAGAAGTGTACCGATTTAAGAAATGTTTTGGAGGTTGTATTAGAGTTTTCCAGAGAAATAAACCAATAGGATGTTATATATATATATATGTATAAAATGGATGTATTTGATCTATCTATATATATTTATATCTATATATAGGTATATGCAAAGAGAGAGAAAGAAAGAGGAAACAAAGAAAGAAAGGAAGGAAGGAAGGGCCTGCCGCGGTGGTTCATGCCTGTAATCCCAGCACTTTGGGAGGCCGAGTCGGGTGGATCACCTTAGGTCGGGAGTTCGAGACCAACCTGACCAACATGGAGAAACCCCGTCTCTATTAAAAATACAAAAGTAGCCAGGCGTGGTGGCAGATGCCTGTAGTCCCAGCTACTCGGGAGGCTGAGGCAGGAGAATTGCTTGAACCCGGGAGGCAGAGGTTGCGGTGAGCCGAGATTGCAACATTGCACTCCAGCCTGGAGTTTTGCTTTGAAACTCCGTCTCAAAAAAAAAAGAAGAAGAAAAGGAATGCATGAAGGAAGGAAGGAAGGAAGGAGGAAGGAAGGAGAGAGAGAAAGTATTATAAGGAATTGGTTCATGCAATTATGGAGGCTAAGAAGGCTCAAGAGCTGCAGTTGGCAAGCTGAAGACCCAGGATAGCTGATGGTGCAGTTCTAGCCTGAGTCTGAAGCCCTGAGAACCAAGAGAACAGACGGTGAAAGTCCCAGTCTGAATGCTGCCTGGCTCAAGACTCAAAAAGAGCTGATATTTCAGTTTAAGTCTGCAAGTAGGAAAAGACTAATGACCCAGCTCAGTCAGGCAGAAGGAGTTCCTTCTATTTCCCAGGAAGGTCAGCCTTTTGTTCTATTCAGGCCTTCAAATGATCGGATGGGACTGACACACGTTAGGGAAGACAATTTGCTTTACTTTGTCTCTACCTATTCCCATGTTAATCTCATCCAGAACCACCTTCACAGACACATCCAGAATGGTATTTGATCAAAAGTCTAGGCACACCATGGCCCAGTCAAGTGGACACACAAAATTTACCATCACAGAGGTAGAACTTGCAAAACATATAGATATATATTGGATGCAGGGCTGCCTTCCTATGTAGTCACACTGGGCCTCACACTTAGAAGGACCCCACAGTTGGTTTAATGCTCTGCTATTGCTGTCTTGAAATTCTTAATAATTTTTTAACAAGGAGCTCTGTGTTTTCATTTTTCACTGGACCTGCAAATTATGTAACTGGTCCAGACTGGATGTAAGGAGTGAAGGAAAAGAGGCTAAAGTTATTACACTTCAATTTTTGGCTTAAACAACTGGGTGGGTGGTAGGGCACTTTGAGGTACAATTTGGAAGAGAAATGAAGAATTCTGATTTGAACATGTTAACTAAGAGCTGCCTCTTAGACATTGTGGTATTTGTTGATGGCTTCCGCAGCATTCGTTTTTCTCTTCGTGATTCCTAACTAGACCTTGTTTTCCAGGCTCATGGTTAGGGTTTGATTGGTTCCAGCTCCAGCCACCCACAAACTGTCCTGACATGGCAGGCTCTGCCCTACAGGGGCAAAGTGTCAAGTAAACATAGAAGACTAATTCTTTTTGTAATTCTCTTTACCCCTAGATTAAAGAACAAGGAGATGGCTGGCTATTTAAGAAGGAAAGGCAGAGGCTGCAGAAATTGAGCCTAACGGCTTATCAGATGGGATGGATAATTCTTTAAGTTTAAAAGAACTACTCATTTTCCCCAACATCTGTCTTTGCCATCTTCCTATCTAAGGAACCTTTCACTTTTTAGCTGGGGACATAGCTTTCTGGTATGAGAACTACACTGCTCAAACTTCCAATCAGGTAAGCTCTGCCATTTGATTATATTCTGTTTAATGTGCTGTCAGAGGAAGTGGGGTATGCAATTTCCTAGACACATCTTTAAAGGAAGGGGAAATTCCATTTATCCTCCCCTTTCCTTTCGGTTGGCTAGATTTTCTATGTATTGACCGAAATCCTAGTAGTCTGCAGCAGAAAAGTATGCTGGTCCATTGACGTGGAGCCAGGCCAGTTCCGGACTGCCTATCTCTGGAGTTTTACAAGAAAGATAAGTACTATCTAATTTAAGCCACCACTGTTTTGGATGTCTGTCACATATAGCCAATGTTAATCCTAAGTGATATGATACTCATATAATTAACACCTTTTCTTAAGGACATCTAAATGAGTATCTACTTGCTAGAACCAAGAGTCTAATTAGAACTTTTTTTTTTCTTATTCAGGCCATGTACAATTTAGTTTTCAAGCAAACCACAAAACCTTACTTAACCCATATTTTGCTTTGTCTATTTTTTAAGTCCTAAAAGAAATATAGACACTTTATTAAGATCTATTATTAAAAGACCACTATTTCCTCTAGGGAAGCAACAATTGATCCACGTTTTCCTGGCACCAGCTCACATTTCATAAATCCTTGTTTAAAATTAACCCAGATCATTAAAAAACATAAAAAAATTCTTTTTAAATTACACAATAAAAGCTGCCTTCAGAGAGACTTAAAAAAAGTGAGTTTATGGGTAATCTCAGATAAGGTGACCAAATATTCAAAATCGACGAAGACAGTTCCAGTTCCCAGATTGCCAGCTGCTCTGGTTTCTGTCACAGCACACATCTTATGGTTCCAGCCAGATGTCATCCAACTTTAGGACAGGAATTCCTGTCCCTGCTCAGGAGAGCAAGCCACTGAAAATGGGAAGAACCAGTAAGAAAAGTGGAAATGGCAAAAAACTAATGAAGCTGCATTTAAAATTTTAGTTAACAATTTGGTTCATTGTTCAACAAAGTTTGAAAGCGTTTGTCAATAAATCTTGTTTAGTTTTATGTATTCCGCACTGTGCATGGTAACCCATTTCTGGGGTGTGATTATAATATTTTTTTTTTTTTTTTTTGAAACAGAGTCTCAGTCTGTCGCCCAGGCTGGACTGCAGTGGCACAATCTCGGCTCACTGCAACTTCCACCTCACCTCCCGGGTCTAAGTGATTCTCCTGTCTCAGTCCCCGAGTAGCTGGGATTACAAGTGCATGCCACCACGCCCAGCTAATTTTTGTACTTTTAGTAGAGATGGGATTTCACCATGTTGGCCAGATTGGTCTCGAACTCCTGACCTCGTGATCCACCCGCCTCGGCCTCCCAAAGTGCTGGGATTACAGGCGTGAGCCACCGCACCCAGGCAATATTCTTAAAAAGTGATGTGGGCCTGGTGCAGTGGCTCATGCCTGTAATGCCAGCACTTTGGGAGGCTGAGGTGGGCAGATCTCTTGAGGTCAAAAGTTTGAGACCAGCCTGGCCAACATGGTGAAACCCTGTCTCCACTAAAAATACAAGAATGAGCCGAGTGCGGTGGCTCACGCCTGTAATCCCAGCACTTTGGGAGGTCGAGGCAGGTGGATCACAAGGTCAGGAGTTTGAGACCAGCCTGGCCAATATGGTGAAACCCCATCTCTACTAATAAGAAAATGCAAAAAAAAAATTAGCCGGTCGTAGTGGCACATGCCTGTAATCCCAGCTACTCTGGAGGCTGAGGCAGGAGAATTGCTTGAATCCGGGAGACAGAGGTTGCAATGAGCTGAGATCGCACCACTGCACTCCAGCCTGGGTGACAGAGTCAGACTCTGTCTCAAAAAAAAAAAAAAAAAAAATTAGCGGGACATGGTGTGGTGGTGCATGACTGTAAATCCCAGCTACTTGGGAGGCTGAGGCAGGAGAATCACTTGAACGAAGAGGTGGAGGCTCCAAGCCCCATTCTCACACAAGTTCTCCAAGGCTGTTGCATTTACACATGCCCAGGACTGTTGGATGGTGGGTTGTCTACAGAGGATTGGTCCATGGTAATTTACCCTTGATGTTCATTGGACAGATGATGTTTAAAGGCTAAATAAAAGTTAGCCAGGTGGACAAGAAAAGGAAGGACATTCTAAGTGGAGAGAACAGTGTGTGTAAACAGAAGAAAAAGACAGTATAGTGTATGGATTCACAAAATCTTATCTTTCATTCTGAAATCCCAAAAGTTCAAAAAGCTCAAAGCTTTTCTTAACCTATTTGTCAGGAAAACCAGACCCAACTCAATTTGAACTCATGGGTGTGCTGCATTTGTCGGGGACCCATCAGGACACAGTGGCATTCTCAAATTGGGATCACTTGAAGAAGATTTAATAAAGAGATTTTGTATACAGGTGTGGGTGAGGTGCAGAAAAACCATGGGAAGCGGGGCGGGCACTCACACCTGTAATCCCAGCACTCTGGGAGGCCGAGGTGGGCGGATCACTCGAGATCAGGAGTTCAAGAATAGCCTGGCCAATATGGTGAGACCCCGTCCCTACTAAAAATACAAAAATTAGTCAGGCATGATGACAGGGGCCTTAGCTACATGGGAGGCTGAGGCAGGAGAATCGCTTGAACCAGGGAGGCAGAGGTCGCAGTGAGCGGAGATTGCGCCACTGTACTCCAGCTTGGATGACAGACAGCGCAAGACTCTGTCTCAAAAAAGAAAACAAACAAACAAAAAACCACAGGGGATAGTGTTGGCACAAGGGATAGTGGTGTGAAAGTGAGACAGTACCCTAGCACTAGAAAGAACAGAACTGTTATGACTCCTAGATGCAAAGAGATGAGAAGAGGGAGTGCTTCTTAGAACTCAGAAGGAAAGAGTCATGGGAAGATGACTGCCTAAGAGCAACAGTGAGTCTCAGAATGTTCTTCAGGCAAGGGAAATACCCCAACCTTCCTGGGGAGCTTGATGGGCTCCCCGTTGGTTATACCCCATCAGTAGCCTGAGGGCAACAGAGTGCGAAGCTGAAGTCCAGATAGGTCAGTTTCCCGTGGCACAGAGCAGGTGGAAAAGGATAGAAAATAGATCTAGAGGGGCCAAAGGAAGTGGCCCTTGCTAAGTGGAAAACCAGACCTGAACTGACCTAAGGTCATTTGCAAATGTATTCATACTTAATGTGAATATTTAGGTTTCTGGCAGAGATGTTTATGTTTGTAATGATGAATTGATGTCTTAGACCCTGCTAGGTGTTGTGTACTATATGATACAAGCATGGGGTTACTTGTCAAAAACCTGAAAAAAATTATGAATTTGGAAATACCTCTGGCCTCTGGGAGCTTTGCTAAGAGAATATGGGCCTGCATATAGTAAACTGGAGACATTTTTATATGTCTCAAAGATTTTGCACGTGGGGAATGGGGTGGGGAGTTGGCAGCAGTACAATATCGAAGGCAAGAAAGGAGGTGAAAAGGTGCACTGGAGCCACAGCATTAAGGTTTTTATGCCAAGCAAAGAGGATGGACTTGGCTGTAAATGGTGAGGAATTGTAACAAGGGATTTTAAACTGGGATGACATGATTAGACACATGTTTTAGGAAGACCATGCTGGCTGTAATGCGCAGGTTGGACTCTCCTGGGCAACAGAGCACAGGAAGTCCTGGGTTTGGGATTTCTGTCATTCCTGAGCGTGGAGAAAGAGAAGGGGAGGTGGAGAGGTATGAGAGACTGGCCCTAGTGATTCCCATGACTGCACAATGTGACACTTGAATGGATCATGGAGGAAGCAGAGGCAACACATACTAAAGGCAGGGAGAGGACACTCTTTCAGATGTCATCTTCAGCTCTGCTTAGTAAGCTGATTAACAAAGCTTTTGCCAGCATCTGAGATGCATGTCCACCAAGAGATACCGTTCTCTTGCTTCTTGAATCATAGATTTTATTTTTAAGATTAAATAGGATTAAATCTTAATCCTATTTAACCTGCAGATATTAAGCAGCAGGAGTTATCCAGAGACTCAGCAAAAGAATCTGGATTGGTCCCCTAACTCTATGTCATGTTGTTTTCATCATACCACACTGCCATTCGATCAGTGATGTTAAATTAAATGAGCAGGAACCACTAGCTTGAGGCTGTCTCCGTACTTTGAGTTCCTATATACTTAACAAACTGTAACCTAACTTGGTGCAAAACAAATGGAAAGCCTAACTTAGGAGTATATTTTGTAACAGCCAAGCTTCAGCCAATGACAGGCAGCCAAGTGATCAGACCATCCCCAAATAAGGCAGCCACTTAACTGTAGCCAATCAGGTGATTTTTCTACTTTGCTTCTATGTTTGGCCTATAAAAACTTGTTGCTCACACTGCTTTGCTCAAATAAACTCTGCTAAATTTAATTTGTCTCCTTTTTTTTTTGTTTGAGACAGAGTCTCACTCTGTTGCCAGGCTGGAGTACAATGGTGTGATCTTGGCTCACTGCAACCTCTGCCTCCCTCCCGGGTTCAGGTGATTCTCCTTCCTCAGCCTCCCGAGTAGCTGGGATTACAGGTGCCTACACCACCACGCCTGGCTAATGTTTGTATTTTTAGTAGAGATAGGGTTTCACCATGCTGCCCAAGCTGGTCTTGAACTCCTGGCCTCAAGTGATCTGCCTGCTTCAGCCTCCCAAAGTGCTGGGATTACAGGTGTGAACCACCATGCCTGGACTAAAGTTGTTGTTGTTGTTTTTTTTAATGGTGTGAAATATGGTGATAGTTCATATAAATATCTGTGTCAGTTCCTAAAAAGAATATAGAGGAATAAAAGACCAATGCAGTAAGTATTGACTTAACAGTCCTTGGAAGGCATTTTTCTCCCTTCTTCAAGTTTTAATAAAAATAAAACCCTAAAATTCATAGCATCATGGAATAGAAGTCTGGTAAAGCGAGCAGAATAATTTATGCATAATTATAAAATAACTGGTGCATTAAGTGGTTATATGATCTGTCTCATGAGTTAGTTGGTCAAATTTTATACACAGCTTATTTATAATTAATTATTTCTTAATCTCCCTCCAATTGTTTAATGGTTCCCATATGCTTGCTTGTGCTTTAGCTTGTATGCACTTGGTGAATCTTACCTACCACAAACAGAAGTCTGGAAAGTGAAAATTTATTTCCTTTTCACCATGACCAGCCTTGTTCAGGTAATTCTCCAGAGATAACTACTCTTAAGAGGTTTGTATGTACTCTTTTAGACTTTTTCTATTTATATCCACATGCCTGTATGTTATAGACCTTCAAAAACAAATGTTATTGCGTGCTTTTTCTATAAAAATGGTGTAATGCTATGATAATTTTTTTTTTTTTTTTTAAAGATAGAGTCTCACTCTGTGGCCCAGGCTGGAGTGCAGTGGCACAACCTAGGCTCACTGCAACCTCTGCCTCCCAGGTTCAAGTGATTCTCCTGCCTCAGCCTCCCGAGTAGCTGGAATTACAGGCACCCACCACCACACCTGGTTAATTTTTGTATTTTTAGTTGAGACAGGGTTTCACCATGTTGGCCAGGCTGTTCTCCAACTCCTGACTTCAAGTGATCCGCTCACCTCGGCCTCCCAAAGTGCTGAAATTACAGGCGTGAGCCACCATGCCTGGCCTTTCTTTTTTATTTTTATTTATTTATTTATTTTTGAGACGGAGTTGTTGCCCAGGCTGGAGTGCAATGGTGAGATCTTGGCTCACTGCAACCTCTGCCTCCTGGGTTCAAGCGATTCTCCTGTCTCAGCATCCCAAGTAGCTGGGATTACAGGCGTGCACCACCATGCCCTGCTAATTTTGTATTTTTAGTAGAGATGGGGTTTCACCATGTTGGTCAGGCTGGTCTTGAACTCCCGACCTCAGATGATATGCCCGCCTTGGCCTCCCAAAGTGCTGGGATTACAGGTGTGAGCCACCGTACCTGGCCTTGTTTTTTTTTTTTTTTTTTTGCGATGGAGTTTCACTCTGTCACCCAGGCTGGAGTGCAGTGGCACCATCTCAGCTCACTGCAACCTCCACCCTCCGGGTTCAAATGATTCTCCTTCCTCAGCCTCCTGAGTAGCTGGGACTACAGGCGCCTGCCACCGTGCCCGGCTAATTTTTTGTATTTTTAGTAGAGATGGGGTTTCACCATCTTGGCCAAGCTGGTCTTGAACTCCTGACCTCGTGATCCACCCACCTCAGCCTCCCAAAGTGCTGGGATTACAGGCGTGAGCCACTGCACCCAGCCCGGTTTTTTTTTTTAATTTTTTAATTTTTAAAAATTTAAGCCATCAGTTATTAATTTTCTAAATTTAAGGAGAATGTTCTTTTTCACTTAATAATATGTTACATATATATTTTTCGGGTATGTTACATACATATTTTAATGTGTATGTATGTATGTATACAATTTTAATATGTATGTATGTATTACATATAATAATATGTTACATACACACTTTTACATATTTTTCAGGGAAGTATGTATAGATTGACCTTATTTATTTTTATTTTTTATTTTTTAGAGACAGGGTCTTGCTCTGTCACCCAACTCAGAGTCTGGTGACACAGTCATAGCTCACTGTAACCTCAAACTCCTGGGTCCTTCCGCCTTGGCCTCCCAAGCACTAGGATTACAGATGTGAGATGCTGTGCTCAGCCCTTATTTGTTTTAATGATTGGGTTCCATTGATTGCATGGATGTTCTTTAATTTTAGCCATTCCTTTACTGATGGGTAAATAGATTCCTTTTACGTTTTTTTTTAAATGGCAAATGATCATTCAAATTAACATTCTTGTGCTACTTTCTTTTTTTTTTTTTTTTTTTTGAGACGGAGTCTTGCTTTGTCACCCAGGCTGGAGTGCAGTGGCGCCATCTTGGCTCACTGCAACCTCCGCCTCCCGGGTTAATGCCATTCTCCTGCCTCACCCTCCCGAGCAGCTGGGACTACAGGCGCCCACCACCATGCCCAGCTAATTTTTTGTATTTTTAGTAGAGATGGGGTTTCACTGTGTTAGCCAGGATGATCTCGATCTCCTGACCTTGTGATCCACCCGCCTCGGCCTCCCAAAGTGCTGGGATTACAGGCGTGAGCCACCGTGCCCAGCTCTTGTGCTACTTTCTATTAGTACTTACAGAAACTTACTCTCTAAGGTCCTTGGCTAAGGTTACATTTTGCAGGAACGAATATCTTTTTTCACTTAAACCAAAAAGAAGTCATTCATGTTAACCTATAAATACAGCAACAAAAGCATCTTATTAATTTTTATGCAAATTATGAAAGTAACCAAGGGGGTTCAGACCCAATCAAAACCATAAATATCTTGCTATTTTCACCTTTAGCTCACCAGTCTCAATGTCTTAAGCTAGGTCATTCTGGTGATTACTTTTAAATTTCTTTGATCTTCATTGGATCATATCTTTTCTCCTAAGAACATCTGAGAGGCACAGACCTGAGAAAGAATCCCCAGGCTGAAGAGGTAGAAGTTGGCAGAAGTTAAAAGCAATGTCTCCACAATGGAGAAGTGACATGCTAAAGGAACCTGGCATCTAGACATTTCCTAACCCCCAATCCCTCCTTACATATGACCTGCTCTTAGAGGAGTACAGCGTGGTGGTTAGGAGTGTGGACTCGGCAGCCAGAAATCCTGGGATCTGTTGCTTGTTAGCTGTGGGCCTTAAGCTAAGAACTTAACCTCTCTGTGCCTCAGTTGCTCCATCTGTTCAAATGAAGATAATGATAATGAAGATGATATCACCTGCTGTGTAGGATTGTTATGAAAAATCAAGAATTAATATTTGTAAATCACTTACAGGGTCTGGCACATAATAAGTGCTGTGTGGGTGTTTGTTAAATAAAATAATATACAATGACATAGGCATTGTGGTTGTTCTTCCTAGTCTCCTAAAGAAGCAGTTGTTTCTGAAACCTTCCCAAACTCAAATATAGCTGAAGTTGCTCAAAATATCATGTGAAAATCCCTCCTCTTCACCAGCCCCTCCACTGTAGAGGCTTCTTTGTGCTCACAGAAGCCCTATATTTCAGTGGTCTGTTCTGGATGTCTAAACTTCTCATAAGAAGTGATATTTTATGGGGCCCGGTGCAGTGGCTCACGCCTGTAATCTTAGCACTTTGGGAAGCCGAGGCAGGTGGATCATTTGAGGTCAGGAGTTAGAGACCAGTCTGACCAAGATGGTGAAACTCCGTCTCTACTAAATACAAAAAAAACAGACAGGAGTGGTGGCACATGCCTGTAATCCCAGCTATTTGGGAGGCTGAGGCAGAAGAATCGCTTGAATCCTGAAGGCAGAGGTTGCAATGAGCCAAGATCGCACCATTGCACTCCAGCCTGGGCAACAGAGCCAGAGCAAAACTGTCTCAAAAAAGCAAACAAAAAAAAGATAAAGAAGAGGTGATATTTTATTTACGTTAAAAAAAAATGGACAGATACTAGGTGTCTGATTCCCAGACAGTTGTTAGCACATTCTTTGTGTTCAACAAAACATTCTAATAAGAAGAGAAGATTTGTAAAAACACATAGAAGAAATTGATTAACAAACATAAGTACAGTGAAAATTATCTGGATTCTGGCTGGGCACGGTGGCCCGCACCTGTAATCCCAGCACTTTGGGAGGCCGAGGTGAGTGGATCACTTGAGGTCAGGAGACCAGCCTGACCAACATGGTGAAACCCCATCTCTACTAAAAATACAAAATTAGCCGGGCATGGTAGTGAATGCCTGTAATCCCAGCTACTTGGGAGGCTGAGGCAGGAGAATCACTTGAACCTAGGAGGCGGAGGTTGCAATGAGGCAAGATTGCACCACTGCACTCCAGTCTGGGCATCAAGAGAGAAACTCTGTCAAAAAGAAGAAAGAAAGAAAGAAATTGATTAGGAAACACAAGTGCAATGAAAATTATCGGGATTTTGGCCGGACATGTGGCTCATGCCTGTAATCCCAGCACTTTGGGAGGCCAAGGTGGGTGGGTCACCTGAGGTCAGGAGCTCAAGACCAGGCTGGGCAACATGGCAAAACCCCGTCTCTACTAAAAATACAAAAATTAGCCAGGTGTGGTGGCAGGTGCCTGTAATATGGGAGGCTGAGACCCAAGAATCGCTTGAACCCGGGAGGCAGAAGTTGCAGTGAGCCAAGATCACACCATTGCACTTCAGCCTGGGTGACAGAGCAAGGCTCCATCTCAAAAAAAAAAAAAGAAAATTATCTGGATTCTCAGGAAATGTTTGATTTGCTGAACATAAGAGAAAATTTTAGGAATAGAAAATAAGAGAAAATTCATTGACAGTATATATTTATATCCTATATTTTCAAATGTTAATATTATAACTGTCAGAAATAATGCCACATTTTATTTATTGAAGAGCTGATTATCCAGATCTGAGATTTTACATATCTTTTTTTTCTTTTTTCTTTTTATTTTTATTTGATACGGAATCTCGCTCTGTTGCCAGTCTGGAGTGCAGTGGCACAATCTCAGCTCACTGCAACCTCTGCCTCCTGGGTTCAAGCGATTCTCCTGCCTCAGACTCCTGAGTAGCTGGGATTACAGGTGCGTGCCACCACGCCCAGCTAATTTTTGAATTTTTAGTAGAGATGGGGTTTCACCATGTTGGCCAGGATGGTCTTGATCTTGTGACCTCGTGATCTGCCCGCCTCATCCTCCCAAAGCGCTGGGATTACAGGCATGAGCCACTGCGCCCGGCTGAGATTTTACATTTTTTTTTTTTTTTTGAGACGGAGTCTCACTCTATCACCCAGGCTGGAGTGCAGTGGCACGATCTCGGCTCACTGCAACCTCTGTCTCTTGGGTTCAAGAGATTCTTCTGCCTCAACCTGCCGAGTAGCAGGGATTATAGTTGCCGGCCACCACACCAGGCTAATTGTTGTATTTTTAGTAGAGACAGTGTTTCACAATGTTGGTCAGGCTGGTCTCAAACTCCTGACCTTGTGATCCACCTGCCTTGGTCTCCCAAAGTGCTGGGATTACAGGCGTGAGCCACCGCACCCGGCCTTACATATCTTTTATTACTATTTTCTTCCTACACCATCCCCGCAATCTCCTGTATTTTTATCAATTACAAAGCACGTGGAGTCAGGTGTGAAATTTTTTTCTCTAAATATGGTTAGACTTCTAAGGCAAACCGTATGGTTCCTGACTTCCTCTAAAGGAGGACTAATGGGTCACTCCATCTGGGGGGCATCCCCATTCTCTGGAGTATTTTGACTATAGCCTTGAGTTAAACACGTGGTTTGGTTGGCTGTACATCATGATTTAATTTCACAAGAATCTTGCATGTCTCATTTCCTCATACTATCACTAAAAAGATTTGAGGGGTTGACACTGGCTTTCAACCTCAGCTTCAGCACAGAATCCAAATTGTAGGAGTTAGGGAGTATATTATGGTCTAAATGTTTGTGTTACCCCCTTCTCCATTCATATGTTGAAATCCCAACCTTCAAGGTGATGGTGTTGGGAAGTGGAGCGTTTGGGAAGCTATTAGGACATGAGGGCAGAGTTTAGTGTCCTTATAAAAGAGGCCCAAGAGAGACAAGTCCTTGCGTCTTCTACCATGTGAAGACTTAGCCAGATGGCACCTTCTATGAACAAGAAAGCAGGTGCTCACCAGAAACAGCACCTGCTGGTATGTTGATCTTGGACTTCACTGCCTTTAGAATTGTGAGAAATACATTTCTTTTGTTTATAAGCCACCCAGTTTATGGTATTTTATTACAGCAGCCCAAACCAGCTAAGATGGGGAATTTCGATGCTGAAAGAGGGAGGGAAAATTAGAATGCTGTGGCTAGCCACTGATGAACCCATGGACAGTTAGCTTTCAAACTTTTAGACTATGATTAATATACTAAGAAAAGACACTACAGCAGATACAACTGTAGCCAACTTACAGTTGGGTATTTTATGTATTTGTTTGTTTCTTTTATTTCTCACCTTGTTCCAGAATGTGAAGCAAAGCTATCTTATTATTTCTCTTCCAGGACAGCATCAGGAAAATATGAAGCTCTTGTTTCTTTTCTTTCTCCTTGGCCTGCAAAGGCCTGTGTTTAGCTCTGTAATAATTTCTTTTCAAACTTGAGTTGCTCAGGCAACTACACTCTTTGCTCTCTAACTTGACCCCATTTCCTGATGAATGGTCTTTTCATTTCTTTGCTAAGACCTAAAGGTTTTTACATTCTGCAATTTTCTCTGCTAAATAGCTCTAGGCATTACTGCTTATAAAATCATAGACAATCATAAAACCTTAGATTTGGAAGGAACCTTGGAGACCATCTAATCCTACCCCCTCATTTTACAGTTAAAGAAATTGAGTTCTCAAGAGGGTAAATAACTTGTTCAGAGTCATCCAGCTAATTTGTAGACTGGGTAGTATTTTCCCAAGCTAATTTTTTGACTTGAATAGAACTACAACTGAAACCATTTTAAAGAGCACATACTTTTACATCTTGATCCTTTTGAAATATAATAATATAATTTACAGAACCAAATTTATAAAATCACCACTTTTAATCCTGAAAAACACTGTGATGTAAGAAATGGCTAAATGAGGTTCGTTATTTACATGCTTTTTAATAGGCCATGTATTAAAACTCTGGTCTCAGATTTACTAGTTAATTGAAGGTTGGCTAAATCAACCTAAAGAGATTGCTTTGCTTTACCTAATGACTTCTATGGTGGAGGGCAGGGGCAGTTGAAAGAAAATGGACCAACACAAACAGAGAGACATAATGTCAGCATGGGAATGAGGTTAGGCTCAATAATCTACTGTCATTATTATTACTGTTAATATAATATCATACTTTGTGTGCATAACATCATGACTCTAGCTTGGCAGTATGAAGTCCAGATAAGAAATTATAAGTTACCTTTGTGTCCAGAATTTTAATCTAGCTAGAGCCAAAGATGAGTCATCCTCTTTTTACTGCGCACTCGCTTCAGACAGAGGGGTCCTCCTATGTGGCCACAGGTAACTCATAGAACCTTTGAAGAGCCACTTTTCTTGACTGCTCTATATCTCTCTTTGCAAAATTGTGTATCTCACAAGTAGGCTCATTCTCAACATTTGTGAGCTTAATGGGAATGTGCCAATGGATATTTCTCACCCTGCTCCAATGGAACACCCACCCTTCTGTCCATACTGACCTCACAGAGACTTGTAAGTGCTCAGACTCTACCCCACATATCCAAGCTCTATCCACAACTCCAAACACCATACACAGCTGCCCCTTGACCACATTTTGGGCAGTATAATCCACCCCTAAAAAGACAAGAGAAGGGCAGAAGCTCAAGCAACCCCTGGAAGCAGGTTCAGACTTCACAGCAAGGGAACTATGGGTTTCCTGAGTAAGGGGAACTTTATTTAGAAGAGGGAAGGAGGTTCCAGGTGGAACAATCCCCTTGGCCATACAGACCTATTACTCTGTGGGGAGAGTGGGTACCAGAGGGGATCCAGAGTAGGGTCCTCTGAAGCACAGAACCCAGGAAAGAAATCTCAGTCAAGTTGACTGGATCAAAAGCAGTGCTGGTGACAAGAAAACTGTGGGACGAGGCCCTCCTACAGGTGTTGTCTCTTGGGTTGGACCTATATAAGGAATGGAAGCAAAGATGTTTGATGAACAGAGAGAAGCCACCTCAAACAAGTTATTTTTTTAAATTGGGAAGGTTCAGAGATGTTCTAAAAGAGCATCTAAGGAACAAGTCTGTTTAAAATTATTTCATGTCAGAAATAGAAGGAATCCTCAAAATCCTCTAATAAAGATGGAATGTGATCACAGAGACAAGAAACTTGTCCAAGGTCAGACTGAAGTTAGTAACAGAGCTCAGCCCCAAAACTTGGAACTTGGGCTTCTAGGTCCTCAGGCCTGAGTCTTTCCTTAAAGTGGTGCTGTATTCCTTTGAAGTATAGCTTTAAGCAACATGAAAGAAGGACGGTCATAGGGTAGTTCTTATTCTGTAAGTATATCTTTTCACCTATGTGATCAAGCACAGCTACAAATACCAACAATTTCTACTGAAAATCAAAGACCAATCAGCCTGCGTGTGTGTGTGTGAGAGAGAGACAGACAGACAGAGAGAGAGAGAGAGAGAGAGAGAGAGAGAGAGAGACAGAGGGAGAGAGAGAGACTGGAAATCAAGTAAAGAAAGGGAAGCACTAAAATGTAAATGCTGGGGCTGATGTCTTGATGAATATGCCAAGCACTGGAGAAACTTTATTTTGTTTTATGAATCAAACCAGGAAGGGATATTATCAGTATAAGGTGTTTCAGTTGGGGAAGTTGGTGCAATGAGAAGAGGCAGAAATGAAGATGGGAGTTACAGGGGTTCCTCACTCCCACTTACCCCAACTTTGGGACCACATACATACTCCACTCATATTCTCCCACATTGTTGGTAATGCTTGCTTTTATTATTTATTTATTTATTTGAGACAGAGTTTCACTCTTGTTGCCCAGGCTGGAGTGCAGTGGTGCAGTCTCAGCTCACTGCAACCTCTGCCTCCCAGGTTCAAGCGATTTTCCTGCCTCAGCCTCCCAGGTAGCTGAGATTACAGGTACATGCCACTATGCCTGCCTTATTTTTGTAGTGTTTTTTTTTTTTTTTTTTAGTAGAGATGGGGTTTCACCATGTTGGTCAGGCTAGTCTCAAATGCCTGACCTCAGGTGACCCACCTGCCTCTGCCTCCCAAAGTGTTGGGATTACAGGCATGAGCCACTGCACCCAGCCAATGCTTACTTTTAAAATAAAGGCCAGGGCCAGGTGCGGTGGCTCATGACTGTAATCCCAGCACTTTGGGAGGCTGAGGTGGGCGGATCACCTGAGATCAGGAGTTTGAGACCAGACTGGCCAACATGGTGAAACCCCATCTCTACTAAAAATACAAAAATTAGCTGCGGATGGTGGTGCAGCCTGTAATCCCAGCTATGTGGGAGGCTGAGACAGGAGAATTGCTTGAACCCAGGAGGCGGAGGTTGCAGTGAATCGAGATCATGCCACTGCACTCCTGCCTGGGTGACAGAGCGAGACTCCATCTCAAAAAAATGAATAAATAAATAAATAAATAAATAAAATAAAGGCCAGGAAATAAAATGTATTGAAGTGGCAAATATGCTCTAAGCATTGATTAATAGTGTTACAACAAATTAATATTTGTGGTCTATGAAAAAGGGAATTAGACTGTAGTATAGAATTTGTATTCCAGTTCCAGCCCTGCAGCAAGCCCTTTAACCTCTTTAAGTCAGTTTTCCCAAAGATAAAGTGTAAACAAGAAACTTAGCTCTTAATATTTATGGCAGAAAAAATGAAAAAAAAAAAACCTCAAAAGTCCAACAACAGGGAAATAAATTATAGAATATTTATATGCTAGAGTATTGTTAACAATAAAAATTTAGTTTTGAAAATTGTTAGCAATATACTAAAGATTCACAATATAATATTGTGAAAAAACATGATTTAGAAACAGTCTATTGAATTATGCAAATTTTACTAAATATTCTTTCAAGCATATAAAATACTTGAAAGAAATAAATCAAAATGTTAATTTTATTATTTCATGGTGGTGATTAGAGATGGTTTAACTTTTCTTCTTTACATAGTATATTTGTTATTTTCTGAATTGTGTTTAATGAACATATACCAATTTTACCATCAGAAAAGATGTTGTTTTTAATAAAACAATGTGCTTTAGCTTAGTTTATAAGGATATTTAGAGGAAAATGGAAACAAGTTTGAATACTCTCGATTCTGACAAAAATGTGCTAAGCAATCCCAGTACTTATGTTAAAGGGAATTTTTTTTTTTAATTTTTAATTTTTTTTTTTTTTGAGATGGAGTCTCACTCTGTCGCCCAGGCTAGAGTGCAGGGGCATGATCTCGGCTCACTGCAACCTCTGCCTCCCAGGTTCAAGTGATTCTCCTGCCTCAGGCTCCCAAGTAGCTGGGATTACAGGCATGCACCACCATGCCCAGCTAATTTTTGTATTTTTAGTAGAGACGGGGTTTCACCACGTTGTCCAGGCTGGTCATGAACTCCTGAGCTCAGGCAATCCACCCGCCTCAGCCTACCAAAATGCTGGGATTACAGGCGTGAGCCACTGCACCCAGCGTTTAAAGGGAATTCTGATGTTTGTTTCCATAGACAGTTTTTTTCTTAGTAAGGAATGGATGTAGGCACGGTGCGGTAGCTCACGCCTGTAATCCCAGCTCTTTGGAAAGCAGAGGTGGGCGGATCCCGAGGTCAGGAGATGGAGACCATCCTGGTTAACACGGTGAAACCCCGTCTCTACTAAAAGTACAAAAAAATTAGCCGGGCGTGGTGGTCGGCGCCTGTAGTCCCAGCTACTCGGGAGGCTGAGGCAGGAGAATGGAATGAACCTGGGAGGCGGAGCTTGCAGTGAGCCGAGATCGCGCCACTGCACTCCAGCCTGGGCGACAGAGCGAGACTCCGTCTCAAAATAAAAAATAAAAAAATAAATAAATAAAAGAATGGATGTGCTTGGAAGTGATCCCCCCAATCATTAGGGGAACACAGTGTATGTGCCACCACTACCTTAGAACTATTTCTGTGTGCTGAGCCTGGTGTTCAAGAAAAAGTCAAATTGACCCTCATCAGCCTACAGCAACTTTATCCATTCACTAGGAGGGATGACCAGCTCCTTGGGAAGATTTTTGTGCCTGAGGTGGGGCCTCAGACAGGGGTGGGAAATGTTTAAACAGACTCCTTTTCCCATGGCTTCAATTTCAGTCCCTCTTCTCAGCAGGGAGTGACCACTGTCTCTGTCATTCCCCACAGAAGCTGCTTATAAGATGAAAAAAGGTTAAAATACAAGTTCTTGGGAAATAAAAGCAGAGGGCAAGTAGGGCTGCAGGGGGAGCTAGTACCAGAATTGAGCTTGGCATCCTGGGAAGGTGAGGTCAGGTAAGATAGGGACTACTACTATTATAGACTACTGGGTCAAGTACTAGCTATTAATGATCTCATTTAACCCTTTAATAATATGAAGTTAGCCGTGTTATATCTTCCTCCCCGCCCCCGCCCCGCCCCCCCCCCCCCCCCCCGCTCCTCCTCCAACTGGAGTAACTGAAGCTCAGGTAAAACAAAACAAAATGAAACAAAAAACCATTTGCCAGGTTATTTCTTCCTCCCCTTCCTCCTCCTCCCCCTCCCTCCTCCTCCTCCCCCTCCCTCCTCCTCCTCCTTCTTCTCCTCCTCCTCCTTCTCCTCCTCCTTCTTCTCCTGCTCCTCCTCCTGCTCCTCCTCCTGCTCCTCCTCCTCCTCCTCCAACTGGAGTAACTGAAGCTCAGGCAAAACAAAACAAAATGAAACAAAAAACCACTTGCCAAGATCACACAGGTAAATGCTGGAGCCAGAGTTTGAATTGAGGTTTTAGTGGCTCTGAAATGTGTACTTTTTACAACAGAGTCTGGTGAGCCCCAGAGTTGTTTAATACCAGATTCACCCAGAAAGAAATTTGAAAATACAAATTCCAAAATTCCATCCCTAGAAATTCTGATTTTAATTATGTCAGGAATGGGACCAAGGAATCTGTAAGGCGTTAAGGAGGTTCGAGGACTGCAGCTCTCTTCCACATTGCTGCTCCCACATCAGCAATTAGTCAAGATGTGCTCTTGTGCATGGGCCTGAAGACTCAGCCCAGTGAGTGAGCTATGTGTGAACTTCACACTCTTGGCCCCTGCCAGTTCCTCAGCCTCATATCTCCCTCCCACCAAGTCAGAATTTGGGAAAGCCAGCCAGTCAGGAAGAGTGCTAAAACAAAAAATATAAATACAATGAGATAGAAATAATGAAGCTTCGACAAGGTGAGGTGGCTCACACCTGTAATCCCAACACTTTGGGAAGCCGAAGTGGGCAGATCACGAGGTCAGGGGTTCAAGACCAGCCTGGCCAACATAGTGAAACCCCATCTCTACTAAAAATACAAAAAAATTAGCCAGGGGTGGTAGCGGGTGCCTGTAATCTCAGCTACTTGGGAGGTTAAGGCAAGGAGAATCACTTGAACCTGGGAGGCAGAGGTTGCAGTGAGCCGAGATTGCGCCACTGCACTCCAGCCCGGGTGACAGTGTGAGACTCCGTCTCAGAAAAAAAAAAAAAGAAGAAGAAGCTTCTTAGGGTGGTGACTGGGAGGAGGGGACAAGCACCCCATGGAGTTGCTTCAGTCACAATCAATGGTCATTTAACTGCGTCTAAGGAGGTCAGGTCTTAGGTGCAGGCCTTTTGTTTGGCTGATTTGCTTTGCAGATTTGGGTCCAAGGCATGCAAATGTCCCTGTTTAGGATCACAAAGGAGTCACTGGGGAGCCACCAGCATTCTCTCCACTACATTTCACATCTTCTCCAGACTTAATAAACCTTTCCTTTAAATAAATATTTTTAAGATATGTCAAAAAGAGCCGGGCGCGGTGGCTCACACCTGTAATCCCAGCACTTTGGGAGGCTGAGGCGGGTGGATCACAAGGTCAGGAGATCGAGACCATCCTGGCTAATACGGTGAAACCCCGTCTCTACTAAAAAAATACAAAAAATTAGCCAGGCGTGGTGGCGGGTGCCTGTAGTCCCAGCTACTCGGGAGGCTGAGGCAGGAGAATGGCTTGAACCTGGGAGGCGGGAGGCAGAGCTTGCAGTGAGCGGAGATCGTGCCTCTGCTCTCCAGCCTGGGTGTTAGAGCGAGACTCCATCTCAAAAAAAAAAAAAAAAGATATGTCAAAAAGATTAGTTTGAAGAGGCACAAAATTACTGACCTGTCTCATGCATCCCTGCATTTTAGTTCTGCTCTGTCTCATCCCATCCCCGCATTACCTCTGTTCTCCTCCAGGCCTTTGCACACCATTCCCACCACCTGGAACACTCTTCTGCCTGCTCGCTCTCTCTACACCTATCTATCTCATTCTTATTCATCTTTTAGGTCTAGGCTTAAACATTGCTTTCTCTGGGAGCCTTCCTCAACATAGAGGTTAGAGACTCTTAGTGTATGTTCTGACACCTATCACCACACTCATCAGATTTCATCGTCATTACATATTTAATTATCTGTTTCCCCCTAAACTGTGAGCTCTCTGAAGACAGGACTTTTGTTGTTTTGTCCATCACTGTTTCTTCATAGCTAGTCCAACGTTCATGAAATCTGTACTGAGTGATTGAATGAGCCGAGAGTCTGAGGCTATGTACATAGTGAGCCCCTTACTTAGAAGGATTAAAAGTTGGGACTGGAACTGTGATCAGTTCATAGGAACTCCAGTGTATAGATTCTCTAACTTTACCAAAGCTCAACCTTATCCAGATTATGGTGCCAAGAATCCTGGGATGCAAATCAGAAATATAAGATCCAGCGAAGTTGTGTAACCTTTTGCCAGTTGTTTAACCTCTTCAACCACTCCCAGCTTTTCTGAGTAGCAAACTGTAGGAAAGTACAGTGCTTTGAAACAATACAAATATGAGTCTCCTTTTGTGGAGACATAGAAGAGATGTGTCATCTTTAAAGGGACCACTTTCTGGTTTCCATTTTTCCCACCTCAAGCCATACCTCTGGGAGGGTAAGCACAGTCAGTACAGTGGAGGCTCTCATCAACGCCACTCACCACTGCCATTATCTGGCTGATTAATACAGTTTGTGTTATTGCAAAGGAAAGGGGAGGAGGAGAGAGAACAACGTGGCAGCATTTGTGGTATAAGAATGTGGTAGATCTGTCAAAAACACTTTCCAGATTCCTCATTCTCTAGGGGACAATTTTTCTGCTGGTATTTTGAGATCTCAAAATTAAATACCTGTGCCAGAACTGCCATCTCTAAGGTGACAATACTAGAAATCTCCCTCGGCTTCTTAACATGAGAGGTTTTAAATATTAGCTGCCTTAATGAAGTACCATATGGATAACATTTTAGGACAGGCAGTCAAATTGTGACAAAAAAAAAAAAACAAAAAATGATTAACTGCAAAAGCAAGAAAAAGAATTTGAAGTAGGGTTGCCAGATTTAGCAAGTAAAAATATTTGAGAAATAATTGCACTAAAAAAGTATTAATTGTTGGCCAGGCACGGTGGCTCACGCCTGTAATCTCAGCACTTTGGGAGGCCAAGGCAGGCGGATCACCTGAGGCCAGGAGTTCAACACCAGCCTGGCCAACATGGTGAAACCCCATCTCTACTAAAAATACAAAATTAGCCGGATGTGGTGGCAGGCCCCTGTAATCCCAGCTACTTGGGAGGCTGAGGCAGGAGAATCGCTTGAACCGTGTGTGGCTGGTATTTCTTTAATGTTATCAAATACCTAATGAGGGTTCAAGTTTCTGATTGTCTAAAAAAATTTTAAAAGTTTTTGCTTTTTAAAAAAATCACAAACCAAATAAAGTCCCTTTGTTTGTAATTTGTTCATAAGTTTCTCCTTCCTTCCTCTCTCTCTCTTTTCCCTTGCAAGCTATATGTTGAAGAAATTCGGTTGTCCAGTTGAGTCTCTTACATTCTGGATTTTTCTGATTGTATCCTCTGCGTATTTGTATCTCTTATAAACTGTTAGCTGGATTTAGAGATTTAGTCTGATTCAGTTTAAAATTTTTTGCAAGAATACCTTCAGGTGGTGGTGTGTACTTCCATCAGGAGGCATATAATATCTAGTGGTCTCTCTTTTTGTGATATTAGCAGCCACTGATGATCATTGCCTAGAGTATGTAATTAGAAATTTGCAAAGTGGTCTTATTCTTTTTTTTTTTTTTTGACACGGAGTCTCTCTCTGTCGCCCAGGCTGGAATGCAGTGGCATGATCTCGGCTCACTGCAACCTCTGCCTCCTGGGTTCAAATGATTCTCCTGCCTCAGCCTCCTGAGTAGCTGGGACTACAGGTGCATGTCACCACTGCTAGCCAATTTTTTATAGTTTTAGTAGAGACGGGGTTTCACTGTGTTAGCCAGTATGGTCTTGATCTCCTGACCTCATGATCCACCCACCTCGGCCTCCAAAAGTGCTGGGATTACAGGTGTGAGCCAGCCACCGCACCCGGCCAGTGGTGTTATTCTTATATCGTTGTTTCTCTATTTATTCTTTTTCCTTCGTGTGTGTGTGTGTGTGTGTTTAGTAGAGACAGGGTTTTGCTATGTTGCCAGGCTGGTCTTGAACTCCTGGCCTCAACTGAGCCGCCCGCCTTGGCCTCCAAAGTGCTGGGATTACAGGCATGAGCCACCGTGCCCTGCCATTATTGATTCTTTTTTCATTACAAATTTATTTTTTAATTATTATTTTCCTTTTTGGTATTGCTCCTTGTGGAGCAGGGATAACCCATAGGCAGTGTGCCCAGAGTAGTCTCTATTTATTCTTGAGAGAACCTTCCCTCATCAACTATTTTGTTACCCTGAGGTGTATTTCATGTGGGAAAGTATCATAGCTCAGTTTCTAGGAGAACAGACTCTGAGATGAAAATTGCATGTCACAGGTTTAAAGCAGGAAGCCCTAGGGAACAACACCTGTAAGAAAGTGAGGAAAGTGCTGGACAGAGTGAGAAAGAAGTTGAACTGTGATGGAATTTTAAAGAACCCAGACAATCCTACAGTGAGCTTTAAAGCCGGCATAGCTCCTCAAAGTTAAGGCTGTGCCTTTATACCCTCCACCCCGCCCATGCATTGACTAATCACTGTGGGCTGACCTTGGGTTGAGGATGTAATCTTGAGTAAGACAGCTCCCCTTACCCAATAACAATTCCTGGGAGTGGCTCAGCTGAGGAACTTTAGCAGTGGAGGCTCCTGGGGACTGAACGAGCATCTCAGTTGTGAAGGGGCCTATCTGAGTGGTGCACTTAAGTATCAAATACAAAAGGACAAGTTAAATGGTTGATTCCTTCTCTTTATTTACCAGATTCAAGAATCATGGGCTAGGCACGGTGGCTCATGCCTGTAATCCCAGCACTTTGGGAGGCCGAGGCGGGCGGATCACCTGAGGTTGGGAGTTTGAGACCAGCCTGACTAAAGTGGAAAAACCCCATCTCTACTAAAAATGCAAAATTAGCCAAGCGCAGTGGTGCATGCCTGTAATCCCAGCTACTCAGGAGGCTGAGACAGGAGAAGTGCTTGAACCCAGGAGGCAGGGGTTTCGGTGAGCTGAGATCACGCCATTGCACTCCAGCATGGGCAACAAGAGCGAAACTCCATCTCAAAAAAAAAAAAAAAAAAAAAAACAAAAAGAATCATGAGTTGAGTTGATGAGTTGTTTCTGAAGGGGATCAGAACATGCTAGCTCAAAATATGCCACTTTGGTGTGAGGATGATTCTGAGCTGAAGGCAATTGAGAAACAGCACATACAGGAAAAGCTCTCTACCCTTCTCTTTTCTGTCTAAAAGCAGGGAATAAATTTTCTCTTTGTGAAGGTTTCCCCCAACCCCTCTCCCACACCAGAAAGAGATGACTCTTATCGCTAGAGATGGCACTAGCTTGAATCTGCATAATCAAACCTCACTAAAATAGCTGTTATCTTCCACTTACTTTCCTGCATATATTTATCACCCCTAGAAACCCGAGCTCTTTTTCTTTGTCTTGTCACTTCTCCACAAATTTGTTGTTCATTGTTAAAATGGCATATAAGCTCTCAGGCCTCACTGCTTCTTTGGGTTTTTACTTCCTTTTCCATGAGACTCTCATATGCATGTAAAACATTAATATATTAACATCAAATAACATCTTTTTTTTTTTTTTTTTTTGAGTCGGAGTCTTGCTCTGTTGCCCAGGCTGGAGTGCAGTGGCATGATCTCGGCTCACTGCAACCTCTGCCTTCCAGGTTCACGTGATTCTCCTGCCTCAGCCTCCCGAGTAGCTGGGATTACAGGTGCGTGCCACCACGCCCAGCTGATTTTTTGTATTTTTAATAGAGATGGGGTTTCGCTATGTTTGCCAGACTGGTCTTGAACTCCTGACCTCGTGATCCACCCACCTCGGCCTGCCTAAGTGCTGGGATTACAGGTGTGAGCCACCATGCCAGGCCTAGATTTTTAAAAAATATTTTTTGTTGCCTGAATTGCCTTTCTACTTTAGAAAGCTAGAGTGATATCTTGAAAGTTGTGGGATTTTTTTATTGGGACAAAAACCAGATGCTAGTCTTACATATCTTGCTTTTATGAAGTGGGAAAAGAGATCCAACCTGCCTTATTTTTCTGAAAAAATTTTTTTAATTAATGGCCTTGATTAGTGTCTGAAAGCTCCATTTTGATGTCCAAATTAGGTCTTCTCCAGAGCTTGCTAGGAAAGTTCTTTCCTTACCTTTTGGTGATTTGGGCTATAGATTTTTCTGTTTTCTCCATTAGTCTCCATTAGTCTTATCCTTTTTTCTCTAATATTTCTTTCAACTTTCTGGTCAGTTACTAGTTCATTTTTCTTGTTTTTTAGCACAATGTATATTAATAAATAGGAATTTTAGTGACATTGGGATAAAAATGGTGGTGGTGGTGGTACTGTGCTTAGTCTGTCATTTCAAAATGGATGCTTCCTAATGTCTTTTTTTTTGAGACGAGGTCTCACTCTGTCGCCCAGGCTGGAGTGCGGTGGCGTGCTCTCGGCTCACTGCAACCTCTGCCTCCCAGGTTCAAGCAGATTGCCTCAGCCTCCCAAGTAGCTGGGATTACAGGCGCGAGCCACCACGGCTGGTGGTTTCACCATGTTGGCCAGGCTGGTCTTACACTCCTGACCTCAGGTGATCTATCTGCCTTGGCCTCTCAAAGTCCTGGGATTACAGACATGAGCCATCACGCCCAGCCCTTAATGTCAAAAATAAAGATCTAATTTCTTCTAAAAAAAAATTTTTTTTTTCAGAGATTGGGTCTTGCTCTGTTGACCAGGCTGGTCTTGAACTCCTGCTCTCAAGCAATCCTCTCATCACAGCCTCCCAAAGTGCTAGGATTACAGGAATGAGCCACTACACCTGGCCAAAATCTAATTTCTTATATAAGACATCAGGGTGACCGGGCAAGGTGGCTCACACCTGTAATCCCAGAACTTTGGGAGGCTGAGGTGGGCGCATCACAAGGTCAGGAGTTCGAGACCAGTCTGACCAAAGTGGTGAAACCCTGTCTCGACTAAAAACACAAAAATTATCCGGGTGTGGTGGTGTGTGCCTGTAATCCCAGCTACTCAGGAGGCTGAGGCAGGAGAATCGCTTGAACCCAGGAGGTGGAGGTTGCAGTGAGCAAAGATCACACCATTGCACTCCAGCCTGGGTGACAGAGTGAGACTCCGTCTGAAAAAAAAAAAAAAAGACATCAGGTGTTCACAACTGTTTTATACTGGAAGTCCTTAGTTAAGAAGTAGATTTACAAATATCAGAGCTCGGCTAGGCACAATGGCTCATGCCTGTAATCCCAGAACTTTGGGAGGCTGAGGCAGGTGGATCACTTGAGTTCAGGAGTTTGAGACCAACCTGGCTAACGTGGTGAAACCCTGTCTCTACTAAAAATACAAAAACAAAAACAAAAAAACCCAGCCAGGCATGATGGTGTGCACCTGTAATCCCAGCTACTTGGGAGGCTGAGGCAGGAGAATCGCTTGAACCCGGAAGGTTACAGTGAGCCATGATCGCTCCACTGCAATCCAGCCTGGGCAATAGAGTGAGACTTTGTCTCAAGAAAAATAAAAAATAAAATAAAAAAATAAAAAGTAGGCTGGACACGGTGGCTCAGGCCTGTAATCCCAGGCCTGACTCCAGCACTTTGGGAGGCTGAGGTGGGCAGATCACGAGATCAAGAGATCGAGACTATCCTGGCCAACATGGTGAAATCTGCCTCTATTAAAAATACAAAAATCAGCCGGGCGTGGTGGCGGGTGCCTGTAATCCCAGCTACTCCGGAGGCTAAGGCAGGAGAATTGCTTGAACCCAGGAGGCAGAGGTTGCAGTGAGCCAAGATCGTGCCACTGCACTCCAGCCTGGTGACAGAGCGAGACTCCAACTCAAGAAAAAAAAAAAAAAAAAAAAAAAAAAAGGCCAGGCGCGGTGGCTCACGCCTGTAATCTTAGCACTTTGGGAGGCCGAGGCGGGCGGATCACGAGGTCAGGTGATCGAGATCATCCTGGCTAACACGGTGAAACCCCGTCTTTACTAAAAATACAAAAAATTAGTCGGGCCTGCTGGCTGGCACCTGTAGTCCCAGCTACTCAGGAGGCTAAGGCAGGAGAATGGCGTGAGCCCGGGAGGCGGAGCTTGCAGTGAGCCGAGATTGCGCCACTGCACTCGGGCCTGGGCGACAGAGCGAGACTCCATCTCAAGAAAAAAAAAATAAATAAATAAATAAAATAAAAAATGAAATAAAAAAATAAAAAGTAAAAACCAGCACTTGTATTTGAGCGTAATTTGTACGCTTATTTGTTATTATTTTTTTAAAACAGTTTTTAATTCTATGTTTGTTAGGATCTACAATATGTCATGAACTGTACTATGATTTGTTGGTGGTCTTCTGGCTCATATTCTTAGTCTTGGCTAAATAGCCTAACCTACCATTGGCAGTAACAATAGAGAAGTGTCTAACTTTGGGGCTATTCTTTTTCCTTAACCGTTATTTGACTGATGGGTATTTTAGAAGGCTGGAGAAGGCATATCTGGACTGCAAAGCTCAACTGATTATTTCTGTATTTTCTGAGAAGGCATAGGGTATTCTTTTCCTTTCTTCTTCTTTTTTTTTTTTGTGACAGAGTCTCGTTCTGTCGCGCAGGCTGGAGTGCAGTGGTGCGATCTCGGCTCACTGCAACCTCCGCCTCCTGCGTTCAAGCGATTCTCCTGCCTCAGCCTCCCGAGTAGCTGGGACTACAGGTGTTGGCCACCACGCCCGTCTAATTTTTTGTATTTTTAGTAGAGACGGGGTTTCACCGTGTTAGCTGGGATGGTCTCCATCTCCCGACCTCGTGATCCGCCCGTCTCAGCCTCACAAAGTGCTGGGATTACAGGCATGAGCCACCACACCCAGTCAGGATATTCTTACTTTAATCTCATATGGGAAAACAGGTTATGGAATAAGTGGATGACTTTCAAATAAAGCTGTCTGGTTAGAACTGGGAAATACAGGTCTGGGACTAAGATGATAATTCAAGGAATGCTGCATAGGGCAGAAGGTTCACCAGCTGTTTTCATTTCATCAAATGACAGAACAAATGCACATGTACTTAAGCTGAAGCCAGAATACCTTAAAAAGAATTTCCTGGAAGACTGAGGAGCGTAATGCAGAAGATAGTTTAATAGATTTCTTCAGAATTTGGAAAGGTTTGCCTTTATTCGGGCCATAGATTCTTATCGAGGGATGGGTTCAATAGCTAATAGCTTCTTAGTGTACTTTCCAGCCCCAGGAGTCAGTAATTTAGTGTATTTAAGTAGGAATCTCCCTGACATTTTTGCATTGAATATCAGAATAAATAGGTAATAGCATATCCATATAACTTGCTAACATGTCATTTAGGCTGCCTGAGGGCTGCAGTAAATTGCTCTGCCACATTTTTAAGTGAATATACAAATGCTGAGCATCAGTGATAAGATGATCCTGTGTTTTATTGTATTATTACTTTTCCCCTCCGGTGCTGAGAAATGAATTGCTTATGAGACGGAAAGGGGTATGGCTTAATAACTTGTAACCAGATATTCCATGCAGCGATGTGAACTTCCATGTCCTTATTTTAGCCCTCTTTCTTCCCAAGAACAGTAGAATCTCATAATGTGGGAAAGGGTGGTATAGTCACCCTTGAATATAAAATGCCTATAGGAATTAGGTACAAGTGAGAATAAAACAATAAAATGAACTTGTAATTGGTGACTATCTTATCCTTCTTCCTAAAAGTAGTGCCAAGAGACCACTAATAATAATGATATTAACATGAGGCTTATTACAAGGCAGTCACTGTCCTAAATGTTTTACTAATATTAACTTAGTGCTTACAACAACTTGTGAAGTAGATATAGTTATTATCTCCATTTTATGGATGAGAGAACTGAAACACAGACATTAAGTGATCACCCATGGTCACACAGAGTACTAGCTACTATGCTCAACTGTCTCTAATGAAATACTGATTTCCTGACTGTATTTGAGTTTGTTCAATACTGTGTTTCTAGGGAAGACTTAATCAGTTTTTGAGAAAACATGGCATTCAGTCCAATTTCAAATTAGGAAGATTCTTTGGCTCAATTCCTTTAGTCTTTAAAAAGTCCCTCAGAGACCTTTCTTGGATAATTAGTTGCAAACAATATCAATTATATCTAAGAGGACAAATTTAATTACTACAGAAGACCAATTGATTTTTTTAATTATCATTGATTGCTCAGTAGTTATCTCAGTGTAAAGATTTGTACATTCTAAATCTTTAATTTAGTTGGTTTATTAAGTAGCCTAAAGGTTGGCACCAAAGGAAGACAGGTGAATTTTTCCCCGGCTCTCTTATCTTCTCAATGAAAGTAAACACCTTCCTTGGAAGCCTAAGATAGTCAACAGCAAAAACAGCAACAACAAAACAACAACAATTAATATTAAATTATGTGTAGGATTTCGGGAGATTTTCTCTTTTTTGATTTTAGGGGGTTTATTGGAGGAGCGATACCCTAGTTTTCCTAATGGTGGGGATAGAGCTTGCTTTATTAGCTGTCTCAGTACCAGGATGCAGATTTTTTTGTGTTTGTTTTTGAGACGGAATCTTGCTCTGTCAGCCAGGCGGGAGTGCACTGGCACAATCTTGGCTCACTGAAACCTCCGCCTCCTGGATTCAAGTGATTGAGGCAGGAGACTGCCTCAGTCTCCCAGGTAGCTTGGATTACAGGCACCCGCCACCATGCCTGGCTAATTTTTGTGTTTTTAGGAGAGATGGGGTTTCACCATGTTGGCCAGGCTGGTCTTGAACTCCTGATCTCGTAATCCGCCCGCCTCAGCCTCCCAAAGTGCTGGGATCACAGGCGTGAGCCACTGCGTCCGGCCAGGATGCAGATTTTTTTTCTTTTCTTTCTTTTTTTTTTTTTGAGACGGAGTCTTGCTCTGTTGCCAGGCTGGAGTGCAGTGGCGCGATCTCAGCTCACTGCAAGCTCCACCTCCAGGATTCAAGCGATTCTCCTGCCTCAGCCTCCGGAGTAGCTGGGACTACAGGTGCGCGGCACCACGCCAAGCTAATTTTTGTATTTTTAATAGAGACGGGGTTTCACCATGTTGGCCAGGATGGTCTCGATCTCTTGACCTCGTGATCCACCCGCCTCGACCTCCCAAAGTGCTGGGATTACAGGCGTGAGCCACTGCGCCCGGCCTATCTCATCTTTAAAATGAGGATAATCACATCTGTCTTGCCTACAGGCCAAGTCTGTGACAGTACATTACAAAATATTAAATGTATGTAAATTCAAGGATCATTAATATTTAGAGATAACTGTGATATTTTCATTATTTTGCTATAAAAATATTGTCTGACACTAATTGTATCAGTAATCTACTGTGGCATAAGAAACTACCCTCTAAACTTATTGACTTAAAGCAACCATTTATTATTTCTCTCTTATAAGCCTACAAGTCAGCCAGATGAGTTCACTGGTCTGCATCAGGCTCAGATATACTTAGTTGGTCTTGCTTATGTTTCTGTGATCAGCTCGGGGGGTGGGCTGGTGCTGGCTGGTCTAGGATGGCCCCAGCTGGGATGATTTGGCCCTCTTTCATGTGGTCTCTCATTCTTTAGCAGGTAGCCCAGAGCTGTTCTCATGGCAAAGGAAGAGAAGGAAGTGAGAGAGTGCGTATAACACCTCTTGAGGCCTTGGCTATGAATGGGATCCCATCATGTCCCCCACATTGTAGTGACCAAAGCAATCTACAAGACAGCCTGATTCAAGGGGTGGACATGAGGACTAATGAATTTCACATCTTGATGGGAAGAGCTGCATATACACATTGTAAGGAGTAGGAAAAAGAGGAGCCATTTTGCCATGATCTACTACACTAATTGAGTCACATATTCAATTTAAGCCCTTGATTTTTAAAAATCTATTTTACTATGCAGTGATTTTTTTGAAATTTGCAATTTTTAGGTCACTGAGTTATCTATGTTTTAACATATATGCACATATTCACATCCATAGCTCACTGATTACACATAAACCTAAAATAAAACATTTGAATATATTTGCAATTATTGTGACCAGCTCTTACCTGGAAAAGCTGTTAGATGTATTCTTATTTATGTATTAACTCGCATTTGCTATATTAGCATTTACATAGGGAAATAAAACAAGCAGGAGGTCCAGTCAAAATAAGTGTTGGAATTCTGAGGGCTAACGCATTTTCCACTAGTGGATTTTCTGTTGCACTGAAATGATTAGTGCATTTCACTTCACTACTGATCCTATAAGCAGTCAGATTAAATACAGAGACAATATAAATAGAAAATCCAGGTCTTCAGCCCTGCCCTTGAAAATGAAAAGAACGAGTTCAGGAGATCAAGACCATCCTGGCTAATGTGGTGAAACCCCGTCTCTACTAAAAATACAAAAAATTAGCCGGGCACGGTGGCAGGCGCCTGTAATCCCAGCTACTTGGGAGGCTGAGGCAGGAGAATGGCATGAACCCGGGAGGCAGAGCTTTCAGTGAGCCGAGATAGAGCCACTGCACTCCGGCCTGGGCGAAAAAGTGAGACTCTGTCTCAAAAAAAAAAAAAAAAAAAAAAAAAAAAAAGGAAATGAAGAGAAGAATTTTGGCTTTGTTTTATTTTGTTTGAGCTAGAATTAAACCCAACTGGATGACTACATTGATTAAATTCCATGACTGTGTGTTTAACTCATGATTTCACTTGGATTTAGGCATTTAGTTGTATAATGCCAAACATCTGGATGTTTTTTCTCTAGTGCCAAGTATATAACTGTGTGGAAGAATGTTCCAGTTTTGGCATTTACTTGGCATCCTTATATACACTCTTCAACCGGACGTACCATGTCACCTGAGGAACTCCAGAAATTTGGGTCAAAAAGATGTGTATTTCTGATTAGGTTTAATTCTTAAAACTGTAAATATAAGCTATCTGAATACATAAGCATTTGGCAATATTCTGTAGATTCTAACAGCCCCTCTCTCTATGTTGGCGTCATGTCCAGGAACATTTTAGATATACTACCATAACATTTTCTAAATGACTGTATTATAATTTAATGTTATATTTGGCAAACACAACCTAAAATACAGTAGCTAATAGTGCAAGCTCATTTTACTTGCATATCATTGTAAATCACTTTCATGTAGTACTTACCAAATGTGTCAGGTTATTACAATCTATTTAATGACTTAATGTGTAAGATGCATTGTTCTTAAATTCAATTATACCCTTTGCACCTCTGGAATTAAGGTCATGTCAGCATTTCTTTTATATAAGTGCTTGGGTTTAGCAGTTTTTAACTGAGTTATAAAAGTTGGCTTCCAAATCAAGCCTTAGTAATAAAGGTCACTGCCTGAAGGAATTCCCCTCCTCTCCAAATTTAGTACATATAATGTTTTGGTGCAACTCCTGCTTTCTAAAATAATTTTTCAGGAAAAAATTCATTATAGTCTTCATATGGCAGAAAGGAAGCTCTTTCATTTTCTGTTTGCTTTATAAGACTAAGCTTTTCTTCCTTGCAAAGTGACAGTCATCTCTCTATCTGGCTTTTAATATATTCTCCATCTCCATTTTTTTATTGGTTACGTAACCTCAAGCTGTCATTTAGCCACTTTGTGTCTCAATCTACTCATCTGTAGAATGAATTATTGACAGTACCTACCTCACAGAGTTGTAGTGAGGATTAGATGAGATACTATACACATGTGTTTGGGAAAGTACATATTAATTGCTCAACAAAAGTTAGGTTTTATTATTATTAGATAAGAGATTTAGGCCAGGCATGGTGGCTGACCTCTGTAATCCCAGCACTTTGGGAGGCGGAGGCGGGCAGATCACTTGAGGTCAGGAGTTGGAGACCAACCTGACCAACATGGAGAAGTCCTGTCTCTACTAAAAATACAAAATTAGCCAGGCATGGTGGTGCATGCCTGTAATCCCAGTTACTTGGGAGGCTGAGGCAGGAGAATCGTTTGAACCCAGGAGGCAGAGGTTGCAGCAAGCCAAGATCTTGCCATTGCACTCCAGCCTGGGCAACAAGAGCGAAATTCCATCGCAAAAAAAAAAAAAAAAAAAAAAGATTTAGTGTGAGTCTATTCCTTATTAGAGGAACATTTGAAAAAAACAGGCTACTGAGGTAAGATTTGGCATTTACTGAGAGGTATGGAAGAAGTTATGGCTATCAGACAATCATTACCCTAATGTCAATAAATAGATATTTTTAATTTTAGAAATTAATATTAATATTTTTATTATTCATCTTCAGGTTTGCTTAGGAAGAAAACAAGATTTCCCTGAAGCAGTTGAATTAGACAGGCAATTAGCCCTGTGGTGTTGAAACATTACTGTATGTGTTGCTAATGAAACACTCTAGGCAATTCCACTCGGCCGCATGTTAATCACAAGAAGATGGACACATTTTCCTGGGTGCAGAAAAAAGCCACTCCCTTACTGACTCATTCTTTAAAATATATATATGTATAATTCACGGACAGATACAGTTTTGGGCTGGGCGCGGTGGCTCACGCCTGTAATCCCAGCACTTTGGGAGGCCAAGGTGGGTGGATCACAAGGTCAGGAGATGGAGACCATCCTGGCTAACATGGTGAAACCCCGTCTCTACTAAAAACACAAAAAATTAGCCAGGTGTGGTGGTGGGCACATGTAGTCTCAGCTACTTGGGAGGCTGAGGCAGGAGAATGGTGTGAACCCGAGAGGCAGAGCTTGCAGTGAGCTGAGATCGTGCCACTGCACACTCCAGCCTGGGCAACAGAGCAAGACTCTGTCTCAAAAAAAAAAAAAAAAAAAAAAAGAAAAAGATTCAGTTTTGCATTGACCAAATACCTAATTTGTTCCTGAATAACCTGCAAAGAAATTCTCCTGCAAAAATTGGAAAGAGGCAGATCCACTGACAAAAAATAATTTGTTTTCCTCTGTCTGTACTAACAGTAGAATCTCTGCTTTCTTAGTTGTCATGACCTCCTGTTTCTGCAGGGAACAGATCACTGTGTCAGGGACCGCACACAGAAGCATCATAGTGTGATTATACATGCCTGCAGAGATGCTCCAGCACTGATGATGCAAAAGAGTCCAAGAAATAAAATACATGTGATGGAATCCAAAAGCCCTCAGAAGAATTTTAATCAATATTTTTTAGAAAATTTTATTTCAATATATACTACTATCTAAACACTGAAAATTGTAATTCCCAATTCTATTAATTGACTTTTTCACATCGATTAAAATCTTTGGAGTTTTCTATTTGATCTAATTCAGGATAAATTTGATGTTTCTTTGCCTGACATAATCCAGATGACATTCATGCAACTACAATCTGTTGTTTCCACCCTGCCATTACACAAATAGAATCCTAGAACTGGAAAGTCCAACAGAATTCATTTTTACAAGTGAATATCAAATATTTAAACTACTCTGTTCACAAGGTTTCCTTTTCTTAGAAAAAGTTCACAGCCTTTGATGGACAAAAGTCTAAATCAGGGACAATGACAGCGTTAAGCCCTTGCCAGGCAGACACATCAAAGTTAAAGGAGCCTCCTGATATAGAGAAGATCCAGAATAAAACTTTGTGAAAGGAAATAAGGCTATACAGAAAAACCATCTAAGTATTGGTCCGTTTATTATTATTATTATTCTTATTGAGACAAGGTTTTGCTCTGTTGTCCAGGATAGAGTGCAATGGCACAATCATAGCTCATTGCAACCTCCAACCACTGGTCTCAAGTGATCACCTCATCCTCCTGCTTAGTTGGGACTACTGGCATGCACCGCCACACTCAGCTTGGTCTATTATTTATTTGATTCAAATATGTAAGAAAATGCAAGCATAGCTTAAAATAACCTGAAACATTTATTAGCAAAAAATAAGCAAGGTAGATGCCATTCAGGATTCTAGACAATAGGCCATTTATGATTTGCTTGACCATCAGAAATAAGTTATAGTAATATAAAATTCCTTTTCAAAACTCAATTAATGTTTAAAAGAGAGCACACAACATAGTTGATTGGGAACCTCTCAGTTGATATGATTTCTGAATAAATCGCATGTATCAGTTGACTAGAAACCATCACTCTCAACTATAAAATGGAGATTACGTTGTTCAGTGATCCATGTTACATCAACACCAATAAGAGAGGAAGACAGGGTGATGATACAGTATCTTAGAAAGTCATTACTACCATTTTATAAATTCCATTTAAACAAATTAACTGGGAAAGTAGCCAGCATCAGTGTAGATAACAGGCAGTACTTTTTTTTCTTAAAATTCGACCAAAATTCAACTATACTTCTTGAACTGTAGTTCAACCAGAAAGGAAAATGCAGTAGTTATAATAGAACAGTTTACAACAGAGTTGGAGATAAATGCCTCAAATCAAACAGATTTGCATAAGACTGCCTAGAGTCCACATGGATGGTTCCATGAGAGTGGCTCACCATGCAGCTGAGCTTCCTGACACTACTAATGCAGGGGTAAATTAATCAAGGAGCTTATTAATGAAGCTTAATGTTTATTGATCAACAGTGCATTGTTACCAATCCACTTAATGGCAGGTAGAGTGGAATTAGACAATTTGGCCAATTTAAGAGAATTGTAGCCGGGCGCGGTGGAACACGCCTGTAATCCCAGCACTTTGGGAGGCCAAGGCGGGTGGATCACGAGGTCAGGAGATCGAGACCACCCTGGCTAACACGGTGAAACCCCGTCTCTACTAAAAATAGAAAAAACTAGCCGGGCGTGGTGGTGGGCGCCTGTAGTACCAGCTACTCGGGAGGCTGAGGCAGGAGAATGGTGTGAACCTGGGAGGCGGAGGTTGCAGCGAGCGGAGATCGTGCCACTGCCCTCCAGCCTGGGCGACAGAGCAAGACTCCGTCTCAAAAAAAAAAAAAAAAAAAAAAAAAGAGAATGTAGACTCTATGAAAGGATGATGAACTGACTATGAAATCTAAAGAGGTTTTCAATGTTACATTCAGAGCATCTGATATTACATGGCTCCCTACTATTAACTGAAGAAAAATAATCTTAAAGCAAGTGACGGAGTAAAAAATGTGCATACACCTTCCCATCCCTTTCCTTGTGAAGTGTTTTCATCGTTTAAGTCTGAAGTCAGATGATTCTTCCTCTGTGAAGCTATCTTATTTTTTTTTTTTTTTTTTTTTTTTTTGAGACAGTGTCTCACTCTGTCGCCAGGCTGGAGTGCAGTGGCGCAATCTTGGCTCACTGCAACCTCTGCCTCCTGGGTTCAAGCAATTCCCCTGCCTTAGCCTTTCCAGTAGCTGGGACTACAGGCACATGCCACCATGCCCAGCTAATTTTTGTATTTTTAGTAGAGATGGGTTTTCACCATGTTGGCCAAGATGGTCTTGATCTCTTGACCTAGTGATCTGCCTGCCTCGGCCTCCCAAAGTGCTGGGATTACAGGCGTGAGCCACCATGCCCAGCCAAAGCTATCTTTTATTTATTGAGAGAAAGATGGCTTCTGTGACCCCAGATTATGTACATAGACTTCTAGCATTGTATTCATCCCATTGCATTCTAAAAATTTGTATATGTGTTAATTTCTCTGCTTATTAATATGATGAGAATTCCTTAGGAGCATGTCTAATTTTTATAGTACTTGGCATGTAGCAGGCCTATAATAAATGTGTATTGAGTGCATGTGGTTAGTCAATATATGAGAATAAGAAATGTTCATGTCTATGATGCTTGTAATTCCAAAGATAAATTGGCTGACAGGCAAAACAAATCTCACAGACCAGATTTCTGTTTACCAAAACCACCTGCTTGTCAGATCAAATCATTTGCATATCATCCAAAGACAAAACTCTAAGAGATCTTAAAAAGTTCAGAAATCATCTATTGCAATTCAAGATATTTAATAAAAATTATAGCCAATACCAACTTCTTAATCTTTGATCAAATGTGTCCAAAAATAATTAGGCAAAGAAAACTTTGCAAAGAGAAAATCTACATTTAAAACTTCCAGTTTTATTCTAATATTTAATTTGAAAATGCGTAGCTTTTCTTTTTGTATCTTTTTTTTTTTTTTTTTTTTATTTTGAGACAGAGTTTCACTCTTATTGCCCAGGCTGGAGTAAAATGGCGCGACCTCAGTTCACTGCAACCTCCACCTCCCAGGTTCAAGTGATTCTCCTGCCTCAGCCTCCCAAGTACCTGGGATTACAGGCATGCGCCACCACGCATGGCTAATTTTGTATTTTTAGTAGAGACGGGGTTTCTCCATGTTGGTCAGGCTGGTCTCGAACTCCTGACCTCAGGTGATCTCCCCGCCTTGGCCTCCCAAAGTGCTGGGATTACAGGCATAAACCACCGCTCCCGGCCTTCTTTTTGTATCTTAATGGGATAAGTGATTGTGTAAAGGATTTTTAATGTTTAGAGACTGACAATTCTAAATTGTTAGAAGTTTCCTCAGTTCCTCACCCTACACCTTGCCTGGCTGTGCTGATAACGTCACATATATCCCCCTTTAGGATGGTAAATGTGTTATCGAAGGAGATTTTAAAAATTTAAACTAGTATCTGCAAGTGTAAAAAACACAAAATAAGGATGCAAAAAAGTGGGGTGTTTTTAATATTAATAAAATTAATATTTTATTAAACTATTTAAAGCTACTACCAAAAGAACTAGGTTTTCTTTTCTTTTCTTTTTTTTTTTTTTTTTGAGAGAGTCTCACTCTGTCGCCTAGGCTAGAGTATGGTGGTGCGATCTCATCTCACTGCAATCTCCATCTCCCAGGTTCAAGCAATTCTCCTGCCTCAGCCTCCCGAGTAGCTGGGATCACAGGCACCTGCCACCATGCCCGGCTAATTTTTGTATTTCTTTTTCTTTTTTTTTAATTTTTAGTAGAGACAGGGTTTCACCATGTTGGCCGGGCTGGTCTTGAACTCCTGACCTCAGGTGATCAGCCCACCTCGGCCTCCCAAAGTGCTGCGATTACAGGCGTGAGCCACTGCGCCTGGCCAGAAGTAGGTTTTCTAAGTTAAAGATTTTCTTTGAACACAATTTAAATATATTTGTCCTTGTCAGTTTATATACGAAATATTTGACTTTTCAAGTGAAAACATCTGATGGTTTTGCCAGCATAAGAGTTTCGCTGCCGACATGGGAGTATATTTCATAGAAGATGGTTGTGGCAAGAATTAGGGCCCTGGAATGATGTTTTGCTTCTGCTCTTTGCCAGCTATATCACCTTGGGAAGTTATTTGACCTTAGTCTCAGAGTTCTCATACACAAAGTGAAGATAATTAACTATTTCAACTATTTCACAAGGTTATTATGCCAATGATATTATGTGTACAAAAGCACTTGTAAACTGTAACTCATGCCATATAAATGTTAATTATGATTATGGCTTCACCCACTATAGCATTGCAACATCATGGAATATGGCAAGCCTATCCTTTTTTTTCTTTTTTGCCTGAGGGATAAAAACAATTTCTTATTTCTAAATGTGCTCCTCTGCAACACAAATAGTGAAGACTTTTTCCATTTGCTTTCTCGTTTTTCCAGTTCCCCATGTTTTTATTGTGAAATATACGTAACATAAAATTTACTATCTTAACCATTTTTAAGTATACAATTCATTGGTATTAAGTACATTCATATTATTGGGCAACCATCACCACCATCCATCTCCAGGACTCCTTTCATCTTGCAAAACGAAAACTTTACACCCATTAAACAGTAACTCCCCATTTCCTCCTCTCTAATTCCTTTTATTTTGAGGTAATTTAGAATTTGAATGCTGCTCTCACCTTATCTGTTACACAAAATTCACGGCCAAACAGAAATGTAATAGTGGTAATCTCAATTCCATCTGCTACTTCCGTTGTTTTTGGTCTTGGCAAGATAAACAGAAGATATAGTGAAGAAGTACTGTAATGTAGAAATTGCATAAGAGAAATGTGCAATTCAGCTACATGTAAAAGCCTGATTATTTTGCAAACTTTGAGGCACTGTGACTCGTCTGGAAAATATCCTAAATAGCTAGGGATGTTTACAAAGAGTTATCTGATAATGGCTTTAAAAAATGTAACTAGGTCTCCTAAATTCCCATAAACTGCAGATTATTATTATTATTATTATTATTATTATTTGAGATGGAGTCTCCCTCTGTCGCCCAGGCTGGAGTGCAGTGGCGCGATCTCGGCTCACTGCAAGCTCCGCCCCTCCAGGTTTAAGCAATTCTCTGCCTCAGCCTCCGGAGTAGCTAGGATTACAGGCGTGTGCCACCACGCCTGGCTAATTTTTTGTATTTTTAGTAGAGACGGGGTTTCAGCATCTTGGCCAGGCTGGTCTTGAACTCCTGACCTCGTGATCCACCTGCCAAGGCCTCCCAAAGTGCTGGGATTACAGGCGTGAGCCACCGCGCCTGGCCACAACTGCAGATTATTTTAAAAATTGATGTTACATACACACAATGAATAATATATAACCACTAAATATCTCATTATAGAATAATACCTAAATATATGGGAATATGGTCTGCTATAGTATTAAGGTTAAAAAAATTACAAAACAGTACATATTACTGTTTTGGTATTACTTTTTTGATATTACTTAATTGATAATTATGCCCAATTAAATAATAAAAATAAAAGAACTATACCTGTATGTATGTATGTATGTATATATATGTGTGCGTATTGTATATATACATATATATGAAAAGGCTAGAAGGTATACAGGAAAATGTTAGTGGCAATCTCTGGGTAGCAGAATTATTAGTGAGTTTTAATTTCTTCTTTGCAATTTTTTATGTTTTGCATTTTTTTCAATGGCCGTATATTACTTTTATAATCAGGACCAAAATTTAATTAAGTAAAAACTCAAGCACAGGCCACCTCCAAAGCAAACCCAGCAATGAACTCTGAAGCATTTCTGCTATGAACACTTAAGTAATTGGAAATTGGGAGGACCATAAAAAATAGTCACTTGGGGCTAGTATTGGAATGAAAAACCCAAAGAGCTTGTTTCGAATCATGTCAGCTTTCGCATTACTAATATAATTAAAGCAAATAAATCGGTTGGCCAACATGCCACTCACCCTTCAGACACACGTCACAGCTGTCTGCATGCTCACTATCTCCACCTTGCTCAATTTTTACAGTTTTTAATATGAATATCAATTCCCTTTTTCATAAACCTAACCTATAAATGCCACAACCCTCTGAGGGATTTCCCCAGGCTTCATTTTAGGCTCCACAAGAAAGGATGTAAAAGAGACTTTTCTTTTGTGAAGTGATTCTATAATTCTGTCCAATATCCATCATTTTCAAGGGCAAGTAATCATATTTAATAGATCCCAAATTACATTCTGTCAGGCAAGGATTCCCTTGATGATATTAACCAGAGCAGAGGACTGACAGTCAGAGGCCTGAAAGTAAGATACTCTTCTACAAAGGGCTTACAAGCTTTGCTTCGTAGGGGTCGACCCCACGAAGTCTGAAGTGGTGTAGGATCTGTGCCTTCATCACAATCCTCAGCCCTCCCTGAGTTACCCACAAACAATCCCTGATTTCCTGTCCTAAAATCACTTTCAAAATTAAATTACTTGGCCCACTTTTGACCCTTTCCTTTGAGGAAATTGCCATCATGAATTTGTTTTTACAGCACTACTTTAGCAAGACAGCTAGATGTATAAGAATCTACCTATGCTATCTCCATTCTAGCCCCTTGTAGGAAAACTGAAAAGGGAAAAGCTGAATGAGATGAGGAAGCTGGAGCGATGCTGTCATGGCTTGTACTGTTTATATGAATGGTACCAGGTATCAGGTTGGAAATCTTTTCCTGACAGGAAAGACTGTAAGGTCATAATGCCAGAAAAGGAGTGCAAGGACCAGTTTTCCTTTGAAAAAGGAGGACATCTTATGCTAGATTTTCATTAGAAGGGAAGTTCCTGTCATTCCTTCTTTGAGCACCTCTATTGAAGCGGCTTTTATTCGAGGCGGGCGGATCACAAGGTCAGGAGTTTGAGACCAGCCAGGCCAATATGGTGAAACCCAGTCTCTACTAAAAATACAAAAATTAGCCGGGCATGGTGGCACGCACCTGTAGTCCCAGCTACTCAGGAGGCTGAGGCAGGAGAATTGCTTGAACCCAGGGAGGCAGAGGTTGCAGTGAGCCAAGATTGTGCTACTGCACTCCAGCCTGGGCGACAGAGCAAGACTCTGTTTCAAAAAAAAAAAAAAAAAAAAAAAAGAATAAGAATAAGGGCCAGGCTAGGTGGCTCAGGCCTGTAATCCCAGCACTTTGGGAGGCCGAGATGGGAGGATCACTTGAGGTCAGGAGTTCGAGACCAGCCTAGCCAACATGGTGAAACCCTCTCTCTACTAAAAATACAAAAAAATCAGCCCAGCGTGGTGACCCACTCCTGTAGTCCCAGCTACTCGGGAGGCTGAGGCAGAAGAATCGCTTGAACTTGGGAGGCTGAGGTTGCTGTGAGTCGAGATGGTGCATTCCAGCCTGGGTGACAGAGTGAGACTCCATCTCAAAAAAAGAAAAAAAAAAGAGGATATTAAAAATAGCATGTTTAAGTTTTTTATGCTTTAGTTATTAAAACAATTCAAGCACAAATATTTATTTAAATCTGAATCTTCATTCAAAATCCAACTATAGAGCTCTTGCTATGTGCCTCACTCTTGTTGCTTTATATACATGAACTCATTTCCTTCTTACAAAGACTCTGTAACCTATAGATATAGTTATACCAATCTTAGAGATGAAGTTTACAATACAGCCATTTTGGTCGGGTAGGGTGGCTCATGCCTGTAATCTCACCACTTTGGGAGGCCGAGGCAGGCGGGTCACCTGAAGTCGGGAGTTCGAGACCAGCCTGACCAACATGGAGAAACCCCATCTTTACTAAAAATACAAAATTAGCTGGGCATGGTGGCGCATGCCTGTAATCCCATCTACTCGGGAGGTTGAGGCAGGAGAACCGCTTGAATCCGGGAGGCGGAGGTTGCAGTGAGCCGAGATTGTGCCATTGCACTCCAGCCTGGGCAACAAGAGCGAAACTCTGTCTCAAAACAAACAAACAAACAAAAACCAATACAGCCATTTCGTTTTCATTTCTAAAGTTTTAGAATGGCTTGGAGTCCAGCAGTTTGGGCCACTATTAATGTTTTGATGATCTATCTAACCACTGAGAATTTGTTTTTATTGTTCTGGAAAAAATAATCTCAATGCAGTTGCTCCAAACTTCAAGATATATGGATCTTGAAATTCTGGCCTAAAGAAAAACTGTTAAAATACTGAAGGATAGGCCGGGCGTGGTGGCTCATGTCTGTAATCCTAGCACTCTGGGTGGCCGAGGAGGTCGGATTGCCTGAGTTCAGGAGTTCGCGAGCAGCCTGGGCAATACGGTGAAACCCAGTCTCTACTAAAATACAAAAAAACTTAGCCAGGCGTGGTGGTGGGCGCCTATAGTCCCAGCTACTTGGGAGGCTGAGGCAGAAGAATTGCTTGAACCTGGGAGGCGGAGCTTGCAGTGAGCCGAGATCGTGCCACTGCACTCCTGGGCGACAGAGCGAGACTCAGTCTCAAACAAAACAAAACAAAACAAAACAAAAAAAACTTAAGGGTAGAGTGAGAAAGAGGGGCTACTTGTCATCAATGTTTACCATTTTAGAATAAGAAGTAGGGTGATGAGCCTAAAGCTGCGGCAGCAGAAGAAAATAAATATTAAACCATTATCAAGATACTTGTTTTATAATTTTGAGTGACAAAAACACTTTATACAAAGGGACCAACGCTGCCCGCTCTTCCTCCTATTTTTTCTTGGGTTTCCATGTCTTTCCTTTGCTCTTTCATACCAACTATTTTATTGTTACTCACAACTCTTCCTTCTCATTTCTACTTTATCACAGTTCTTTCTTTTATCCCTTAATTTTTTCCCTATGCCTAAAAAAGAGAAAAAATAAAATCAATTCAACTTTGATGCTTTCCCTTTAAATGTAATAAAACACAGGTGCAAAAACTGAAGGAATTGGCTGCTTTCATGCTCATTTCTTCCATCTTTCGTCATCATTAACTCCTTTTGCTACTCTCTTCTTTACTTCCTCCTTTCCAATAAGTCACTTCCTTCTTTTCAATAAATCACGAAGGCTAAGATTTAAAAGTGCTTTGCCATATTCTGATACAGTACAGTAGTTTAATTTTCATATCAGTCTAACCCAAATTGATTTCTCATTGACAGAGCTCAGCTGCCACCTCCTTGCCTGCTGTGTTCACCAAATGGAAAATCTCAGTAAAACCTGTATTATCATTTATTTCCACTGTGGAAATATTAAGCAAGCTAGAATGTGGCAATTTCTTTAGATTTTTAAAATCATAACACAATTATTAGAATAATGAAAATTTCCCAATTTCCCTGTGAATGAGTTAGAGATTCAAATAAAGTGTTCATTTAAAGTCTGACCATCAGGTCTCCAGGGAACTTTGGTGATTCATTTTGCCTGCACATGTCAGTATACTACTTACCTTCTTCTCAGTGCTGTTACTTTTTTTTTTTTTTTAAAGAGTCAGCACTCTTTTATCTTTTAAAGTGTTTATTTTTAAATAGATTTCTTCATTTTAAACTTTATTGAATAAACAATGACAGCTGCCTGTATTTGTGTCACATTTTATAATTTTTTTTTTTTTTTGAGACAGAGTCTCGCTCTGTCGCCAGGCTGGAGTGCAGTGGCATGATCTCGGCTCACTGCAACCTCCACCTCCTGGGTTCAAGCAATTCTCCTGCCTCAGCCTCCAGAGTAGCTGGGACTACAGGTGCGCGCCCCCATGCCCAGCTAATTTTTGTACCTAGTAGAGATGGGGTTTCACCATGTTGGCCAGGATGGTCTTGAACTCCTCACCTTGTGATCCGCCCACCCTGGCCTCCCAAAGTGCTGAGATTAGAGGCGTGAGCCATGGCGCCTGGCCCACATTTTATAATTTTTAGAGAGTTTTTACAGCATTATCTATTTAGTCCTCATTAAAACACCAGACACTTGCCATGGACTGTGGCGGGCCTTGTGGTTCAGATGAAAACATTGCATAGTTCCTTCCTCGGGAGACTGGAGTAGAGACTATGCGGAAATGTAATAATTCCAGACAGAACAATGTATTATTGAGAGATAGGACTAGCTGGATTTCCCAGGCTGACTAAGAATCCCTAAGCCTAGCTGGGAAGGTGACCACATAAACACGGGGCTTGCAACTTAGCTCACACTACCAATTTACTACCAATCAGGTAGTAAAGAGAGTTCATTAAAATGCTAATTATGCAAAAACAGAAGATAAAGAAATAGCCAATCATCTATGGGCTGAGAGCACAGGGGGAGGGACAATGATCGGGATATAAACCCAGGCATTGGAGCCAGCAACGGCTACCCTCTTTGGGTCCCCTCCCTTTGTATGGGAGTTCTGTTTTCACTCTATTAAATCTTGCAACTGCACACTCTTCTGGTCCATGATTGTTACGGCTGGAGCTGAGCTTTGGCCTCCGGATCCAGCAGGGTGTCCACTGTGCTCCTGATCCAGCGATGCGCCCATTGCCGCTCTGATTGCGCTAAAGTCTTGCCATTGTTCCTGCATGGCTAAGTGCCTGGGTTCGTCCTAACTGAGCTGAACACTAGTCGCTGGGTTCCACGGTTCTCTTTTTGTAGGGCCAGGCGTGGTGGCTCACGCCTGTAATCCCAGCACTTTCGGAGGCTGAGGTGGGTGGATCACGTGAGGTCAGGAGCTCAAGACCAGCCGGGCCAACATGGTGAAACTCTGTCTCTACTAAAAATACAAAAAATTAGCCGGTTGTGGTGGTGGACGCCTGTAATCCCAGCACTTTGGGAGGCAGAGGCGGGCAAATCACAAGGTCAGGAGTTCAAGATTAGCCTGGCCAACATGGTGAAACCCCGTCTCTACTAAAAAAATACAAAAATTAACCAGGCATGGTGGTGTGTGCCTGTAATCCCAGGTACTGGGGAGGCTGAGGCAGGAGAATCGCTTGAACCCAGGAGGCGGAGGTTGCAGTGAGCTGAGCTCGTGCCACTGCACTCCAGCCTGGGTGACAGAGCGAGACTCCATCTCAAAAAAAAAAAAAAAAAAAAAAAACCCACAAATTTTTGTAGATTATTAAGCACTACACAAACATCATTACTTCGGTTACCTTAGGTTTTCTTCATTAACAACCCCTGACCTTGAGCATGTGTGGAACTTCTGACTTTGGGAAAAAGAAGGAGCTTATAAATATTATTAATTTAATACGTCTTGGCTGTGCGCGGTGGCTCACGCCTGTAATCCCAACACTTTGGGAGGCCGAGGCAGGCAGATCACTTGAGGTGAGGAGTTCAAGACCAGCCTGGCCAACATGGTGAAACCCTATCTCTACTAAAAATACAAAAATTAGCCAGACTTGGTGGCGCGCACCTGTAGTCCCAGCTACTCAGGAGGCTGAGGCAGGAGAATCACTTGAACCCGGGAGGTGGAGGTTGCAGTGAGCCGAGATGGCACCATTGCACTCCACCCTGGGAGACAGAGCAAGACTCCATCTAAAAAAAAATTAACATATCACAATATATAAATAACATATTATATATTATCTATAAGTAGTATATTAAATAATAACACTATATTAAAATAAGTACCTTATGTATACAATGAACACTGTGCTTTGTGCTTTATATATCTATCACTTTTAATCCTTTGAAAAAGGCTGTGAGATCATATTATTCCCAGTTACCCCTAGATTCCATTTTCTTAATTTGAGAGTCCTGTTTTCTTTTGGTATAGACTGATGAAAACAGATGAGCCAGTATGAATTACCTGGGCTCTGGCTTTCTAGAATGGGCCTGCTGTTTTGCATATCAACATAAATTCTGTGTGAAGATTTTTAGCTGGCTAACCATTTGAGATAGAGTGAGGGGCTTCAAAATTATGTGGTCAAGGCTGGAAACTGTTTTTTTTTTTTTTTTTTTTTTTTTTTTTTGAGACAGGGTCTTGCTCTGTCACCCAGGCTGGAGTGCAGTGGCGCGATCTCGGCTCACTGCAACCTCTGCCTCCTGGGCTCAAGCCATCCATTTCTATCTCATCCTCCTGGGTAGCTAGGACTACAGATGCGTGCCCCCATGCCCAGCGAATTTTTTGGTATTTTTTTGTATAGGTTGGGTTTCGCCATGTTGCCCAGGCTGGTCTTGAACTTCTAAACTCAAATGATCTGCCCGCCTTACCTCCCAAAGTGCTGGGATTACAGACATGAGCCACTGCACATGGCCAATTTTTATTTCTTTATGATCAAGTTTAAAATGTTTTCCAATTACTCATCTGTTACTTCCTATTGAGTTAAATGTATTTTTTTAAATGCAGAAGTAACGTTCACTTCTTACCAACTCAGCCTCACCTATTGATTCATTAAATCCCATAGATTATCCATAATGCGTTTGATACAATTAAATCATGATTTTATTTCCACTTATGAAGAGAGGTTCTCTCAAAGCATTCAAAGCCTATGTCCAAGGCACAATTTGCTTATAGAAAGAATCCGAAGGGGCTGGGCGCCATGGCTCACACCTGTAATCCCAGCACTTTGGGAGGCTGAGGCAGGGGGATCACCTGAGTTCGGGAGTTTGAGACCAGCCTGACCAACATGGAGAAACTCCATTTCTACTAAAAATACAAAATTAGCCGGGTGTGGTGACGCATGCCTGTAATCCCAGTTGTTCGGGAGGCTGAGGCAAGAGAATCACTTGAACCCGGGAGGTAGAGGTTGTGGTGAGCCGAGATCATGCCATTGCACTCCAGCCTGGGCAACAAGAACAAAACTCCATCTCAAAAAAAAAAAAAAAAAAAAAAAAAAAAAAAAAGAATAAGAATAAGAAAAAGAAAGAATCTGAAGGAAGATCTTTTACTCCATGATAGTGGCTAAGTATGAATTACATTACCCAAAGAAGAAAAATTTATTTCCATTAGTCAAATAAAAGTGCTGAGAGAATTCAAATAAACCAATTTTCCATACATTTAAGGGCTCCTGCACATATATTTAATACCTTTCAATGATCAGTTTTAGCCACATGAAGTAGTAAAAACATACAGTATTTCTTCCTAAGTGTTGTTAAAACAACTTCTTAGACAAATGGATTATAAACCTGGGTCAGAGCTTTATTTCTAGCTAGGCACAAGGGATGAAACCTTTAAATGTGCCAATTTAAGATTCCCTTTAGGAATCGTATAGGAAAAGTGAATGGTTAATCATTGTTAAACTGGATACAAGAAAAAATAATGTCTGGTTAAAGATTATTAGGCTAGCCAGTCAGCTGGGTGGGTAACCCTGGCTTCCCAGAAGTCCTTAATCTCATTCAGGTCTATCAGAAAAGTGCTCAAGCATTTTAACAGCAATGCCAATTACTTCCCAGAGGAGGTTGTGAATTATATCACATAAAAAAGTTCTGCCTCCAGACAATGTTTAGGACAATCTTTGTTCTCAATGTGAATAAAACTTTTGTGCCAAAAAGCTATCATTGAATTTTTGGTTCTAAAATAATACTTTTTCTCTAATATTTGATTTAAGGTGGCTAGCCCTTTTGGAATAAACCTATGAAATGTTTCTTACCTTAAAAGAATGTTGCAAGATTTGAGACATTGATATTTAGACAAATGTAACACTTCTGAGAAATTGTAAGATGACATAATGGAAATAGTAATAAAGTAAGTGGCAAATGTGATTTTAAAACAAGCCAGCAGTGTCTGGATTTGTCTACTGATTTATAGGAAATACATGATAAATTACATCACAGATGGGCAGTGAGGAGTATCTAGACTATGGGAAATTCTACAGGACCCAAAACCTGGTTTCCTCAACAAACAAATTGCAAGGAAGGGGTGGGGGAACCTATATAAAATACATAAAAGACTTACCAATCAATTACATGTGGACTTCATTTGTATCCCTAGTGAAACAAACACATTATAAAATAAAATTATGCCATTCTTGAAGCAGTTGAGAATTTGAAGTCTCTTACTGAATATTTAATATTAATGAATTATTGTTGATTTAATGGTATTGAGTTTATATGTTAAAAAATCCACCTTATTCTTTTTTTTTTTTTTTTGAGACGGAGTCTCGCTCTGCTGCCCAGGCTGGAGTGCAGTGGTGTGATCTGGGCTCACTGGAAGCTCTGCCTCCCGGGTTCATGCCATTCTCCTGCCTCAGCCTCCCGAGCAGCTGGGACTACAGGTGCCTGCCACCACGCCCGGCTAATTTTTTGTATTTTTAGTAGAGATGGGGTTTCACCATGTTAGTCAGGATGGTCTCAATCTCCTGACCTGGTGATCCACCCGCCTCGGCCTCCCGAAGTGCTGGGATTACAGGCTTGAGCCACCATGCCCAGCCGACCTTATTCTTTAGAGATAACACAGTGAAAATCTGCAGATGAAATGATATGAAGTCTAGAATTTGCTTCAAAATAATGCAAGAGAAAGAGAAGAGGGTGTGGATACAGACTAAATACAACTAGCTGTATTGATAACGGTTGAAGTTGAGTGATGGGTGTTAGGAAGTTTTTTGTACAAGTCTGCCTATTTTTTGCATATGTTAGAAACTCTCTTTAATAGAGAGTTTAAGTAAAATGATGTTGGCAAGATTGGTCCTTTGAGCTGTTGGTGCTTTTGTTACTGTCCTGGCCAAACTCCTATTCTAGAGCCTACCACCAGTGGAGCCCTGTAAACAAAAAACACCAATTACAGCACATGTGCAGAAGTCAGACCACAATATGACTTAAGGGAAACCTTTCCTTTAGAGCATAACATTATGGGCAAAAAAAATCCTGGCTAGACACAAAGAAATGGCTATTACTTTGAAGCACTGTAGTGAAGGGGTAGTACTCATCTCTCTTTGGAAAATATAAAACTTGGTAGGGTTTATTTGTTGTGGATAGAGAGGAGGGAAACAATGAGAAAGAATATGGTCCCAAGTCTGGCAAGGGGCAGAACTGTTCTTCCATAGTTTAAAAGGTACTGGGCCTCTTCTGGGAAGTAATTAGCATTCCTAATCAAAGGCTTGATAGATGTCACTGTGAAGAGGACCTCTTCTGGAAAGTTGGTTGGACATAGTCTTCATCCATCCTCTATTTATTCATCTTCCTTGTCTTCTTTCTTGTAACACCTCCTCTTTCTTTCTCTTTTGCATTCTATTTTTCCTCTTGTCTTCTTTTTTCCTTTTCTTCTTCTTCATAGATGTTTCTCTCAAGAGAGAATTACTTGTGTATAACTTGCTCAGAGGGCTCTGTCCTGGCAGCAAACTTGAAATGAGACTCTTGACATTTCTTGTAATCAGTTTGTCTGAGAACTTGCTTTCTTCAGTTTTTTTCATCACATAGATTATTCATTGGAACATAATAAATAATAAAAATCTTGGAGTTTCTAGTTTAGTAGCTCAAGGAAGGTGGTTAGAAGCCTGGAAGAGGTGGCAGAGAAAAAAGAATGTGGAGAGACAGGAGGCCAGCAATAAGACCAGAGGTTGGGGTCTGGGCGCAGTGGCTCACGCCTGTAATCCCAGCACTTTGGGAGCCCGAGGTGGGCGGATCATCTGAGGTCAGGAGTTTGAGACCAGTCTGGCCAACATGGTGGAACCCTGTCTTTACTAAAAATACAAAAATTAGTAGGGCTTTGCAGGGTCCTGAGGCAGGAGCATCACTTGAACCCAGGAGGCGGAGGTTGTAGTGAGCTGAGATTGTGCCACTGCACTCCAGCCTGGGCAACAGAGCAAGACCCTGTCTCAAAAAAAGAAAGAAAGAAAGAAAAAAGACCAGAGGTTAGGACTCTGCAGGGACACAGCCCAGAGAAACTGCTGTGCCTGACATTCAACTTGACCTGTGTTGAATGTTCTTTCCTGATCTGTGTTGTTATTACTCCTTTTCTCTCCCATCTTAGTAGATGACAACACCATCCCTAGGCTGAAACCTAGTCTAAAAACCTAAGTTTCATCCTCGCTTCCTCTCATTCTTTCACATCTGCAAGTCCTGTTGGCAGACCTTCAATATGTATCATAACCCAACCACTCCTCCCAGTGCCATCGCCTAAACACTGGTTCCAGCAGCCAGCTCTAGCCTGGGTTACTGTAATGGCTACCAAAGTCATCTTTCAGCTTCCACCTTTGCCTGTTTCATTCTCTTCTCAATGTAGGAGCCAGATGATCCTTCTAAAATGTAACTTAGATTGTATCACCCCTCTACTCCAGAGCCTGCAATAGTCATGTAAAAGCTAATGGTCACACTGGCCTACTGGCCCATGCAATCCACTTCCCACCTACCCCTGGCCTGTTACCCCTATGATCACATCTTGGCTCTGCCCTCGCTCGTTCCCACTGTGGCCACACTGGCTTCCTGATGTTGTCCCTAGGGACTGCACCTGCTGCTCCCTCTACCTGGGTCGTCCTTCCCCCAGACCTAGGTATGGCTGTCTCCAGTGCTGCCTTCATGACTTTATCTAACTTTTTTTTTTTTTTTGAGACAGATTCTCGCTCTGTCGCCCAGGTTGGAGTGCAGTGGTACGATCTCCGCTCACTGCAAGCTCCGCCCCCCAGGTTCATGCCATTCTCCTGCCTCAGCCTCCCGAGTAGCTGGGACTACAGGCGCCCGCCACCACGCCCGGCTAATTTTTTTTGTATTTTTAATAGAGACGGGGTTTCACCGTGTTGGCCAGGATGGTCTTGCTCTCCTGACCTCGTGATCCGCCCGCCTCGGCCTCCCAAAGTGCTGGGATTACAGGCGTGAGCCACTGTGCCCAGCCTACTTTATCTAATGTTAAGTCTCCTCAGTGAAGCCTTTTTGACTCCTCTGTTTAAACAATTAAACTCCTATGTAGATAGTAAAACCCAAAAGAAAAAAGAAAAAAAAACGAAAATAATCACACTCTCCTCCCAGCACTCTGCATCCCGTCTACTTTGTTTTTCTCTATGTACATATTACTACCAGACACAGTATATAGCATGTCATTTGTTGTATTTATTGGCCGAGAGTTTCCCCTGGAATGTAAGCTCAATGAAGGCAGAGAGTTTTGTCTCTTTTGTTTGCTGCTGAATCCCGAAGGCCTAAACAGGGCCTAGTCTATACTAGCTGCTCAATAAATATTTGTTCAATGACTGAATGAATGCCCCAAATTAGTAAAACCTTGGGTGAGTAGTGCTTTGGGTGAATGAAGCAAAGCTGAGTGCAGGGGCGATGTACTCACTTCAAGCAAAGAGATGGTAAGCTAATGATACCAAGAGTTTAGTGGAAATGGACAGTTTGAGTGAGGGTATGGAAGTTGAGCCTCTGGGAAGCCTCAGGGAAATTTTTGGACCTTTCTTCCATAGCCTGAGTCATTTTATTTGAGTTTTTTTTTTTTTTTTTTCCTGAGACAAGAGTTTGCCCAGGCTGGAGTGTAGTGGCGTGATCTCCACTCACTGCAACCTCCACCTCCTGCCTCAGCCTCAGCCTCCTGAGTAGCTGGGACTACAGGCATGTGATACCACACCTAGCTAATTCTTGTATTTTTAGTAGAGACAGGGTTTCATCATGTTGGCCAGGCTGGTCTCGAACTCCTGACCTCAGGTGATCCACCCATCTTGGCCTCCCAAAGTGCTGGGATTATAGGCATGAGCCACTGGGCCCAGCCATTTTATTTGAGTATTAAAACAAGGGCAGTCATAGAAGATTGGAAATACTTGGGAATATTTGGTTACTTTAAAAGAATTTAAAGTGGCTGGGCATGGTGGCTCACGTCTGCAATCCCAGCACTTTGGGAGGCCAAGGCAGGCGGATCACAAGGTCAGGAGTTCAAGACCAGCCTGCGCAACATGGAGAAACCCTGCTTCTACTAAAAATACAAAAATTAGCTGGGTGTGGTGGCACATGCCTGTAATCCCAGCTACTCAGGAGGTTGAGGCAGGAGAATCTCTTGAACCCGGGAAGCGGAGATTGCAGTGAGCCGAGATCGTGCCACCGCACTCCAGCCTGGGCGACAGAGCGAGACTCCGTCTCAAAAAAAAAAAGAAATTTAAAGTTACATTTTGAGAAAAGACATATTTTCTAATTCTGGACATTTATACATCTGGTGTTTTTTTCTTTCTCAGAAAAAGGTTTAAATGTTTGAAATTAGACATCTGGCAACCCTCGTAGCCAGCTTAAACAGGGCAGAGACAATCAATACTCTATTCCAGATCTGCCCAACAGAAAATACAAACTCCAGTGTTGAAGCTTTGAGAGTGAGGGTGGGAGTAGCAAGTGTGGGTGCTTGCCCTGTACATTGGCGACTTCTTTGGGGGCTCTGAGAGCGGATGGAGCAGGTGAGGAGATGCTGGTGAGGAAGGTAGAGGAGACTGGTGGGAGGATCAGGTCATCCCTGGAATAAGGCTCATTTCTAGGTTGGCCCAGTTGGCCTGCAGTGACCAGACTATAGCAGGACTCATAGAAGGAAGTGGCTATGTTAGCTGGCACTAAGTAAAAGACAAAAACCTGGCCGGGCGCGGTGGCTCACGCCTGTAATCCCAGCACTTTGGGAGGCCGAGGCGGGCGGATCACGAGGTCAGGAGATCGAGACCATCCCGGCTAAAACGGTGAAACCCCGTCTCTACTAAAAATACAAAAAATTAGCCGGGCGTAGTGGCAGGCGCCTGTAGTCCCAGCTACTCGGGAGGCTGAGGCAGGAGAATGGCGTGAACCCGGGAGGCGGAGCTTGCAGTGAGCCGAGATCCCGCCACTGCACTCCAGCCTGGGCGACAGAGCGAGATTCCGGCTCAAAAAAAAAAAAAAAAAAAAAAAAAGACAAAAACCTAATTAGGAAGGAAAAGCAGCTCTAATGCGTAAGTAGAAATAATGCACGTCCGTGCCCTGCCTCCAGCCGCTTTTGCGAATCTCCCCATGGTCAAGGTGAGATCAGCAGGCCCGTCTCTCTCCCCTTCCAGTAATCTTTCAGTCCACAGATTGCACATTTGAGGCTGTTCTCACTCTCACTCCCCAAATTACCTTCTAAGGTTTTTCTTGATGTTCATTTTTGTCTTGTGTAAAAATATTGAGGCCCACATTTTCTAGGCATAGTTGTGTTGCTGACTAAACCTAAAAGTGGGTGCATAAGACCAAAAAATTGATTGATACTCTATGCTAATGTTGGAGAAGGAGTGGCACAACATGGTAGGCAGAGTTCGGGCCTCCAGGGGTCTTGCCCAGCTTCCACGATGCCCTGAAGGTATCCAGGAGGAACACTGACCATGCTGAGGGTGTTGATGGGAAAGCTTGCCCGAGGGCTAACTGAGATCTGTGCCCATGTGTGTCTGTGGTGTCAGTGTATGTGTCTAGGGGAGGCAGGATGAGCAAAGAAGAAAAATCGTACTTTAGCTGATGGCAGTGCTGGTCTGCAGCCCAAATGAGATTTGTAGGAAGACCTCCTCAGAGACTCCAGCAAGAACCTGAACAAGAGGGAAGTGAGGCTGCTAAGTAGCCGGGAGGCACCACCCAGCTCTGGCCAAGTCTAAAGAAATCAGAGGACAAGGCACAAACAACAGAAGCAGCAGACCTTAGCAGGGCAGCAGTACCCGGGTGGACAAATGACAAGAACGTGCAGATCAGGGGGCTAGAGGACATCATGCTTGAGGTCTCTGACCCCATCCATCATGAAATTGCAAAGTTTCTGGACAAACAACCCAATTCTACATGCATTCATGTAGTCTAATGCCATCTTAGAGAGGAGCCGGTAGAAGACCAATAAATCACCAAACACTTTTATCTAGAGAAATGGAGCATTAAACAAAGGGATCCTAAATGGTAACATTAGACAAAGGTTTAAACCAGATTGGACCTTTAGTTATTTTTCTCCTTGCTACTTACTTAGTGGTTAGGTGCCCACAAGGATATTTGTCCTATTTGTGTAAAAATACCAATTTTTCATTTTTATCCATCTGATAAGAGTAAATTGCAACTACATAATATGCACATAATTGTGTACATTTTACCTCTGGGTGTAATTAGCTCAGATATTTAAAGCTCCTGGCTATTCTGGTATAGGGGAAAGAGGGTAGGCACTCGCCTCAGATAGACCTAGGCTTGAACCCATCTCTTCTACTCTATTTCTTCCCTGTAGGAACTTGGGCAAGTTACCTAACACCTCTGAGTCATGGTTGTCTGTAAATGGATTTAACAAGGCTCATCTCAGAGGGCTGTCCTGAAATTAAAAGGTATTCTTGGCTGGGCACAGTGGCTCCCGCCTATAATCCCAGCACTTTGGCAGACCAAGGCGGGCGGATCACTTGAGCCCAGGAGTTTTGAGACCAGTCTGGGCAACATGGCGAAACCCTGTCTCCGCTAAAAATACAAAAATTAGCCTGGTGTGCCAGTACAGGCCTGTAGTCCCAGCTACTCAGGTGGCTGAGGCACAATAATCTCTTGAACTTGGGAGGCAGAGGTTGCAGTGAGCCCAGATTGCCCTACTGCACTCCAGCCTGGGCAACAGAGAGAGACCCTGTCTCAAAAAAAAAAAATAATAAAACTATCTGAGTGTAGAGTGCCCAGTTCAGGACTTGTCCCGCAGTAAATGCTCAACAAATGTCACTTTTCTTTTCTTCCCGCTCTAGATAACTTGTACATCAATAAACAAATGACAAATTGCTTCTTAGTTAACTTAGTCCAATTAACTTTCTTTTTTTTTTTTTTTTAAATGGAGTCACGCTCTGTTGCCCAAGCTGGAGTACAGTGGCGCGATCTCGGCTCACTGCAAGCTCCGCCTCCTGGGTCCACGCCATTCTCCTGCCTCAGCCTCCCGAGTAGCTGGGACTACAGGTGCCCGCCACCACGCCCAGCTAATTTTTTTTTTGTATTTTTTAGTAGAGACGGGGTTTCACTGTGTTAGCCAGGATGGTCTCGATCTCCTTACCTTGTGATCCGCCCGCCTCGGCCTCCCAAAGTGCTGAGATTACAGGCTTAGCCACCGCGCCCGGCCCAATTAACTTTCAATAAATTGACTAAGGTATTTGGTGGGATAATCCAAATTAAAGCATTGGCACATTAAGAAGACACCATTTTTTCTTTTATGCCAGTTTCAACTGTGACCTGTAGATGTCTTTGCGAATCTTCCTCTGTATCCAGTTATGGCTAAAGTTACAGAAAACAGCTCAGCCATTGGTGTTAATGATTAGTCATAAAAGAGTCTGTGCGTGAGAAGAGAGCTCAATTCACTCTGCCCATCCATGTAGCCATCTCCATCCCCCACCACAGGAGGAGGAAAGATTTTCCTCGTTTGGGCCCTTTAGACTGCATCTACTCTTGGCCTTAGAGTGGGGATATAACCCCAGCGCAGGGGACTCTGCAGGTGGAGCATCCAAGTCTGCAGGGTCTTTCTGATACCCCTGAGGGCTCAGCCAGGATGGTAGCCCAGGGCAAACACCTGTTTGGAGCTGTCCTGTGGCGCATTTTCCATGGGAAGCTGGTTTTTTTCCAGGAGACATGATTTGACTTGCATGACTGATCTGGGTAAGAATTAGCTGAGTAAGGGAAGGTTTCTACCAAATCTTGCATTGGGACAAAATAGTGAGCATTTGTTTCAACTGACCCCAACAGCTGAAAGCAGAATAAATGGACATTGAATAGGTGAGGGAAATGAATTTAATAAATTGTGGGGTTTTGTTTGTTTCTTTTTTGTTTTTGTTTTTTCTTTAAGAGAGTTTCGCTTTTGTCACCCAGGCTGGAGTGCAGTAGCGCTATCTTGGCTGACTGCAACCTCTGCTTCCTGGGTTCAAGCCATTCTCCTATCTCAGCCTCCCGAGTAGCTGGGACTACAGGCACCCGCCACCATGCCCAGCTAATTTTTGTATTTTTAGTAGAGATGGGGTTTCGCCATGTTGGCCAGGCTGGTCTTGAACTCCTGACCTCAGGCGATCAGCCCGCCTCGGCCTCCCAAAGTGCTGGGATTACAGGCATGAGCCACTGTGCCCGGCACTTTTGTAATCTTAGTAGAGACAGGGTTTCACCATGTTGGCCAGGCTGGTCTCGAACTTCTGACCTCAAGTGATCTGGCCACCTCGTCCTCCCAAAGTGCTGGGATTACAAGCATGAGCCACCGCACCCAGCCAGCAGTCCATTTCATTTTGAAGAGGACAAAATGAGGATTTGCTTTATTTTGGGGTCAGGGCTCTGTACTTTCTTCCTAACAAATGACTGAGACAATTTGAGTGGAATATAGTCTGACATTCTACTTTTTGGATTTCCTCTGCCTCTTTTTGTCTTTTCTTCAGTCCACTGGAGCTTAGACTGCCCAGTCTCCTTGAGCATCCCTGAGTAGATGGTGATCAAGTCTGCTTCTCTGCATGGAGTTCCCGTACATCTGTTTTGTTCTGCCCTGCTGCTGGTCTTCGGCAGACAGCAGTGATCATGCAGCAGTTTATCAAGGATGAGACTGAGACAGTGTCTGTGTGTTCTATTATCCTTGGCGGAGGACGATCTCTTTCCCTTGGAGACACGAGTGGAGGCTATTAACCTCAGGGAGTCTGTTGGGGCAGAGACACCTGAAATCAGTCAGGGCTCACTGCAACCTCTGTCTCCTAGGTTCAAGCGATTCTCCTGCCTCAGCCTCCTGAGTAGCTGAGATTACAGGCGCATGCCACTTCACCTGGCTAATTTTTTTGTATTTTTTAGTGGAGATGGGGTTTCACCATGTTGGCCAGTCTGGTCTCCAACTCCTGACCTCAAGTGATCCACCTGCCTCGGCCTCCCAAAGTGCTGGGATTACAGGCATGAGCTACTGCGCCCAGCCTTGTAAATTGCTTTTTTTACTAAAAAATGTATTTAAGTATTCCTCTGTTAACAGGTTGTTACCAATGTTTGGCCACTACAAATCATGCATATACATACTTGTTTCCGATATACTGCATTTATTTGTTTTCTTCTCTGCCAATGAAGAAATCACAAGGGGAAAAAATCATAAGATCGGTGAGATGATTAAATGAGGTAATGCTTATAAAAGCATGTAATACAGCACCTGGTACAGAGTAAATGTTCAATCAAGCCCCTATTATTATCACTTAAATATTACTGGTTCCATAAATTACTTTTTCTTGTCTCAGAAAGCCTTCGCCTTAGGGGCTTCTGACTAGTGGAAATAGAGCCCTATGTCCTCAAGGTCATGGGCAAGGGCAGGTCACGGGCAAGGGCAGGGCATGTCTGTATAAAACGCCTTCCTGACTAGGTGTGGTGGCTCACGTCTGTAATCCCAGCACTTTGGGAGGCCGAGGTGGGCAGATCACCTGAGGTAAGGAGTTCAAGACCAGCCTGGCCAGCATGGTGAAACCCCATCTTTACTAAAAATACAAAAATTAGCTGGGCATGGTGGTAGGTGCCTGTAATCCCAGCTACTCGGGAGGCTGAGGCAGGAGAATTGCTTGAACTTGGGAGGCAGAGGTTGCAGTGAGCCGAGATCGTGCCATTGCACTCCAGCCTGGGCAACAAGAGAGAAACTCCGTCTCAAAAAAAAAAAAAAAAAAAAAGAAAAAAAGCCTTCCTAAAGCAGGGTTCCAAATGAGGATCCTGAAGTTCTTGTGGGCTATAATCCCTTTCAGTTCCCAAATGAAAAGTGAATCTGATGATTTATTCATTTCTGTAGGGGCTAAAATGCCATTTGAAGTTATCATTGAGGCATTAAATTTTCCTCATCTGCAAAGCGTAAGGTTCCAAATACCTAGAGAGGTGAGGCTGTGAGAGATGGGAGGATGAGAGAGGTCGTTCAAAGGCTGCGAAGGAGAATGAGATAGAAGAAGTGGGCCTGCCACTCTTGGAACGTGAGCTTTGTTTGGAGGAACTCCTGTAGAGACTGGAGGGGGAAGTGGCAAGGTAAAGAGCTGCCTCCACTTTTATGTTTCATAATACGTTTTTTAGATGTTTCTTCCCAGCCAGAAATTGTCAATATGATTAAGAGTCAGCTGTCTGACCTCAAAAGAAGGTGGCCAGCTGCCCTTTAAATATGTCTCTGCAGTTGAGGGCATCCAATAAAAGCCAACTTGGTATGAAAAACCAATTTTTTTCTTTGCTGTTTATGTTTTTTTTTCTTAAAAAGCTTTGAACAACATAGCAAAAAATAAGAAAGGAGGGCTGTGCTCCAGATGTGCAAGCTTTCCTAGAAGAAAAAAAGATCTGAAAAGCTTCTTCACCACCTGTCCTGGTGAGGCAAGCAGAGGACTTGACTCCACATGAGAAAGCTAATCAAAGAAAAAACTCTACTTGTCAGAATTTTCTCTCTAGTTTTCATCGTACAGAGGCACATCCTGACAAACTATAGAGTCCCTCCACTGACCAAAAGCGAAAAACAAAAAGACAAAGTAGCTTAAAATAGGGCTGAGTAGGACTGAAAGTTTAAGGAACTATTAAAAACAAAGGAAACACGCTAATTCTACCCAACAAAGAAATAGGAAACACGTCAGAAGACAGAAGGGAAAGAAAGAAAACCTGCTACCCATGTTTAATCTTTGTCTACTCCCAGAAGACTCACAAAATTTAAAACAAGTACAAATGAAAATACAGAACACACTTTAACAAAAACAGATCAGTAGGTGGTTACCATGTGCCTACTTAGAGCAGCCCCTATTTCTCAGGGCCACGAGAGTGATAGCACAGATGAATTAAGCCCACACGCCCAAAGCAAAAATTTCATTTTGGTCTTTAGTCTTATTCTCTTCTCAACTAGAGACTAACAAAAGTAAGTCAAACCACTTCGAGTTTCAGCAGTTTTCCTTCTTATTTCTGTACTAAAGAGTTATGAAAATGGCTCTTGGCAAATATGAGGAAAAGGAAAAGCAACAAGCCTTATTTGACTGCACTGAGGCTGTCTGTGCAGACTTTTCAGAGGTGGGGTTGTCAGTGCAAGAGACGAACAGCACATAGGGCTCTTAGCCTTGCCACTTTGTTTGAAAGGCTATAGAAACTGACTGGTAGGTGCCAGGCATTGTGATAGTTATTTTATATATATATATATATTTGCATTTAATCCTTCAGTAGCCCAGTGAAGTGGAAATTTGTATTTCTGTTTGTTTTTGTTTGTTTGTTTTTTGAGACGGAGTCTCACTCTGTCCCCCAGGCTGGAGTGCGGTGGCATGATCTTGGCTCACTGCAAGCTCCGCCTCCCAGGTTCACGCCATTCTCCTGCCTTAGCCTCCCGAGTAGCTGGGACTACAGGCGCCCGCCACCACGCCTGGCTAATTTTTTGTATTTTTAGTAGAGATGGTATTTTTTGTATTTTAGTAGTTTCACCTTGTTAGCCAGGATGGTCTCAATCTCCTGACCTCATGATCCGCCCGCCTTGGCCTCCCAAAGTGCTGGGATTACAGGCGTGAGCCACCGCGCCCGGCTTGTATTTCTGTTTTACACAAGAACTCAGAGTTCAAGTATCATGGTCAAAGTCATGTATTCTAAATGGGGGTGGGCCAATATTTGAACAAAGATCAGAGAAGAAGCAATGTATTTGCTGTGCTGTGAGCAGGCATATTTGCTCTGAAATTTGAACTGAGAGGCAGTTCTGAAATGTTCTGCAGACTGGGGCCCAGAATTGGTGCCCTGACAAACCAGAGCCACAGGCATGATGGTATAGTAGCCAAGGAATCAGCTCTCTATGGCAGGAATGAAGCACAGGCAGAGAGAAGGAGAGACCAGGAGCCACTGAGGGACAGGTGTGTGTGCAACATTTAAAGCTACAGATAGGCCAGGTGCAGTGGCTCACGCCTATAATCCCAGCACTCTGGGAGGCCAAGGCAGGCAGATTGCTTGAGCTCAGGAGTCAGAGACCAGCCTAGGCAACATGGCCAAACCCTGTCTCTACAAAAAATACAAAAATTAGCTGGGTGTGGTGGTGTATCCTTGTACATCCAGTTACTTGGGAGGCTGAAGCGGGAGGATTGCTTGAGCCAGGGAGGTGGATGCTGCAGTGAGCCAAGATCACACCACTGCACTCCTGCCTGGGGCACAGAGGGACACCCTGTCTCAAAAAAATTAAAAAATTAAAAAAAAAAAAAAGCTACAGATGATGCCTGGACCCTCTCCCAGGCCCACCGGATGGAAATCACCAGGAACTCAGACCACAGCTGAGAACACTGATCTGGCTTGAGTAGATTCTGTTCCTTGAAATCTTAAAATGACTTTGACCTTCCCCAGACACCTTGTCCTTTCTACTACACCTCATTGCCCTTATCTAAGCATAGAAATGCAGTGATTAATTCAGGAAAAAGGTAACAAAAAGAAGGAGAATACAAAAAGAAGGAATCTGATGGCTAGAAGCGTCCTCTCAGCTCAGCTAATGACCACTTTTGTGGTTATTTTTGTTTAACATTGTCAGAGTTTGCTGAAAGAATGTGGAATCTCATTTCTTGAATATTTGCAAAGAGGACATGTAGCCACCTACCAGAATGATTCCAGTGCCAATGCTTCTGCCTGAAAATCAATGAGTGTGTCTTTCTGTTTTTTTTTTTTTTTTCTCCAGACGGAGTCTTGTTCTGTCACCCAGGTTGGAGTGCAGTGGCATGATCTCGACTCACTGCAACCTCTGCCCCCGGGTTCAAGCGATTCTCCTGCCTCAGCCTCCCGAGTAGCTGAGACTACAGGCACATGTCACCACGCCTGGCTAATTTTTGTATTCTTAGTAGAGACGGGGTTTCACCATGTTGGCCAGGCTGGCCTCGAACTCTTGACCTCATGATCTGCCCACCTTGGCCTCCCAAAGCGCTGCGATTACAGGCATGAGCCACCGCACCCGGCCGAGTGTGTCTTTCAAGTCCCAGTCCAAGGATGTTACTGAAACCGCCTTTGCAAAAATTATAAATGAGAAAATTATGACTGATCTAACTGACTCCATCTTGCTTCTAACCTCCAAGCTGTCTTTGTTCATTCCTGGGCGTGGGCCCAACTAACTTTGGAAGAAATTTAGTTTACAGTTTAGCTTTCAAACAAAGACAATAACAGACCTTTCGCAAAACAAACCCCCTTCCTGCCTGGGGACGAGACTGCTTTTTTAGAACTAGCAAATTAGCTACAGGATTAGAAATTATGGTTTAGGAGTCACGCAGCTGGAGATTCTGAACCTCCTCAAATTGTTCCTGGGGATAACATCACTATTGTAAAACCTAAGATCAGTGCTTAACATACTTTGCAGACCCTACACTTGACGGATCAGCTGGCACCACCCAGACGGATAAACTGGCTCATCCTGTCTTGTGGCCCCCACCCAGGAACTGACTCAGCGCAGGAGGACAGTTTCAACTCGCTGTGATTTCATCTCTGACCTGACCAATCAGCAGCTCCCCACTCTCCAACCCCCTACCCACCAAATTATCCTTAAAAACCCTGATTCCCGAGTTTTCAGGGAGACTGATTTGAGTACTAATAAAATTCCAGTCTCCCATACAGCCGGCTCTGCGTGAATTAAACTCTTTCTTTATTGCAATTCCCCTGTCTTGATAAATTGGCTCTGTCTCAGCAGCGGGCAAGGTGAACCTGTTGGGCAGTTACCTTATTTGTTAAATGCCATACGAAGTTCCTTGCAGTATGTGCATATTCGGCCTCCTGGCTCTGATAAAAGGAGACATATACATGGGTTATTCTAAAAGATACTAATTCCACACATCACCAGAAGAAAATTATTTTGATGGCGAAACTTTTCTACTTACCTATAACCTTCTAAGGAGGATGTGCCTTAATGAGAAACCTTGTTTTGCTGAGTGAGGTAAAGGGAAGGAGGATATAATTTTGGAGCAAGGAGAGAACTAAATTGTTTTGCATTAGAAAAGAGATATGGGGGAGGAGAAAGGCTAGAGGGGTTTTCAACCTTAATTTCCCATTAGAATCTCCTGGGGAGTTTTTAAAACTAGGAAACCTGAGTTTCACTTTCAGCAATTCAGATTCTATTAGTCTGGATGGGCCCCACCTGGGTATTTTTGAGAACCAGTGGTAAGCAGAGAGGAGGACTTGGTGGTTGGTGTTTTCTAGTGAAACTGCTGTGCCATATAACATCTGTCTTTCTAGAATATGCCTCAGAAATCTAGACTAATCATTAACACTTTGGAAATTTGATTTCTTTCTTTCTTTTTTTTTTTTTTTTTAAATGGAGTGAAGTATCATGTTTGGCCTCAAAGTGGCTGTGGAGGGCAGAGTGTGCTCATGGTCTTGGTGGTACTGGGGCAAAACATATTTTACAGCTGCAAAGAAGCAAAGGGCAGAGAAGTTTCAGAAGCTCACAAGTGAATGTATTAGCAGTCTTGTATGTTTTATTGCTTCTATCAAATAAAAAAATCTTTTGAGGTACAGAAGGTTTTTTCTTGGTGGCATACAAGTATAGCACTCACATTCTAAACAAGGCATTCTAAATAAAATGAAATAAAATAAAACACAGCAAAGCCAACATCAACAGAAGATTACCCTTTCTCTTTGACTCATACTTTGTCTTAGACATTATATGATTCAAGGGATGAATGCGTGGTTTGTAAATTTCCCAGACCTTTGTTTCTCTGGACTTGAGATATGTCACTGCCCTTCTGCAGAAAGTGGAGATGTAGTGACAAGCAATGGAAGAAAAAAGGATTCCTAGACTAGTATAAGACAGCCCTCCTCTACTCCCATTGGTCTTATAGGTGAGGGATCCTTCAGCTTTTTTTTGTGTGTGTGTATGTGTGTGACGGAGTTTCTCTCTCGTTGCCCAGGCTGGAGTGCAATGGCGTGATCTCTGCCCACCGCGACCTCTGTCTGCTGGGTTCAAGTGATTCTCCTGCCTCAGCCTCCCGAGTAGCTGGGACCGCAGCCTGGCTAATTTTTTGTATTTTTATTAGAGACAGGGTTTCACCATGTTGGTCAGGTTGGTCTCGAACTCCTGACCTCAGGTGATCCACCCGCCTTAGCCTCCCAAAGTGCTAGGATTACAGACGTGAGCCACCGTGCCCCACTGATCCTTCAGCTTTTTTTTTTTAATTAATTTTTTTTTTGAGATGGAGTTTCTCTCTTGTTGTCCAGGCCGGAGTGCAATGGCGCAATCTAGGCTCACTGCAATCTCCACCTCCTGGGTTCAAGCAATTCTCCTGCCTCAGCCTCCCAAGTGGTTGGGATTACAGGCATGCACCACCACGCCTGGCTAATTTTTTGTATTTAGTAGAGATGAGCTTTCACCAGGTTGGTCAGGCTGGTCTGGAACTCCTGACCTCGTGATCCACCCGCCTCAGTCTCCCAAAGTTCTGGGATTACAGGCGTGAGCCACCGCACCTGGCCATCTTTCAGCTTTTAAAGATAAAGAGGCCAGGCCATGAAGGGTAAGTCAGTTCATTCTGCCATCCACCTGGAATGCTGACAAAGTATTGTTAGTAGGGCAAGTTGAAAACTTTAAATACAGTGGTGATTGATCTCAATCAATTTTTGGTGTTTTGTTAGATGCTTGATAAATATACTAATGGAGGATAATGGCACATCCATTCATTAAAAATATTATTTAGGCCGGGCGCGGTGGCTCATGCCTGTAATCCCAGCTACTCAGGAGGCTGAGGCAGGAGAATTGCTGAACCTGGGAGGCAGAGGTTGCAGTGAGCCAAGATCGCCGCACTGCACTCCAGCCTGGGCGACAGAGCGAGACTCTGTCTCAAAAAATAAAATTAAGTTAAATTAAATATATATATATAATTTATACAATACTTTTTCTATGCCAGGCACTGAATTAACCACTGAAGAGAAAATAGTTCTCACCCTTCTGGTCTATTTGATTGTTCCCAGGCTTCATTCCTTAAGAAAATACTCAGTTGCATTTTTCAGAACAAACCATTTACGACTGAGTTTGGTCTGTTACTTAAGAACTGATATAGAGATGCTGATCTAGAGGAATAGTTGCGTTCAAGACCCTTCCCCCTCCCTGCCGCCCTCTTCTCTCCCCTCATTTGTCCAGGAATATATCACTTCACTGAGTATCCAAAATAAAGCTAAGGTTTTCCTGTTTGAAGTACTGAATCTAGGGTTCATAATAGAATTTTTTATCTTGAAGAAGAGTTTAAGTCATAATCAGTTCTCTTAACAGTCAAAACAAAATTAAAATCACCCCATAGGGTTACCAAAGTTCATACTAATAATATTATAGAATGTAAAATTTGTATTAGTCACATTACTGCTCTTACTTATGGCTTATTATGATATATGTAAATTAAAAAAAAAAGAAAAACAGATTCTACCACTTAAAGCAAAGGAATAGTAACAAATCAAACCAAGGCATATCCAGAAAATCCAACGTACGAATTCCTAGGCTCCACAACTAATGCTGAGCCAAAGAGGCCAACGACATAACTCAACATGCTGCAGAGGTAGTCATGTTGATCTCTGGGAAGGGTCCATGGGTGTGTGTGCCAGGAGGGGAGGACCTGAGGTTACAGAGAACAGCAATTATGGTCCTCTATTGAAGCAAACAGAATCCAGGTCCGCTTTTCCAACGTCAACCTATCAACTTAAGGCGGATTTGTCTCCTGTCCTTTTTTCAAGAACATTGCCTAAGATGGTGGCTTGTTTATTTATGTCTTAGATTTATGGATTGACTTTCCTCCAGAAGGCCTCTCTGCTAAAATGTAAACATGTTTTAGATGTCTTCTTCCTGTCGTTGTCACCCAGCTCAAAAGAGAGAGTAAGAGAGCCGTGTGCTCCTGCTGTGCAATAATAATTGAGTGTTTGCAAACAACCCCATTTGACACATGCATTTATTCTTACATATTAGAACATCTTTTTTTTTTTTTTTGGAGAGGAAAGATTGACAACAATTTTCAGTTAGACATAATGTGGTCTTATTCCGTATTGTCTTTTTCGGTTTGCTCCCTACTCAGCCTGGGGGTAGATTATTTTCCTTTCCCATCACCTGTGTTTCTTCCTGAGCCTTTCCAGCTTTTCATCTGGGCTGCTTTTCATTTCTTTAAACAACTCGCAAATTCAGCCTTCTCTGGTCACAATTTTGAAGTCACAATCTAAATGTTTTTTTCAGCTCAGTAAGCTTTCTTCACTTAAATAATAAAATAAAATAAAAGAGGATTAACAGGCACTGGGAAGACAGTGCTGTATCTTGGCAAGAAAGATCAGGCTTTTCTCAACAGTATCATGAAATTCGGAAAGGAAAAGACACTACAGAACTGGCCAATTTTTCGGTGGCTCACGCCTGTAATCCCAACACTTTGGGAGGCCGAGGTGGGCGCATCATGAAGTCAGGAGTTGGAGATCAGCCTGACCAACATTGTGAAACTCCATCTCTACTAAAAAAATACAAAAATTAGCCAGGCGTGGTGGTGCACGCCTGTAATCCCAGCTACTCAGGAGGCTAAGGCAGGAGAATCGCTTGAACCCGGGAGGCAGAGGTTGCAGTGAGCTGAGATTGCACCACTGCACTCCAGCCTGGGTGACAGAGTGAGACTCTCTCTCAGGAAAAAATAAATAAATAAATAAAATAAAAGTACTGGCCAATTTTTTTTAATATTGATAATAAGATGGCTAAGGCTATTCTAATTATGTGTGTGTATCTATGCATGGTTGCAAGTCCAGAGACAGCCAGTGGTAAGGGGCCCTATATGGCAGTGACAGGATTTTTTCCTACCCTGTGGAAATTGCAGCAAGTAGGACTCTTCCTCTATGACAATTTCCTACTCCTCTTTACAGAGGTCAGACTTAGACTTCTAGAATATTCTGTTGTTGGGTCACCCAGCCACAGATGAAACAGTATGGTTAAGTGTGCTCATGACTGGGAGAGAATCGGTCACTACACTACCTTATGATGAACTCCTGTTCATTACTAGTTCAGCGTGAGATTCTAGGGTGATGGGAAACTCCAGCATGGAGCCACCTGCCTTGTGAAAATGTCACATATTACTGAGCCTAGATTGGAATTCTGGGCCATCCAGGCTCTGCAAGCCTTTTGGCACAGAGCCTTTTATGGCTCTCCCGGCAGGAGATACATTCAGGCTGAATCTGAAAGTGGGCAAAATTGGCAGAAGATAGAACAAATAGAGTCGGTAGAAGCTGATTTTTAATGAAAGGGTTATTGGGTCTCTGGAGTGTATTTTCTCTTCATATCCCTAGGACCTAGCATAGTGCCTGCATGTAATAGATACTTAAGAACTGTTGTCTGGGCTGGGCGCGGTGGCTCACGCTTATAATCCCAGCACTTTGGGAGGCCGAGGTGGGCAGATCATGAGGTCAGGAGTTCGAGACCAGCCTGGCCAACACAGTGAAACCCCGTCTCTACTAAAAATACAAAAATTAGCTGGGCGTGGTGGTGGGTGCCTGTAGTCCCAGCTACTTGGGAGGCTGAGGCAGGAGAATCGCTTGAACCCAGGAGGTGGAGGTTGCAGTGAGCTGAGATTTTGCCACTGCACTCCAGCCTGGGCAACAGAGCTAGACTCCGTCTCAAAAAAAAAAAAAAAAAAAAAAAAAAGAACGGTTGTCTGAATGATTAAATGAATTTGAATGAATGTATTAAATGGCATTCTCAATTAAGACAGGTGGCTTGAATGCCTCATTGTACAAAGATGGTCTTTAGAGAATCCTAAGCCTCACTTATCCATCCATCCATTTAAGAAATATTACTGAGCATCTCCTATGTGTTCCTTAGCACTTTCTCTGACATTATCTGCTTCATTTAGACTTCTTACCCCCACCCAGCTGGGTCCTAGAATGTAAGCTCCTTGAGGGTAGTGAGCTTCCTGTCCTTATTGCTATGTCTTTAGCACTTAGACCAGAGCTTTAGGAACGGGGAGAAGTCCTCAAAATGCGATAGATTGAATTTTCTGCCAGCTAGTATTGTCTGACTTGCCAATGGCTCCAAATTGTTCCCTGTATTAAAACCCACTGGTGGCTGGGGGAGGTGGCTCTTGTGTTGGGCTTGAGATCTTCACCTGTCAAGGACCACTTGCTCATCTACTGATCAGCCTCTGCTGTTATTCCAGACCATGTCCCATGGCCACCTTGCATCTTTCCCCATCTCATTTGATGAGAGCTGATATACAAACTCCGGAGTTTTTCCATATTTTCTAAAAGTTCAGTTTTTTAAGTGTAGTGTTTGGTATTCCTTTGTTTTGGCCATTTCTGTTCTCATTGTATTTCATACAATTCAAAAAATGCTGGAGGTTAAAAGTGCAACTTTCCTCCAGTAGGAAAATGTTTAATGCCTTTGGCAAAACTGTTTTTTCTCTGTGCTGCTGAGATAGGATGGGTCTCATAAATCTCCCAGAGTTCAGGCTAGAGAAGAGTAACTCCTAGACTACAGACTGCCTGCAAGAATTGCCCCAGCTTCCTGGAGCGTCCTTTATTCTGCATTTGCTTCTTGAGTCCCTATTCTGAAATCTACTTTCTGTTACAGACGGGAAGAAGCCAAGAGGAAGAAAGATATTTGCATAGAACTCCACAGTTTACAAAGCCTTTTCACATGTTATCTTTTAAAAATCCTTGCCATTAAACTGTGAAATGTGTGCTATCTCCGTTTAGAGATGAGGAAATAGAGGCTTAGAGAGGTTAAATAACACGCTAACAAGGAATGAAAGTGTCATTTCAACCCAAATCTCCCAAATATGAACCTTACATGTTTTTCTACTCCCAAACGATGTCACAAATGAGCCTCTTAAGTTTGCTAGATTTTTGTTTCCTGGTTACTTCTCTGTGGATGTTACGGTTCCCCAAACTTGCCCTCTCCTCTATGTGTTTACTGTCACTTATATTCATCCCTATTCACATCTCAGCTCACACAAGATAGTGGAAGACAGTGGTAAGAGTGGGATCTGGAGTCACACTGCCTGAGTCTAAATCTTGGTCCTGCCATTTACTCTCTGTCAGACCTTGAACGGTTTGTTTTTTTTTTTTTGAGATGGAGTCTAGCTCTGTCGCCCAGCCTGCAGTGCAGTGGCGTGATCTCGGCTCACTGCAACCTCTGCCTCCCGGGTTCAAGTGATTCTCCTGCCTCAGCCTCCCTAGTAGCTGGGACTACAGGCGTGTGCCACCGTGCCCAGCTAATTTTTGTATTTTTAGTAGAGACGGGGTTTCACAATGTTGGCCAGGATGGTCTCAATCTCCTGACCTCATCATCCGCCCACCTCGGCCTCCCAAAGTGCTGGGATTATAGGCGTGAGCCACAGTGCCCAGCTGGATGGTTGTTTAACCTCTTAGTTCTTAGTTATTCCATCTGTATGACGGGATAATTACAATGCTTATTTTCAAGGGCTGGCAAAGAAAGAATACAAATATCTAATTGCTTAAAGAGTATTCCATTTGCTGTGATTCCCTCCCGATTTTGCACATCACCCATTTCCCCTGTTTCTCAAAAATCGCCTTTTGATCATCGTGGGAATTCCAACCAACCACCCCTACCAGAGAGAGGAAAATGAAAGGAGAAAAAAGAGAGGAGAAAAAAGGGAAAATCATGGAGCAAATGGGTAGAAGTGTCAGATGTAGAGAAAACGTTAAGACAGCCAGCTGAATTGAAAGAAGAAGGAATATTAAAATAAATGTACAAATGTTGTTCTGTGGAAGGTTGAGGAGAAGAGAGGAGAGAAATAGCTAAAAATGGCACTGCCTGTCCTGGCAGACATGTCCTGGCTCAGAAGGATCTGCTGTGAATCCAGGAACTAGCAGAGGAGCGTGGAACCCAACTCAGCAACTCTGCGGGAGCAGAGGAAATGATGAGAAGAGCTGGCTTGGGCAGGAAGGAGGAAGGATGACAGGAATTGTCTCTGTAGAAATCCAAGTGGCAGTTGGGATGTATTTGCGTTTTAAGAAATTATTTTTTTTTTAAAAAAAAGGACAACAAGCTTTTTATACACTCTTTTGCTTAGCAACAAGAGCCACCAAAGGCATGTGTTCAGTCAAAATGTCAGTTGCTCAGCTCATTAAAATATTAAGTGAAACACTGACGACAATTACACAGCATTGAGCCTTTTTGTCTGCCAAAGCGTGCCTTCCAATGCACAACAAAGTGGGTCAAAAGTTTGTTTTGTTATTTTATCATTTCTTTTTATCTTAGATTTTTGATGGAGTTTCTTTTCAGTAGGTGAAATGGTTGCCAAGTTTGGCAGGGATAATTTGAGGACGGGGCACTTCAATAACTCAGACATCTATTTCTGGATGGCCAAGGAAAAGAAAGACTCCCCTGAATTTCTTTCTGTCATAGAAATTCACTCACTCAACAAATATTTTCTAAGCTTCTGCTGTGTGCTAGACCTTGTGCTAGATGTTGGGAATAAAGTTGTGAGCAAGACAAATACATACCATGTTCTCATGATGAGATTCTTGGGTCCTACTCAAATTTGTTTACCTAGACAACAACTCATGTTCAAAATCTCTCTTCCAATCACGTAAAATGAACACCTCCTAAGATTTCCCTTGCCAGGCTCTGCTATGAGAAATGAACATTGATTACCAGGGGATGTGGATAGATTATGAGGTGTCCATAGCAAAGAACAGCTATGAAAGTAATCTCCCTATGGGCCCTTGTACCTGGAATATATAAAAGCATACACTTTGAAATATAAAGCCTTAACCCACAGGACTAAATTCCTGCTCGGGGGATTTCAAGCATACACACACACATTTATTTACGTGGCTCTCCCAGTGGCATACCTGTATTTTGATGGTTATAATGTAAGTAGAGCGAGCATTTATTGAATGTTTACCAAGTACCAAGAATTGTGCTAAGCACTTTTTTTTTTTTTTTTTTTTTGAGACAGAGTCCTGCCTGTTGCCCAAGCTGGAGTGCAGTAGTGTGATCTCAGCTCACTGCAGCCTCTGCCTCCCAGGTTCAAGCAATTCTCTGGCCTCAGCCTCCTGTGTAGCTGGGACTACAGGCATGCACCACCACGCCTGGCTAATTTTGTATTTTTAGTAGAGATGGGGTTTCACCATGTTGGCCAGGATGGTCTCCACCTCCTGACTTCGTGATCCACCTGCCTTGGCCTCCCAAAGTATTGGGATTACAGGCATGAGCCACTGCGCCTGGCTGTGCTAAGCATTTTAAATGAAGAAACTCGTGGCCGGGCTTGGTGGCTCACACCTGTAATCCTAGCACTTTGGGAGGCTGAGGCGGGTGGATTGCCTGAGCTCAGGAGTTCATGACCAGCCTGGGCAACACGGTGAAACCCCGTCTCTACTAAAATAAAAAAACTTAGCTGGGTGTGGTGGTGGGTGCCTGTAATCTCAGTTATCCTGGAGGGTGAGACAGGAGAATCGCTTGAACCTGGGAGGCGGAGGTTGCAGTGAGCCCAGATCACGCCACTGCACTCCAGCCTGGGCGACAGAGTGAGACTCCATCTCAATAAACAAACAAACAAACAAACAAACTCATTTAATCTTTAAATCGTATAAGGTTTGAAGACCTGTAATAGATCTGAGATTTTGCTCTATTTCCAAGCTTCTGGATGCTGGCAGAAGACAGTAGACTTCTGGGTCAGAGGCAAAGGACATTATTACTCATGGCTCAGCCAGCAGCATGAGCATGAGTACATTTGTACAGCTCCCCTGGCCTGAAGTTTCAAGGGGTGCCAGCAAATGGTGGATTGTGCTCTAGGAGAAGAACTCTAAGCTTAAAAAACCTGAATCTTTTATAATGGGCAGTAAGCAGACTGCCCTTTGCTCTGGAGGGAGACATTATTTCTATATTTCTTTTTTTTTTTTTTTTTGAGACGGAGTGTCGCTCTGTTGCCCAGGCTGGAGTGCAGGGGTGCGATCTCGGCTTACTCCAAGCTCCGCCCCCTGGGTTCAAGCGAGTCTCAGGCCTCAGCCTCCCGGGTAGCTGGGATTACAGGCGCACGGCACCATGCCTGGCTAATTTACAGGGTTTCGCCTTGTTGGCCAGACTGGTCTCAAACTCCTGACCTCAGGTCATCCGCCGGCCTCGGCCTCCCAAAGTGCGGGGATTACAGGCGTGAGCCACTTCACCTACCTACAGCTTTCATTTTCAAAACTTCCTTCAATTATGCAATCTGCAGTTACTCAACTTTTTGGTAAACCATACAAGAAGTGCAAAAATGATATATTCATTTCCCTGAGGAAAATTTTGACAATAATTACACATTTGTTTAACCAAGTCAAAGACACTGAGTTGAAAAACTGCCGATTTTGTTATTTTTTACTAGAACTATAACATAGGCTTAGTATATACCGTCACAATTCTACTTTAAATAAGTAGAATTTACATGTTAGCATGCTGAGCAGTTTTTAGACCACTTTGGGCTCACAAAGAGTGACATGGATTTTTTTTTCTCTTTTTATTACAATTTTTTTTTTTTGAGACATAGTCTTGCTCTGTCGTCTAGGCTGGAGTGCAGTGGCGCGATCTCGGCTCATTGCAAGCTCCACCTCCTGGGTTCACGCCATTCTCCTGCCTCAGCCTCCCGAGTAGCTGGGATACAGGCGCCCGCCACCACGACCAGCTAATTTTTTGTACGTTTTTTTTTAGTAGAGACGGAGTTTCACGGTGTTAGCCAGGATGGTCCTGATCACCTGACCTCGTGATCCGCCCGCCTCGGCCTCCCAAAGTGCTGGGATTACAGGCGTGTGAGCCACCGCGCCCGGCCTTTATTACAATTTTTATTGAGATAATTTTGATATGCAGTTGTAAGAAACAATACAAAAAGGTCCCTTGTACACTTTGCCCAGTATCCTCCAATGCTACCATTTTGCTAAACTATGGTATATTGCAACTAAGATATTGACATCAATACAATCCACTGACATTATTTGTATTTCAACAATTTTACTTTTATTCGTTTGTGTTTGTATTAAGCTCTACACAATTTTATCACCCATGTAGATTCGTGTATCAACCAATACGATCAAGATATTGAACAGTTCTTGCCCTTTTATAACCACACCTACTTTCCTCCGGATCCCCCATCCCAATACGACCCGTGGCAACCACTAATCTGCTGTGTATCTCTGTAAGTTTGTCATTTTATGTAAATGGAATCTATAGCCTGTAATCTTTTGGAATGGGCTTTCTTTTTCACCCAGCAAAATTCCCTGGACATACATCCAACTTGTGTGTATCAATTGTTTCCTCCTTTTGATTACAGAGTAGTATTTCATGGTATGTATGCGCCACAGTTTATTTAACCATTCACCTGTTGAAGGACATTGATGCTGATTACTTTTTTTGCTGTTACAAATACAGCCACTAGGAGCATTCATGTTTTTGTGTGACTGTGTTTTCTTTTCTCTGGCATAAATGTCCAGGAGTGCAATTGCTGGGTTAGATTTTAGTTGCATATTTTCATTAGTGTTTACATGTACTGTAAGTGTGGGAGTATGTGTGAGAAATATCATAAAATTTTATCCCATGTGTAGATTAAAAACTTTTTAAAAATATAATATCAACTTTTATTTTAGATTTAAGGGGTATGTGTGCAGGTTTGTTACATGAGTTTATTACATGACACTGAGGTTTGAGGTATGAAAGACCCCATCACCCAGGATCTTTAACTTCTACTCTTATTACTTCCACTGCCTATTGGGTACTGAGCATAGTACCCAATAGGTAGTGTTTCAGCCCCTGTCCTCCTTCCTCTCTCCTGCTTCTAGTAGTCCCCAGTGTCTGTTTTTCTCTCTCTTCTTTTTTTTGACACGGAGTTTCGCTCTTGTTGCCCAGGCTGGAGTTCAATGGCATGATCTTAGCTCACTGCAATCTCTGCCTCCTGGGTTCAAGCATTCTCCTAGCTCAGCCTCCCAAGTAGCTGGGATTACAGGCATGTGCCACCACACCAGACTAATTTTTGTACTTTTAGTAGAGACGGGGGTTTCCCCATGTTGGCAAGGCTGGTCTCGAACTCCTGACCTCACGTGACCTGTCTGCCCTGGCCTCCCAAAGTGCTGGGATTACAGGCATGAGCCACTGCACCCAGCCCTGTTGTTCTCATCTTTATGTCCCTGTGTATCCAATGTTTAGTTCCTGCTTGTAAGTGAGAACATGATGCAGTATTTGGTTTCCTGTTCCTTTGCTAATTTGCTTAGCATAATGGCCTGTAGCTACATCCATGTTGCTGTAAAGGACATGGTTTTGTTCTTTTTATGGCTGCATAGTATTCCATGGTGTATATGTACCACATTTTCTTTATCCAATCCATTGTTGATGGGTACCTAGTTGATTCCATGTCTTTTCTGTTCTGAATAGTGCTATGATTAATGTATGAGTGCATGTGTCTTCTTCATAGAATGATTTTTTTTTCTTTGAGCATATAATCTCATTGCTGGGTTGAGTAGTGGTTCTGTTTTAAGTTCTTTGAGAAATAAAACTGCTTTCCACAGTGGCTGAACTCTTTTACATTCCCACCAATAGCATGTAAGTGCTTCTTTTTCTCTCCAGCCTCGCCAGCATCTGTTATTTTCTGGCTTTTACAAGCCATTCTGTCATGGGTCAGATGATATATCTTTTTTTTTTTTTGAGAGGAACCCTCACTCGGTTGCCCAAGTTGGAGTGCAGTGGCACGATCTCTGCTCACTGCAACCTCCGCCTCCCGGGTACAAGTGATTCTTCCGCCTCAGCCTCCCAAGAAGCTGGGACTACAGATGCGAGTCACCACACCCAGATAATTTTTTGTATTTTTAGTAGAGACAGGGTTTCACCATGTTGGCCAAGCTGGTCTCAAACTCCTGACCTCATGATCTGTCTGCTGTGGCCTCCCAAAGTGCTGGGATTACAGGCGGGAGCCACCGTGCCCAGCTGAGATGATATCTCATTGTGGTTTTGATTTGCATTTCTCTGATGATTAGTGATGTTGAATGTTTTTTCATATGTTTGTTGGCTTCTTGGATGTCTTTTGAAAAGTTTCTGTTTATGTCTTTTGCCCACTTTTTAATGGTGTTACGTGGTTTTTGCTTGTTGAGTTGTTTAAGTTCCTTATAGATTCTGCATACTAAACCTTTGTTGGCTGCATAGTTTGCAACTATTTTCTCTCATTCTGTAGGTTGTCTGTTTACTCTGTTGGCAGTTTCCCTTGCTGTGATACAGACGTGTATATGGCAAATCTAAATAGCTTAATCCGATCAGTTGTTATACTAAGATACTTTATGCTTTGTTCTCCAACTCCAAATTGGCTCCTTAACCAAGCGGAAATGCTATGAAAGGTAGAATATAAGAAGACTAAGAGCAGTGAACGCCCCGGACCTGATTTGCCAATAGTGAGCTGTGTAAGCTTAAGCCAGATGCTTACTTTTAGCTTCAGTTTCTTGGTCTCTTAATAGGGCTGAAAACATGATATATATATTTTTTCTACTAGTGCTAATTGGAATATGATTCTGATCTAGTGAATTCTATTGAGAAGCCAGTACTTAGAGCCAAGTTGTACACTCTTTATGTTTGTATTTACTTTAGTCAGACAGACCTGGGTTTGCATCCTAACTCTGCTGGTTGTGTGACTTTAGGGGAAGCTGCTTAACCTCTTTGAGGTTCTGTAAAATTAATATGACAACACTCTCTTTTCCATAAATATTTCTACACACTCAAGTCTCTTGAATTAAAAAAACAAAGAACAAAAAACCCTATTTTGACCTCACGTTTCTGTTCTTTTATCAACACCTCTCTCTTTTTTTTTTTTGAGACAGTCTCGCTCTTTCGCCCAGGCTGGAGTGAAGTGGCGTGATCTTGGCTCACTGCAACCTCCCCGCTCACCCCGCCCCAGGGTTCAAGCAATCCTCCTGCTTCAGCCTCCCAAGTAGCTGGGATTATAGGCACCTGCCATCACATCCAGCTAATTTGTGTATTTTTAGTAGAGACGGGGTTTCGCCATGTTGGCCAGGCTGGTCTCAAACTCCTGACCTCAGGTGATGCACCCACCTCAGCCTCCCAAAGTACTGGGATTATAAGCGTGAGCCACTGTACCCAGCCAACCATCTCTCTTGCTTTCCTTTCAGAGCAAGCTTCCTAAGAACTGTTGGCAGTATTGTGTCTACGTTCCCCCTTTCCTTTGACCCTATAGCAATGTGATTTCTACTCTTATTACTTCCACTGAGACTATTTTCACCAAGGTCACTAATGACTGCCTTCTTCCTAAATCCAAAGAACAGTTCTCCATTGTTGCTCAGCAAAATTCAACATAGTCAACAACTATCTCCTTGAAACACCCTTTTCCTTTGGCTTCCAAGAATTTATTTTCTACCTCTGTTCTTCTTTTTTGCTCTGTTTCCTTTGGGGCCTGTCTTCTGTTTACCCCTTACATATGTGGTTGTCCTATAGGGTTCTATTCTAGATCCTCTATTTCTCTACAAAATCTTCTGGATATCTTATATATTTTCATGTCTTCAAGTACCACCTACCATGTATGCTAATGCCTCCTCAATCTTTATCTTTAGCCGATAGTTTTTCTGATCTTCATATCCTTATACACAACTGCACTCTATTTCCACTTAATTGTCTTATAGACATGTCCCACCACATGTCCAAAATAAAACTCATTATCTTTCTACCCATATTAATGCCCTTATATTGGTGAAGGAATCACCATCCACTCAGTGGCTCAAGCCAGAAACTTGGGCATTATCCTTTCCTTTCCCCTACCCTCATGCTCCATATTCAATCAAGGAAGTCTTGCTGATTCCAGCTTTTACATATCTCTTGAATCCATCCATCTTCTCCATCTCAATGGCCATTTTCTGATTCAGACCACAATCGTCTCTCATCTCGATGACTACAACATTCTCCACATTGATCTCATTGATCAGTCTTGCTGCCATTTTCACACTACAGCTGAATTATCATATCATTTCCCTGATTACAATCTTGCAACAGCTTTACATTGCCCTCCAGCTAAATTTCAGACTCTTGGCAATGACTTACAAGACTCTTTGTGATGCGGACTCTGCTCACCTCTGTAGCTTCATCTTTCTCTCCTCTCACTGTTCTGACACCATACATTTCATGTTCCACTGAAACAGAGCTCCTTCCAGTCCCTCAGATGAACCACGGGGCCTGTGGGTACACGTTATCCTCTTAGCTAGAAAACTCCTCTCCAAGCTCTCCACAGGTCTATATCTATATCACCACCTCCAACAAGCAAACCTTCCCTGATCCACCACGCTCCTGCTGGGTGGATCAGGACATATTCTATGTTCCCCTCTGTGTTCACCCTATCGTCATATTTGGTACATTGTACTATCAGTATCTCTTACTACACTGACCTCCGTGAAGGCAAAGGCCCTGTCCATTTCACAGGTATTCCTTGTACTTAGCAGAGCCTGACACGTAGTGAGAACACACTCCACAAATGTCTATTGACTGAGCACAGGTACAGAAGTCACACATTAGCTTGTTTAATAAGCTAATTTCTGCTCTGTCACCAGAATAATAGAATAGCAGAGTATTTCAAATATTGGGATTTTAATAGGACAGTAGAATAGGACAGTCAGCCAGTTGGTTTCTATCTGTGTTCAGAAGTCCTGTGGCTTGACAGAGGGAACTTGGGGGTTCTCATGATGAGAGGGGGGTAGAAGGGGAGAGGAGAATGGTAAAGGAAGCCCACTGGGCAGGTTTTCGGGTCCCTAACATGGCTTTAACCAGAAGAGCTCAAAATTGTTTTGTTTTATCCACTAGAATGCCATTTTATATTTCATATGGGAAAAAAAGGAATGATAAAGGAGACAAAAAGAAAATGAAGCCCTGATCTAAGTAGGCTATCAAACCAGGTCTTCTAAAATGGTTCTGCGACTAAGTCAAAAACACTGAGAAATGGAGGCAGATATTGTGGTCACTATGACATAGCGTATACTGATATTACCCAAAAAATGTACAGTAAAACTTTCCTGGTACAACGATATGTACTCATAAGTTTATGTCGTTTATTAAATCAATTAAGTTAAATGAAACTACCAATTGGCATTTTATTATGCACAACACTGTGATAATTTTTTTATCATCCTGTGCCTTTCTATTTCTCTTCTGTATATTCCTATTGTTTTAGAAGATTGTACCTACATACACTAGGATTTTTTTCTGAGTAGACAAGGAGAAACATATATAATCAGATTTTTTTTTTTTTTTTTTTTGAGACAGAGTTTCATTCTTGTTCCCCAGGCTGGGATGCAATGGCATGATCTCGGCTTACCGCAAACTCCACCTCCCAGGTTTAAGTGATTCTCCTGCCTCAGCCTCCCAAGTAGTTAGGATTACAGGCATGCACCACCACGCCCAGCTAATTTTGTATTTTTAGTAGAGACGGGGTTTCTCCATGTTGGTCAGTCTGGTCTCAAACTCCCGACTTCAGGTGATCCTCTCACTTCAGCCTCCCAAAGTGCTGGGATGACAGGCGTGAGCCACTGGGCCAGGGCCTAATTAGACTTTTAAAAATTAAATTAAACCCAGTACTGGGAATTTACAATGCCAGTCTGCTGCCTCTACTGATGCATGGGCAGAGATTTCACGCCTTATAGTTCCCTAGTGGAATGCTTCCCATAGTGTCATGTCCCACCTTTCTAACGCTGGAGATGGTAAGGTGTTAGACAAAAAGATTGCTATTGGAAGAGAAAGCTTAGAAGTTAAATATTCTCTATCATTTATTCAAAAAATTTATTTAGAGCCTACTGTGTGCCAAGAACATGCCAAATTTCTAGTGTTTGGAGACATATAAGTGAAAAAAATAGACAAGGTCTCTGCTGTTACAAAGCTTGTATTGTGATGGGGTGTGGGGAGAGAGAGACATTAAATGAGTAAATAAGCAAAAAGATAATTTTGAGGCGTGATGAGCTGCATGAAGCCGATAGAATGATAATGTGCTGGATGTGGATACTCAGGGAGGGTGTCAGTGGAGTGGGACTGCTCTAGCCAGGTGGCCTCTGGGCTGAGCAACCTGGGGAGGAACCAGCCTCCTGAGGGAGTGAGGGAAGGGTCTTCCCATCGAGGGAACAGTGAGGGCAACTTTTCATCTTGTGCCTTTCCTACTGGGTCCTCAAGTAGCCACAGCCTGAGGTGTAAAGCAAGTTCTAAGCTTCCCCAGGTGACTCCAAGACCCATGGCCGGGTGGTTTATTAGGAAGGCCCAAAAGAGTGTGCCTGTGTACAAGGGGACATCAAGGAAAAATCAGTGAGGAAGGGGAGAGAAGAGTCACATGCATGCTTTTATAAGAAGTTATGCACTTGGGTAAAATGACTATTTTGTTTTCTTCTTAATATTTAAAAGAAGGCACTCTTAAAACTGGAGGTGCAATCCAAAATAACAAAAATGGCCCTAAATTTTAAGGGGATTTAATTGAAGCTTGCGCTCATCCTGCTTGGCCACTAGAGAGCAGTATTGCCTATCAAATGCACCACAAGGCCCACGCTGCAGGCTGACATTTAGAGGGAGAAAATCGGTGCCACAGGTAAATCTCTTCTCTCATCTTGATTTCCCGCTCCTCCCCTACCCTCCCCATAATTCCACCCCTTAACTCCCTACTGTTTACCTATCACACACATAATCTCAGTGTTCTGGATAAGCCTTAGGTTTAGAGAAAAATCTCTGTTTTTTTGTTTTTGTTTTTGTTTCCGGAGTCTCGCTCTGTTGCCAGGCTGGAGTGCAGTGGCGAAATCTCAGCTCATTGCAACCTCTGCCTCCCGGGTTCAAGCGATTCTCCTGCCTCAGCCTCCCGAGTAGCTGGGACTACAGGTGCGCGCCACCAAGCCCAACTAAGTTTTGTGTTTTTAGTAGAGACGAGGTTTCACCATATTGGCCAGGATGGTCTCGATCTTTTGACCTCGTGATCCACCCGCCTTGGCCTCCCAAAGTGTTGGGATTAGAGGCGTGAGGCACCGCGCCCGGCCTAAATCTGTGATTTTTTTTAGCTAAGAATAAAATCAGCACATTTAACCATGTTGGAAGTATTTTGACCCTTCCCTCAGCTGGAGACTCTCAGTGGCCAACAACCCCGGGTCTAGGTAGCCTTTGGAGCAGTAGTGGGTTCCTTTTTCCCAGTTCTTTAGAATTAGACCCCTTATTTGGGGGAACGGGTTCACATTTTTAGCCTAGAGAGCAAGGAGTGTTGTTCCTTCCATGTGTTGTTAGATCGACTGTCTGCTGGTAGGTTGGTGGCCAGCAGAGACCTACTCTGCCCGACCTGGCCTCAGTGGACGCCAGGACCTTGCTTCCTTCTTCCTCAGCAGCCCAAGCTCCCGCTTCCTGAGTGGAAGTCTTGTGTTCTATGTGTTGGGGCCTTTTATGAAACAGTATGCAAGATAATGGGTTCACCAAGAGAAAAAGGAGGAGAAAGGGATGACAGAATTTTAGCCATAGCCACACAGGCAGAGCAAATGAAAGAATTTCAAATATGGTGTAAGAATATATTCCAAAAGAGGTAGGAATTTATAATATGGACCCTGCTTTCTTCCATAGAAAGATTTGAGGCATGCTACAGCAAAAATACACATCAAAAACACACATCGCTTGGAACATAATTTATTCATTCAAATTATATTAACTGCCCTACTTTCATGTGCTAGGAGCTAGGCCTATACCTGAACAAGATGGACATAGACCCTGCTCCTATGCAGCTTCTACTGGAATTGAGTAAGGTTGCAAATGAAATCAGAAATCACACAAGAAAGTTTGTGTCTGTTGGGGTGGTTCAGAGCTGGAAGGAAACAAAATGATCATCTCCAATATTCTTTATCTTATAGATGAGGAAATAGTGGTTCAGAAATATTGTAACTGATCCAAAGATGAAACAGTTTTTTCATTTGAGCACGAAAATTTGCTCTGAGGAAATAGGAAAATATCTATTACCTGGGTTTCCTGGCTTTCGGTGCTTGATTAAGAGAGAATAGTTAGGGAAAGGAGACTTCTTTGGGGGGATGCTAATTTATGAAAAAAATGATCTGGATCCTTATATCACAGACATGAAGAGACAATGAAACATTCTTAATATGACTATATAAAATCGTTAGCCCTTCATGAAATTGAGCCATATAGTATTGTGTTGTATTTTAGTGAAGAGATTTCTGTATGGGTTTAAACTACTGCATAGTTCAAGACTGTAACTTTGTTTAATCTAACTTGACATAAGAATGTAACCAAAAAAATCTGGAAAAATGTTTAACTCTTTTAAAGTCCAGCACCGAGCAGCCACTCAGCCAATATGATGACTGAAGCTCTTCAGATGAAACCACTGCCCCCACCCAGCTGTCTGGTCCAGTCAGGTCCTTTTTTAATAGCATGTTTTGGGGTCCTAAATTATCTGTGTAGTTGTCTCAGTAGAAGGGAAACTGACGAGAAAAAGAAACAGGGATGTTTGAATATGTTGTTCTTACTTTTATTAGAACATAGACTCCTAGAGCTGGAATTGTATCTTGGATTTTTGGTTCCGCTGGTAGCACACCGTGCTCAATAAAAATTAATCCATCAATCAACAGGACAGAAAATCCCATCCTGCCAGAAGCAATACTTCCTGTTTGTCCCATACAAAGCCAATTAGAGTGTTAGGATGTTGTAATGGAGACAGAAACTAAGGAAAGCGGCAAAAATAAAAAAATTCCCCCAAAACATCAAATAGAAAATGTAGGGGTAGGGGGATTGGGGGCACAAGATGGGTTGAACCAGATAGGGAAGATCCCCCAGTGTTGTCCTGCTCCCAGTCCAGGTTTGGGAAAATGCCGGCAGCGTTTCCCTGTGTCTTTCCCTCACAAAGTCTCCAAGTCTCTCCTCGAATGAGCTCCAAGGCTTGGGAGAAACAATCTCTTCCTCTGCCCGGGTTGCGTGGATCTCCAGTGGAAAGGAAGAACCGGAACTATGGTTTGTGCGCTCCTTATTGCCTCCGAAATATTTTTAACTGCAGAGGAAAGCCTGTATTATTTTGGAGAAAGGCGAACAGATAAAACCCACAGCAATAAATTTCAGGGAGTAGAAACTCCTTGTCAGAATAGATATGTTGGATATTTTGCACAAGTGAAACATCTCTACAACGGGACTATCCCTCCAAGACGGATACTCTTTATAAAAAGATTCATTATTTATTCGACTCGTGGTGTTGGAACAGGTGATGTATGTGATCTACAATTCCAAATAGTAATGGAGAAAAAGGTTGTCTTTTCCAGTACTTCATTAGGAAATTGTTCGCTGCCTCCCTTGGCCTCCCAAAGTGCTAAGATTACAGCCTCTGCCCGGCTGGCACCCCGTCTGGGAAGTGGGGAGCGTCTCTGCCTGGCCGCCCATCGTCTGGGATGTGGGGAGCCCCTCTGCCCGGCCACCCCGTCTAGGAAGTGAGGAGTGCCTCTGCCCGGCTGCCACCCCGTCTGGGAAGTGAGGAGTGTCTCTGCCCGGCCGCCCATCGTCTGGGATGTGAGGAGTGCCTCTGCCTGGCTGCCCCATCTGGGATGTGAGGAGCGCCTCTGCCCAGCCGCCCCATCTGGGATGTGAGGGGCATCTCTGTCCGGCCGCCACCCCGTCTGGGAAGTGAGGAGCGCCTCTGCCCGGCTGCCCCACCTGGGAGGTGAGGAGCGCCTCTGCCCGGCTGCCCTTCGTCTGGGAGGTGGGGAGTGCCTCTGCCTGGCCGCCCTGTCTGGGAAGTGGGCACCTCTGCCCGGCCACCCCATCTGGGAGGTAAGGGGTGTCTCTGCCCGGCTGCCCCGCCTGGGAAGTGAAGAGCGCCTCTGCTCGGCTGCCCTTCGTCTGGGAGGACGGGAGCGCCTCTGCCCGGCCGCCCCATCTTGGAGGTGAGGGGCATCTCTGCCCAGCCACCCTGTCTGGGAGGTGGGGAGCGCCTCTGCCCGGCCGCCCATCGTCTTGGATGTGAGGAGCACCTCTGCCCGGCCGCCACCCCATCTGGGAGGTGAGGAGCGCCTCTGCCCGGCTGCCACCCCGTCTGGGAAGTGAGTTGCGCCTCTGCCAGGCCGCCCCTTCTGGGAGGTGAGGAGCGCCTCTGCCCGGCCGCCCTTCGTCTGGGAGGTGGGGAGCGCCTCTGTCCGGCTGTCCCATCTGGGAAGTGGGCGCCTCTGCCCGGCCACCCCATCTGGGAGGTGAGGGGCGTCTCTGCCCAGCCACCCCACCTGGGAAGTGAGGAGCGCCTCTGCCTGGCTGTCCTTCGTTTGGGAGGTGGGGAGTGCCTCTGCCCGGCCGCCCCGTCTGGGAAGTGGGCGCCTCTGCCTGGCTGCCCCATCTTGGAGGTGAGGGGCGTCTCTGCCTGGCCACCCTGTCTGGGAGGTGAGGAGCGCCTCTGCCCGGCCGCCCCGTCTGGGAGGTGGGGAGCGCCTCTGCCCAGCCACCCATCGTCTGGGAGGGGAGGAGCGCCTCTGCCTGGCCACCCCGTCTGGGAAGTGGGGGTCGCCTCTGCCCGGCCGCCCCGTCTGGGAGGTGGGGGGCGCCTCTGCCCGGCTGCCCATCATCTGGGATTTGAGGAGCACCTCTGCCCGGCCGCCACCTCGTGTGGGAGGTGAGGAGCGCCTCTGCCCAGACGCTACCCCATCTGGGAAGGGAGGTGCACCTGTGCCCGGCCCCTCCGTCTGGGAAGTGAGGAGCGCCTCTGCCAGGCCGCCCTGTCTGGGAAGTGTACCCAACAGCTCTGAAGAGACAGTGACCATCAAGAACGGGCCATGATGACGATGGCAGTTTTGTCGGAAAGAAAAGGGGGAAATGGGAAAAGAAAGATCAGATTGTTACTGTGTCTGTGTAGAAAGAAGTTGACATAGGAGACACCATTTTGTTCTGTACTAAGAAAAATTCTTCTGCCTTGGGATGCTGTTAATCTTTAACCTTACCCCCAACCCCATGCTCTCTGAAACATGTGCTGTGTCAACTCAGGGTTAAATGGATTAAGGCCGGTGCAAGATGTGCTTTGTTTTTTTTTTTTTTTTTTTTTTTTTTATGTTTAAGCTGTATATTTACTCATTGAAACACTCGGTGAAATCAGGGTAAAATCAACTAAAGGAAAAATAGTTGTTTCATTCATTTGAACTTAAACCAACTAAAGTAGTACTCATGTCATTACGATGCAGCAAATACGAGACCTCTTTCTACAAAGATTAGCACAACCAACAAATTAGGGGATATAGCAAAACAGAGCCAAAAACGGTAAGAAATCAATTAAGTATGTTACAGCTTAACCCTTTACCTCAATAGTTTTTAAAAAATAAGCAAAGCCTCCCAATCCCAAACAATACGAATACATCTTCATCACCAATTTGTACTTGTATTTCTTATTCTTGAGGTTAGATTCTAAACCCTAAAGATATCCAAACTCGTATTAGATCTACTTATCTATAGCCAGAGACGGCAGCCAAGGTTATTAAAATGTCTTTTCTAGGCAGGGCGCGGTGGCTCACGCCTGTAAATCCCAGCTGTTAGGGAGGCCGAGGCGGGCGGATCACAAGGTCAGGAGATCGAGACCATCCTGGCTAACACAGTGAAACCCCGTCTCTACTAAAAATACAAAATATTAGCCGGGCGAGGTGGCGGGCGCCTGTAGTCCCAGCTGCTCGGGAGGCTGAGGCAGGAGAATGGCGTGAACCCGGCAGACGGAGCTTGCAGTGAGCCAAGACCGCGCCACTGCACTCCAGCCTGGGCGACAGAGCAAGACTCCGTCTCAAAAAAAAAAAAAAAAAAAAGTATTTTCTCCAGGAAGATCCAATAGGAAAAAAAAAAAAAAAAAGAAACCTCGCTGATTAGGCTCCAACCATACTCCACCCTCCATGAGATTGACTGGATGGGCATCATGGAAACCAGAACACGTGGTTTCCAAACAAGAAAAATCCTATGAAGGATGGGAGGAGGGGAGAGGAAGGATTCAGCCAGTGTCCAGACTGAAATTGAGTAATATCAGTTTCACTCATCTTCACACGTCTTCAGGTTGCATGTTCATGGAGTAGTTTAGGAATAAATCCATGGTTTGTGGAGTACTAAAATACCTAGTGGTCTGCTGTATTACATTAAGGCCTTCCCCAGCAGCTTCCAAGGCAGCCTCCAAGTCACTGGCAGGAGAATTTGGCTGGAAGTGCATGCAGGACTGCAGAGATTCCTCTCCACAGTTATAGAAGGGACTGTTCCAGGCCTGATTGTTCCAGGATTGGGTGCACCAGGTCTGAGTGTTCCAGGAGTGGTTGCTCCAGGACTGGATGTTCTGGGTCTGGTTGCTCCAGGTTGAATTGTTCCAGGTCTGGTTGCTCCACATTGGAAGGTTCCCAGTCGGGTTCACCAGGCATCCCTGGTGGTAGGAAGAGTAGAGGCTGGGGTAGGTAGGTGCTGAGGCCTTCTGCGTCACACCATTGCTATTCTTCGGCCAGTTGTTTTTCTGCCACCTCTTAGATTTCATTCTCTGGTTCTGGAACCAGGTCTTCACCTGTTTGTAGCTGAGGTTCAGGATGTTGGAGAGTTCTTGCATCTGCTGGAGGCTGAGGTATTTCTGTCTCTGAAATCTATCATTGAGTACACACAGCTGGGTGGAAGAGAACACAGTTCTGGTCTTCTGTTTCTTGACCGGGACCTTGTCTTCCTTTTTTGCGACACTATTCTCTGCAGAAGTGGGTTGTTTGCCTTTGGGACTGGTGGAAGAATCAGGGCTGTCCTGAATAAGCAGATCCATGGAGGAAGGAAGAGGAGAGACAGTCTCTGTGTGAGGCATCTCAGCAGAAGACATTTGCAAGGATGGATAGTTTTCTTCAGGCCCACAAATCACAGGCATAGGTGAAGATTCTTTACAGTCGGATTCTTCAAAGCAAGGCAAGCTTTGGGGACAAGCTGGATCCACACTCATGTTAGTATAGAGGAAGAGGAGGAAAAAATTTAAGAGGTGGACTGGAAAAAAGGTTAAGGCAGCTTTAAGACTTTTCTGGAAGATGTTAGAGAAATAGGACCTCCAGAAGGAAAAGTATCAAGAAATTGGGATAAAGTGAGTTGCCTGCATAATAACATGAGGCAACCAGCTCAGTCCAGCAGAACGTTAAAATCCTGGCAAGATGTGCTTTGTTAAACAGATGCTTGAAGGCAGCATGCTGGTTAAGAGTCATCACCACTCCCTAATCTCAAGTACCCAGGGACACAAACACTGCTGAAGGCCGCAGGGACCTCTGCCTAGGAAAGCCAGAGACCTTTGTTCACGTGTTTATCTACTGACCTTCTCTCCACTATTATTCTATGACCCTGCCACATCCCCCTCTCTGAGAAACACCCAAGAATGATCAATAAATACTAAAAAAAAAAAAAAAAGAAAATATAACTGGACAAAAACAGGTAACGGTGGAAAGCCACTACCCAATTCCATTTTCCCCTTGACACTCTCTTTCAACTTATCCTCAATGTAATAGAAGTTTGACTGCAGAGTGGCATCTTGGACTGCCCACGTTTCCTGGTCAGTGTTGGGCAGGGGAAGCTGTCTGCCTTCCTAACAGCTCACCCAGAGGGCACTCACTGCGGCGCTCCCAGCAGTCTTGCCATCTACCTGACGCCCCCACCTGGGCACCAGCTCCTGAGTTCTCCTTGCTCAGCTTTGCTTGGTCAGAAAACAAGAAGGACAATTCATCTGGGAAGGGATAAATAGGCAGCTGGCAAGAGAGAGCAAGCTAGTTACTACTGATAAGGGAGGGTGGGTGTGGGAAGGAAAGCGAGACAGGCAAATTGGGAATTCTTTGTGTCATGAACCCTCTTGAGAATTGATTAAAAGCTACCAAGGCTTTCTCCAGAACACAACCATATGCATATGTGCACACAATTTTGCATTCATTTCATGAGTTCCCATCTCACTTTCACACAAACATACCTCTTGTTCTAAAAACAAACTCTAGAAGCTATAAGCTTCCAAATCTTACTAACCAAGAAATTCTGAAAGACTTTTTAATCATGGCAACTTTTTAATATCAAGGATTCTCCAATTGTAGTCTTATATGTTTCAAATATAATCAGTTTCAAAAGCAATTCCTAAAACACTAAAAATGGTCAAAATGGACACTTATGGTAAAAAATACTTGTTACCAATGTTTCGTCCCACGTTGCAAAGCACACTGTATTTCAAGTTTCTACATATGCATTTACATAAAATTATTTTTTTTTGAGATGGAGTTTTGCTCTTGTTGCGCATGCTGGAGTGCAATGACGCGACCTCAGCTCACTGCAACCTCTGCCTCCTGGGTTCAAGTGATTCTCCTGCCTCACGCTCCCGAGTAGCTGGTATTACAGGCGTCCACCACCACAAGCGGCTAATTTTTTGTATTTTTAGTAGAGATGGGGTTTTGCCATGTTGGCCAAGCTGGTCTCGAACTCCTGACTTCAGGTGGTCCACCCACTTCGGCCTCCCAAAGTGCTGGGATTACAGGTGTGAGCCACCACACCCGGCCTATTAATTTTGTTTAAAGAAAAAAGACTTCCAAATCTTGGATGGCGGTTGGGTGGTGGGGGTGTCAAATCACCTGGTATTTGACTATTCAGGGCTCTTTTATGGAAATAAAAAGCACAAAAGCAAACAAAACAGTTTTGTCCATCTACCAGGCTCATACACTCTGTGTCCTGAAAGGAGGGGGAACATCTCCAAGTTCAACTAAAAATGTATTAACTGCAAGCTGGGCGTGGTGGCCCACACCTGTAATCCTAGCCCTTTGGGAGGCTGAGGAGGGCAGATTGCTTGAGCTCAGGAGTTCGAGACCAGCCTGGGCAACATAGCAAGACCCGTCTCTAAAAAAAAAAAATGCTAACTGCAAATTGCACATTCTGCAAATGGTTCAGCGTAGGAACAGAAGGCTTTTTCTGATCTCTTCTTGAAGGTAGGTCCAGGGCCTTTGGCTTATCTTCTTTTCAAAGACCATACAGGAAGAGGTTTTCAAACAAGGATGGAGCAAGAGGGCAGCGGCGCTTGGACCACCTGCAGGCAAAGACACAGGAGAAACCCCACCTGCCCTCACAGCATGTGGGAGAGCAGAAGGGGCAGAGATAACCGCTGGCAAAGGGAACATGTGGGAGAAAGTAAGGGGAAATCAATAAAACAGAGTTTAAAAAAATAATGTGCTTTCCATGCCATGAAGGAAAGTCATGATGAAGGCCCAAGTTAACTCCCCAAATGCTTTCAGGATCACAGAAATGACACTGTCAAATACAACATTAGTTTTCTGAAGCCTACGGGCTGAATTTTATTTATGTTAAGTTAACTCCCATTTAAAAAGATAGCATATTCTACATCAAAGGGAAAAAAACTTTTCCTAATGTATCCATTTCTCTTCTGAAGCACACGAGCTGTTGCTATATAATGCTTTGTGGTGTTTTCTCAACTGTACTTGCTTTTCTCTGTATCAGGAAATGCACAGTAAACAGGCTCAAGCCTGGGTCTGCTGCTTCTCAATGCCAAACCGGCAATCGTTTGATTGTGTGTGTGTTTTTAAATGCATTGTTAGTTTTAACTAAGATTTATATATGTTCCATGAATGATGTTTCAAAGCAGGAGAGAAAAAGAGGATCAGGCATCGCTATAAAATCAGTTCCTGGTAAATTGTGTAAAAGTGCAAACCATAAGCTGTCAAGAGGATTGGACTGGGGTGGCCTTTGGGGAATGATTCAGGTTTCTGCGGTGACTGTTTTGTTCTCCCTGGAAGTTCAGCTGGTGGTTTCCTGGGTCTGATCAAAACTTCACCACCTGGTGAAGATAAGCACTAGCTGTCTACCAGCTTTCTGGATATGGTTTTCCTGGCCATCAGAAGAGACTAAAATTTCCATCTTTCTGAATTGCTGGCCTTCTCATTGTTCTCCAAATATACTTTGCTCATTTCTGAGTCTGAGTGCTAGTTAGTTTGAACTAGTTAGCTAGTTCTTTTCCGAGTGTAGAGAAGTCAATTTTAGTGTAAACACAGTGGATAAGACCATGGACTTGGCAGTGGGATGGCCTGGATTAACTCTCTGGTCTGCCATTTACTGGTCCATGTCTCAGTTGAAAATGGGGATAATACGATTATCTACCTCACAGAGGTATTAAGAGCAAATAAGTAATATGTAAAAGTTATTTAGAATAGTACCTGGTACATAGTGAGTTCTTTATTTTAGAGTGTTTGCAATGATGATGATTGTTGTAGTTGTTATTTTTCTGGTGACCTCATTACAGTTTTTTTCTCTGGGGAGCTGATCTTGTTCTGACATGGCTTAGATGGAGCTGACCTCACCTGCCTCTGTTCTACGGGTGGGCACATAGCCCAGACCTGGCCAATCAATGAATTCTGTCCTCCCAGCTACAGTGATTGCCTCAGGGATAGGAAAGTGATATAAATTGGTCCAATCAGGGGATCACAGGAGTGTTTTTAGAACTGTTGAGAAAGAGAGCTTATCTTTTGTGTTGGGGTAGTTAGGGAGTAGGATGTAAGCCAGAAGATGCAAGGGGCTACCTGTGTGCAGTCAGGCTGAGACTGAAACCAGTGTAGAGGAAAGCAGAGCCAGGTGATGAAGGGAGAAAGAGGAATCAACTGAAATTTTAGGACCCCATGGCTCTAGCCATGCCTGAAGCCCTAGGACCACTCTTTCTGCACAAGTCAGTTTGCGTTGGGTTTCTCTCCTTGGCTGTCACTAACTCAGCCTCCCCTATGACACAATCTATCTCCTCTACCCATTCATATGCAACCCATCCTTTGAGGCACTGTACAAAGCCCACACCTTCAGGAAGTAATGCTTCCTTTTCTAAGTTCCTATAGTACCTACCCTCTGGGCCATCAATCTAGTACTTATTATTCACTTTAGAAAGTATATCTTTGCCAATGCAGCTATGGCATCTCTTCAGTGCTACAGATTGACTCCGTGTTTTACTGTTTGGTGATTTCCATAACCGTTTGCACATCTGGCATTTTACAGCAAGCTTGCCAGTATTTATTATTTTAATTCCTTCTATCCTCTTATATCCATCAGAAGTGGATTAAATACTTCAGTATGCAAAGACATGTAAGCATAGGAGTACATGAAGTAAACCGAAGATGGGGCAAACAAAGTTATATTGTTCATGTAGGTAACTTTCAAGTGAAAAGCCCAGCTTCTTGTCACATGTGAGAAGCAGCAGTAGGATGTGGACTTGTTTATATTTGTCCCATCAGGTTGTAGGCTTCATAAGAGCAAGGACTAGCTCTATTTTTTAAACACTGTCCTTAGTGCTTGGCTCAGTATATGGCACATTGTATATGCTCAGTAAATACTTGTTGAGTGAATGCTGCATGTTGTAGTATAGGGGGCTTCCATTAATAACTAACCCTTACCAACATGTAAAGGAAATGAACTAAGGAACTAAGAAAGGAATTGCTAGTTCTGTGAAGCCAACACCTTCTTTCCATTATTCTGAGCTCTTTCTACCATCACCTCATTTCTCCAAATTACAAGAATAAATTAAGGCATTCCCTAGGATGACAGATGAGGTGTAACGACAATAGTATGTTTGGAATTTCCAGGTCTGTAAGAAAATTGGTATGAATTCCAGATCCAACAAGGAAAGGCTTACGATCTTCAGAATGAGTGAGTGGAGGAATATGAAAGTTGAATCACAGGTTTATAAAAAGGCACTGTATTGAAATGTTCACTATATACAAAAAAAAAATCTGGGTTTGAATCAGTCTTATTTTCTTGGCATCATTATACAGCATCAGTTCTATAGAAGCTTTATGTACTATAAATTGAAGAAAATACATGCTCCTTTTCCTTTAAACTAGTTGATTTTCTCCCATAGAAAGTATGAATATATTAGTTATTCCCTTTCCCAGCACAATATTTTTTATTCATCCTTTATTATTCACATGGCAAAATTATCATTAAAAGCTCATTTTATTAGGTCAATAGTCTTGAAAACATTGTTGCTCCTTCACCATAAAATGCAAGCTAAATCAGACAGCCAAGGCCTTCAGTAATTTGACCCCAATCTACCTTTCCATGGCTGAACTTTTCCCCTGTCCCCCATACAAGCCTCTAATCCATTTACCTTTGTCTATTTACTGTCTCTCTCACTTGATTCATACCTTTGTTCTTCTGAACCTTTCTGCCTATTCAAACATGTGTTTTCTTTTAAGTAACATTCTTTAATCACTCCAACTGGAGGTAGGCTGTAGCGTTTATGACCTGCATCACTAGTTCCTTGTGTTGTCTCAGCATTTCATGTGAATGTGTTCTATGTCTTTTACTATAAACTTTTTAAAGGCAGGGATCACATCTTAGATTTACTGATATTTTTCTTTCTTACTTTTCTTTTGAGATGGAGTCTCACTCTGTTGCCCAGGCTGGAGTGCAATGGTGCAATCATGGCTCACTGCAGCCTCAACCTCCCTGGGCTCAGGTGATCCTCCCAACTCAGCCTCCTGAGTAGCTGGGACTACAGATGTGTGCCACCATGCCCAGCTAATTTTTCTGTATTTTTGGTAGAGATGGGTTTTCAACATGTGGCCCAGGCTGGTCTCAAACTCCTGGACTGAAGCACTCCACCTGCCTCTGCTTCCCAAAGTGCTTGGATTACAGGCGTGAGCCACTGTGCCTGGCCCCTCTTTGCATTTTTCTTTACATATAATATAAATTATTTCAATGATTATTATGGTAATAACTCTGGTAATACATAGCTAAGGATTTTCACTGTTCATGTCTGGGGAGGTTTTGCTCTTTCTCAGGCAGTAATGCCAAGTGCAATAAAGTTTTCAAATTTATAAACTATCCTTCATGATTGAAGTTAATCAAAATTGCTTTCCAAATCTTCTGTTTCACAAAGATCTTAATAACTGAGAGCTTTGCAAACCAATAAGCAAAAGACAAAATACCTAACAGAAAATTGGGAATGGGATCTTTATACTTAATAAATAGCTACTAAAATATGGAAAGATGCCAATCTTTACTTAAAATTAAAGGTGAGAAAATAAAAAATGAGATTCTGTCTTTCCACTCTGAGACTGATGAAAAATTTTAAACATTAAAATTGCCAGTTAACAGTGTGGGGAAAGGTATAGGGAACTAGGAACCTATATACACAGCTGGTGGGAGTACAAATCTGGTATAATGACTTTGGAGGGCTATTTAGCAATATATATGAAAATTTAAAATTCACCTAATCTGGCCAGGTGTGGTGGTGCACGCTTGTAATCCCAGCATTTTGAGAGGCCTAGGTGGGTGGATCACCTGAGGTAAGGAGTTCAAGACCATCCTGGCCAACATGGTGAAAGCCCATCTCTACTAAAAAATACAAAAATCAGCTAGGCGTGGTGACAGGTGCCTGTAATCCCAGCTACTCGGAAGGCTGAGGCAGGGAGAATTGCTTGAACCCTGGAGGTGGAGTTGCAGTGAGCTGAGCTCGTGCCGCTGCACTCCAGCCTGGGCAACAGAGCGAGACTCTATCTCGAAATAAACATAAATAAAATAAAATAACATAAAATAAAATTTACCTAATCTTAGATTGAAGAAGTCTACTTTTGGGTATGTGTGTGTGTGTATATATATATATATATGTGTGTGTGTGTGTGTGTGTGTGTATATATACATATTTAAAATTATTTAAATGCATAAATATATGTATATGTAAAAAGTTGCCCATTGTAGTATTATATACAATAGCAAAAGACCACCTAATGCTCTTCAGTAGGGGATTAACCCGAGGTTAAGTAGCAAGCTGTGGTGGGACCAGGATTTGAATCCAAGCTAACTCCACATTTATAAATACAATGCTTTACTGCTGTCAACTGAAATAGGGCCATTTTCTTAGAAGCTCAAAATGCTCTATTACACGTTGTTCTGGGTTTTGGCCAAAGGAAGAGTAGTTAGAAATATGTCATAAACATTACTAAAGTCATTAAACCAGTCAGTAACAGAGACAAGATTAGAATTCCCATGTTCTTGAGTCTCAATCTATGAAGCACCCTGCCGTTTCTCATCTCAGTTTTGAGTTGACACACATTTATTTAACTTAGTTGCATGTCTGTAAAAAAAAAAAAAATATTCTAATGAATCTTTCAAGGTGTTCTGCTAGCTGCTCTGTTTTGAAGTATATCTGATGCATGATTTATGTATTAGATTGATTAAAAACACGTCCATTACTTCGGGGCCTTTGGTGGATTTTTAAAGGAAGAATATGACATATTCAATCCAGCAGTTAAGATTCTCCACAGGTCTCCCGCGGGCGTCAGCAGGGGCGGCGGCGGGTGGGAAATGGCGGAGTGTCCAGCCTCCATCTTTGGCACCGAGAAAGTCAACTGTTCATTTGATTTCAAAATTGGAGCATGTCTTCATGGAGACAGGTGCTCTTGGTTGCACCATAAACCGACGTTTAGCCAGACCATTGCCCTCTTGAACATTTACTGTAACCCTCAAAACGCTTCCCAGTCGGCCGACGGTTTGCGCTGTGCCCTGAGCGATGTTGAGGTGCAGGAACACTCTGATGAATTTTTTGAGGAGGTTTTTATAGAACTGGGGGAGAAGTATGGGGAAGTTGAGGAGATGAATGTCTGTGACAACCTGGGAGACCACCTGGTGGGGAACGTGTACTTCAAGCTTCCCCGTGAGGAAGATGCGGAAAAGGCTGTGATTGACTTGAACAACCGTTGGTTTAACGGACAGCCGATCCACGCCGAGCTGTCACCTGTGACGGACTTCAGGGGAGCCTGCTGCCGTCAGTATGAGATGGGAGAATGCACACGAGGCGGCTTCTGCAACTTCATGCATTTGAAGCCCATTTCCAGAGAGCTGCGGCGGGAGCTGTGTGGGCAGCGTCGCAAGAAGCATAGATCAAGATCCCGATCCCGGGAGCGTCATTCTCGGTCTGGAGACCGTGGTCATGGCGATGGCGGTGGCGGTGGCGGTGGCGGTGGCCCAGGCGGCGGCGGCGGACGGGAGCGTGACAGGAGGCGGTTGAGAGATCGTGAAAGATCTGGGCGATTCTGAGCCATGCCATTTTTACCTTACGTCTGCTAGAAAGTGTTGTAGTTGATTGACCAAACCAGTTCATAAGGGGATTTTTTTAAACAACAACAACAACAACAACAACAACAAAAACACAAAGATCGGTTTCTGAACAAAATTTGTAGTGATAACAGTTAAAAAAAAAAAGATTCTCCATAAATAGGTCGGGCGCGGTGCCTCACGCCTGTAATCCCAGCACTTTGGGAGGCCGAGGCGGGCGGATCACAAGGTCAGGAGATGGAGACTATTCTGGCTAACACGGTGAAACCCCGTCTCTACTAAAAATACAAAAAATTAGCTGGGCGTGGTGGCACACGCCTGTAGTCCCAGCTACTCAAGAGGCTGAGGCAGGAGAATCGCTTGAACCTGGGAGGCGGAGGTTGCAGTGAGCCAAGATCACACCACTGCACTCCAGCCTGGGCGACAAAGAGAGACTCTGTCTCAAAAAAAAACAAAAAACAAAAAACAACAACAACCCTCCATAAATAGTGGAGGGATGGCTCACCTTTTGATGCCAGATCAAAAAGATGCTCTGAGTGGTGGGAGGGTGGGAGGAGAGTGAGGGACCAGAAATTGCTTAGTATGTACAAGGTACACTATTCGGATGATGGCTATGCTAAAAGCCCAGACCTCATCACTATGCAATATATCCATGTAACAAAACTGTCTTTATACCCACTAAATCTAGAATTTAAAAAAAGCTCTGAGGAGATAAGTAGACTTGACCTCTCTAACTCAAGATGCGGAAACAGAGCTACCACAGTCTTGCTTCCATTCCTTATGGCTCAAACCTTCAAATGTCTTTTGCAAAGGCAAGCAACTGATTCTTCTCCTGCCAGGCTTAAGTTATTAAACTCCCATTACATTTAGACAAAATGCAATTCTCAAAATAGGATGCTAACACAAGTGCCAATGTGCCTAGTAAACTGAAGGAAGGAAGAATGATTGAAAGTACAAAGATCTTTCAAAATCAACATTGTGTACAACAGATTCATAATTCCTTTTAGAAGTTAGCTCTGGAAGGGGCACTAGATGGACAGAACATAAGGGTTCATTTCTGTCTCCCTGACTCTGTTTTTCAATTAAGTTTTAGGACTTGCCAAAAATATTCTAGGGTTTGGAAGAGAAAAAGGTAAAAAGGTTGCAAGAGTGCAAGATTTCAAGATTCATCTTTGAAAGCTAGGTTAATGGATTAGTCTGCCAAAAATATGAAAATATAAAAATATTATAAATTAGTCAGATGTCCATGGCTGTAATCTGTTTGCCTGATGCCAGATGTACTTATGATAGGAAAAACAGGCGGCTTAAAAATAGCTAGAAAATGTTAAGTACTTATATAACACATTTTTTTGTTTTAAGTATCAAATGGGTTGTTATCTTATTAGGGTTTCCAGTAAAAGAAGTGCCTATGATTTAACTTGGACCAATGGTAAGTTTTCCCATTTTAGGATTTCAGTGTTCATTTAGGGAACTATAATACTATGTAGTACAAATCCTTTATTAAATCAATGCATTCATTATCTGAAATAAAAGTTTTATTCAATCACTGTGTTTTGATAGACTAGACTATCGCACACAGGCAGGAGATAATGGATTGAAGAGAGTGTCCTTGAAGGAGAGGAGCTCACAGCTCCTTTCTTATACATTCCCAGGAGACAGTGCATTTCTGAAACTATCAAGATTTCAGAAGGCTGGCAAGGACTGTGAGCCAGCCCTATGTGGTATAACAAATCAGCACATGAAGGAGCTAACCATATAACTAGTGAGAGGAAAAAAATGAAATCACCTCTGCTTAAAATCTCTCGATGTCATCTTTTAACTTATT